>NC_000008.11:144776558-145078636 GCF_000001405.40 Homo sapiens
TGCACTCCAGCCTGGGTGACAGAGCGAGACTCTGTCTCAAAAAATAAAAAAGCAACAGCATCTGAGCCAGGTGCAGTGGCAGTGGCTCACACTTTAACTCCAGAACTTTGGAAGGCCAAGGCGAGAGGATCGCTTGAGCCTAGGAGTTCGAGACAAGCCTGGGCAACACAGTGAAACCTCGTCTCTGTAAAAAAATCAAAAAATTAGTGTGAGTGACACATGACATGCCTGTGGTCCCAGCTACTCGGGAGGCTGAGATGGGAGGATCGCTTAAGTGCAGAAGGTCAAGGCTGCAGTGAGCCATGATCATACCACTGCACTCCAGCCTGGGTGATAGAGGGCGACCCTGTCTCAAAAAAAAAAAAAAAAAAAAGCAGTGTCAGTACATAACAGTGGAAAGGCCAGTGCTAGAAAAGGAATAGCAGAAATATACTACAACACAACTATGTCTGGGTAGTGAGATTCAGGGTGATGTGTAGTCTCTCACTTTTCCGCAGTGTATTAATTTAGAAGAGAGGGGAATTAAATGATAGCTCCATCATTAGGCCCTCATTATCTGGCATCAGCTCTGGAGCGCAGGGTTCTGTGGGGTTCCGCAGACCCTAACAGCACCCCTGTTCTGCACCTACTCACTCCCCTCTACACGGGACCTTGCCTGGAATGTCCATTCCTATTTTCCACAGAAATGCTGCCCTGGAGAGATTCTGCTCAATAATCTCCCCACCAAGGTGCCCAGACTGAGAGGGGTCACCTGGGCTTCAGCAAAGGCCACTGTCAGGCCTCCTGTGCTAGCCCCGATGAATCTGGCCCACAAACTCCTGATTCATTAATCAGACACCCTGGACCCCAATAAAGGCTCGTTCGGTGACTTGAGTTGGGGAGCAGATCCCCTCACGCACCTGGGCTGTTGACTCTCAGGTGCTCTTTCCCAGAGGTGCCCTGAACATCCAGGACCCAGGGCTCATCCCCTCGCTCCAACTGCGAGATCACTCCAGGCTTGGGGCCTGCAGGTCCTACTCCTGGGAAGGAGACAGGGACTGGGGTTGGTACCAAGGACACAGGGCAGCACCTAGTGCTGTCTCACCCTGGGGCTGCAGGGTAAGGGAGGCACAGGCAGAGGGGGTGATGGAAGCCTGGACACTCTCTGGAGGGCACTGAGATTGGGCTGGGGCAGTCCTGAGCATAAGGGAATGAGAGCTCAGGGGTTCCCTCCACTAGGAGGTATGCAACTCCGCCCCCCCGGTGTCCCCCGCCCTACCAGGGAGGGGTCTGCCTGGGACCTGGGGCGAGAGGGAAGGGAAGGGCTGACTCAGGAAGGTCCCAGCACTGCTCTTCCCCTCATCTTCTCAGATCAGGTGCCTGCCTGGGATAAAGGTCATCACCTATCTGTGCCCAGGGGGTGAGGCCCCTAGCCCAGCCTCTGCTGAGCCCTTAGCCCCCAGGGCTGTTCCCAGAGCTGAGTTCTGGTGAGGGCCTTACCCAGTGAGACTAGGTTCCCGTAGGTCTCCAGCATCACGTCCCTGTAGAGGCCCCTCTGAGCAGGGCCCAGGCGGCCCCATTCCTCCCGGGAGAGGTACACAGCCACGTCCTCGAAGGTCACCTCGGCCTGGAATGACAGGGACTACTGCAGCCCAGGTGTGGTCCAGAGTGGGCTGGTAGGGGCGGGGAGGCAGCAGAAGCATGCTAAAGGCAGCAGCACAGTGGGTGGCCTGACCCATCTGCCACCGAGCCAGCTAATACATCCCAAGGGGTGGCTGCATGGGGGTCTCAGGGCCACCCCTACCATCATGTCAGCATCCCAAACCAGAGACACCTGGCAGTGTTTGCCAAGGAAAGCCCTGGGTAAAAACTTCACTCCTCCCAGGAGGACAGACACTCACCTGGGGTGGGGCAGACAGGAACAAGGCCGCCATTGCCTGAGGGTTGGGCTTTCTGAGGGCAGTGAGCAGGAGCTGGTCACTGAGGAGCTGAGGGAAGAGAACGCAACAAGTGGAGGCCCAGTCTGGCCCCTTCTTCCACAGCTCAGGCTACTTGGTGCTGCCATAAACAGCCCTGCCTGCCTCACTGGTCCACCCCTGCCCATCCCAATGTGGGTACTGCTAGCTGGCCTCCCGGACATAGACTCCACTCTTTGCCTGGGGCTGCCCTCTCCAGCTCCACCTCTTTTTTTTCTTTCTTTTTTTTTTAATGACATGACAGGGTTTCTCTTAGTTGCCCAGGCTAGAGGACAGTGGCGTGATCTCGGCTCACTGCAGCCTCGACCTCCTGAGCTCAAGCAGTTCTCTCACCTCAGCCTCCTGAGTAGCTAGGACTACAGGCGCGCACCACCACTGTTGGTGGAAGAGCTGAGGCAGGACTAGCTTGTCTGCCATAATGTAAAAGAGTCTGGGAACACGTCCTGGGTCCAGGGTCCAAACCCCCTCATGGCCTTTGGAACACCAAGCTCTGTGCCAAAGGGGGGAAGGCTGCCCTGCCGCTCCATAATCTAAGCCAAGGCATAAAAACCCTCATGGCTTGGATGGAATCCAGGGCTCAGGGCACAAAACCCCTTGTGGCTTGGATGGAATCCAGGGCTCAGGGCACAAAACCCCTCGTGGCTTGGATGGAATCCAGGGCTCAGGGCACAAAACCCTCATGGCCTCTGGAATGTGCACAGACTTGTTGGTTCCTTGCTTCTTGCTCTCCCAGGCTCATAAACATGTTCTCCATTATCTCAGGTAGCAGAGCATAGTACATATGTGTCAAAGAAAATGCTAAACCGTCACAGCTACGCTTGATGCACCGCTACCTTTCTATCCCCATGTCCTCATGTCCTCACCTGTCTACCCTCATGTCCGCACATCCTCACCACCTGCTTCTTTGTTCGATCATCAATAAATAGTGTGGGCTCCCAGAGCTTGGTGCCTTCACAGCCTCCATACTAGCGTTGGCCCCCTGGACCCACCTTAAGTACTCTTAACCTGTCTTTTCTCATTCCTTTGACTCCGCTGGACTTCATAGCCCCCATGGCCTGGTGTTGGGTCTGATCACCCCAACAATCACACCTGGCTAATTTTTGTATTTTTTTGTACAGATGGGGTTTTGCCCAGGCTGGTCTTGAACTCTTGAGCTCAAGCAATCCTCTTGCCTCGGCCTCCCAAAGTGCTGGGATTAAAGGAGTGCACCAAAGTGCCCAGCCTCCAGTCACCTCTACTGCCTGCTGCCCTCGGGCCGTCTATCCCCCTCCCTGCTCTGGCATGCTAAGCTGTCTCATTCAGGAGGAAAACGACAATACTCATTCACTTTACATGGAAGAATGAAGACAAAATGTTAAGGGCTAAGGAAGAAAAAATTAAAAATGATAGAAGGGGCCAAGCTCGGTGGCTCACACCTGTAATCCTAGCGCTTTGGGAGGCTGAGGCGGGAGGACAGCTTGAGCCCAGGAATTTGAGACAAGCCTGGGCAACATAGGGAGACCTTAATGCTACCAAAAAAAAAAAAAAAAAAAAATTAGCTGGCTGTGATGGCACACACCTGTAGTCCCAGCTACTTGGGAGGCTGAGGTGGGAGGATCACCTGGGCCCAGGAAGTAGAGGCTGCAGTGAGCTGTGATCGCACCACTGCACTCCAGCCTGGGCAACAAAGCAAAACCCTGTCTCAAAATAAATAAGTAAAATAAGATTGACTCACCTACCAGAAGCATGAGACTCTCGGATTAGATACATGTGATGCAACTATTTGGCCTAAAATAAAATAACACAGAAAGGCTAAGTATTAGTTAATATTAGATCAAACACTAGTTAAAATGAAGCTGTGGTAGCTATATATCTTTTCTGTATCTTTAAAGCTTTTTATTTAAGTATATTTTTATCATAAAAGTTGACAAATCCTGAGTACACAGTTCAGTGGACCATGACAAATTGCACAAGCCCATGGAACCAGCACCACAGTCAAGAAAGAACAGAACTGGCCGGGTGTGGTGGCTCACGCCTGCAATCCCAGCACTTTGGGAGGCTGAGGCGGGTGGATCACCTGAGGTCAGGAGTTCGAGACCAGCCTGGCCACCATGTGGTGAAACCCTGTCTCTACTAAAATACAAAAATTAGCCGGGCGTGGTGGCGGGCTCCTGTAATCCCAGCTACTCAGGAGGCTGAGGCAGGAGAATCGCTTGAACCCGGGAGGCGGAGGTTGTAGTGAGCCGAGATCGCGCCATCGCACTCCAGCCTGGGGGACAAGAGCAAGACTTCATCTCCAAAAAAAGAAAAGCAAAGAAAGCGAAAATCACTAATAGGAATAAAAAAAACACTGCATATTACTGGCCAGGCGTGGTTGCTCACCCCTGAAATCCCAACACTTCGGGTGGCTGAGGCGGGTGGATGGCGAGGTCAGGAGATCGAGACCATCCTGGCTGACGGTGAAACCCTGTCTCTACCGAAAATACAAAAAAAATTAGCCGGGCGTGGTGGCGGGGGCCTATAGTCCCAGCTACTTGGGAGGCTGAGGCAGGAGAATGGTGTGAACCGGGAGGCAGAGCTTGCAGTGAGCTGAGATCGCACCACTGCACTCCAGCCTGGGCGACAGAGCGAGACTCCATCTCAAATAAATAAATAAATAAATAAATAAATAAAAATAAAAATAAAACACTGCATATTACTAAAAGCCCACCAAAAAGCTGTAATAATTACAAACAGTATGGATCTACCAAACAGGAACTGGTAAATCCTCCTCTGGAGTGAGTTTTTTTTTTTTTAGACGGAGTCTTACTCTGTCGCCCAGGCTAGAGTACAGTGGCGCGATCTTGGCTCACTGCAAGCTCTGCCTCCCGGGTTCACGCCATTCTCCTGCCTCAGCCTCCCAAGTAGCTGGGACCACAGGTGCGTTTAATTTTTTTTGTATTTTTAGTAGAGACGGAGTTTCACCGTGCTGGCCAGGATGGTCTTGATCTCCTGACCTTGTGATCTGCCCGCCTTGGCCTCCCAAAGTGCTGGGATTACAGGCAGGAGCCACCATGACCAGTCGAGATTTTTAACATACTTCCCTCAGAAACAAGTGGGTCAAGTAAACAATCTCATGCTTAAAACATAGAGAACACACATTGTTTTCAACATACTGAACATTACCAAAAAAAACAAAGCAACAGAGAAAGTTTCAACAAATCCCAAAAGAATATATCATTTGGCAAAACAATTTCTATCCATATTGTTGTTATATTAGAAATATATGAAAAGTAACCCTCTCCCCAGAGACATATAGAAATGGAAACTAAAGTGGAAATAGAACCAAGCCTACCTAAAGAAAATTGTGCATCCTTAATAGACTCATTTTAACAGGAAAGCCTGAAATAAATAAGTATTCAGCAAGAAATCAAATGCAGGCTGTGGCTCACGTCTATAATCCCAGCACTTTGGGAGGCCGAGGCGGGTGGATCACTTGAGGTCAGGAGTTCGAGACCAGCCTGGCCAACATGGTGAAACCCCATCTCTCCTAAAAAATACACAACTTGGGGCTGGGCGCAGTGGCTCACGCCTGTAATCCCAGCACTTTGGGAGGCTGAGGCGGGTGGATCACGAGGTCAAGAGATCAAGACCATCCTGGCCAACTTGGTGAAACCCCGTCTCTACTAAAAATATAAAAATTAGCTGGGCATGGTGGTGGGCACCTGTAATCCCAGCTACTCGGGAGGCTGAGGCAGGAGAATCACTGGAAACTGGGAGGCAGAGGTTACAGTGAGCCGAGATCGCACCACTGCACTCCAGCCTGGCCACAGAGTGAGACTCCGACACAAAACAAAACAAAACAAAACTTAGCCGGGCATGGTGGCGTGAACCTGTAATCCCAGTAACTTGGGAGACTGGGGCAGGAGGATCACTTGAATTCGGGAGGTGGAGGTTGCAGTGAGTTGAGATTACATCACTGCACATTCCAGTCTGGGCGACAGAGTGAGACTCTGTCCAAAAACAAAAAACAAAAAACAAAAGAAAAGAAATCAGATACAGAATAAGAAAGTAACTCAAGGAGGGCCGGGCACGGTGGCTCACGGCTGTAATCCCAGCACTTTGGGAGGCCAGGGCAGGTGGATCTCTTGAGCCCAGGAGTTCAAGACCAGCCTGTGCAACATGGCAAAACCCCTCTCTACAAAAAATACAAAAATTAGCCAGGCATGGTGGCATGTGCCTGTAGTCCCAGCTACTTGGGAGGCTGAGGTGGGAGGATCGCTTGAGCCCAGGAGGCAGAAGCTGCAGTGAATCAAGATCGTACCACTGCACTCCAGCTGGGGTGACAGAGACAGAACCAAAGCCTATCTCAAAAAAAAAAAAAAAAAAAAAAAAAAAAAAAAAGAAAAGAAAATAGATGGAAAAGTAGAAAAGGAAATGTTATCAGGAACAAAAAAGGAAAGAGTGTATATTTAGGGCAATTTGAATCTATGCTCCCAGGTTAAAATAAAACCATTTTAAATAGATTAAAAAAAAAGAGCAAAAGGCCAGGTGTGGTTGGCTCATGCCTGTAATCCCCATACTTTGGGAGGCCAAGGCGGGAAGATGGCTTGAACCCAGGAGTTCAAGCTCAGCCTGTCTCTACAAAAAATAAAAAAAATTAGCACGGATTGGTGGCACATGCCTGTAGTCCCAGCTACTTGGGAGGCTGAGGTGGGAGGATCACTTGACCCTGGGAAGCATAGCAGTAGTTCTCAGAGTGTGGCTCAGGGACCCTGGGGTTCCATGCATTCAAGTTTGTGTTCGCAACACTAAGAGGACACATTAGAAGCACTTGTAGTAGATTCAGTGACAAGAGAGGGACGTTCCCTCACCCTGCTGCTATTCAACATCCTAGCCAAAGCAGTAAGTTACAGAAAAAAGAAATATAAGCTACAAGGATCAGAAGAAAAAAGACAAAATCATCATTCTTTGAGAATGATAAAAATAATCTACATAGAAAATCCAAGAGTTATCAATCCACTGTTGGAATGACAGGAGTTCCACAGCATTGCCATATACAAGGTCAACAGAGAATAATTAATACCACTTCTATTTGTCAGCAATCAGCAACCGAAAACTGACCATTCACAATAGCTACAAAAACTATACAGTACATTAAGTCTTAAAAAAAGATATGTATGTAATGAACAACATTATAAAACTTTATTGAAGTACCTTAGAAAGGTCTATGGAGAAACAGACAATGTTTCTAAATAGGAGGGCTCAATAACATAAAGATATCAATTATCCCCAAGTTAAATTTATTTTGTGCAATTATAATAAACATTTCAACAGGACATGATATCTGACCAAAATGACTCCAAATATCACATGAAATAGTAACGATCTAAGATTAGCCAAGGCAGTGTGGCCAGGCGCAGTGGCTCACGCCTATAATCCCAGCACTTTGGGAGGCCAAGGCGGGAGGATCACGAGGTCAGATCGAGACCATCCTGGCTAACATGGTGAAACCCCATCTCTACTAACAATATAAAATTAGCCCGGCCATGGTGGCAGGCGCCTGTAGTCCCAGCTACTCGGGAGGCTGAGGCAGGAGAATGGCGCGAACCCGGGAGGCGGAGGTTACAGTGAGCCGAGATCACACCACTGCACTCCATCGTGGGTGACAGAGCGAGACTACGTCTCCAGAAAAAAAAAAAAAAAGATTAGCTAAGGCAATACCAAAAAAACAACCAAAGGAGGCAAGGGTGTGCCCTACTAGATATCAAGACTTAGGCTATGGTAATGGAAAGTGAAGTTTAAGTATAGGAAAAAAGATAATGGAAGACATCTATGGATATGTTAATATACCTGCAATATTAATGGCAATGAAGAAGGACAATAAATGGTATTGGCACAACTGGTTTTCCATTGGAAAATAAAATTAGTTTCCTGCCTTCTGTGGTACACAAATATACTTCAGGCAGGTTGAAGACCTAAACATTAAAAAAAAAAAAAAAAAAAGGTCGGGCACGGTGACTCACGCCTGTAATCCCAGCACTTTGGGAGGCCGAGGTGAGTGGATCACAAGGTCAAGAGTTCAAGACCAGCCTAGCTAAGATGGTGAAACACTGTCTCTACTAAAAATACAAAAATTAGCCGGGCGTGGTGGCGGGCACCTGTAATCCCAGCTACTCAGGAGGCTGAAGTAGGAGAATCGCTTGAACCCGGGAGGCGGAGGTTGCAGTGAGCCAAGATCACGCCACTGCACTCCAGCCTGGGTGACAGAGCAAGACTCTGTCTCAAAAAAATAAATAGAAATAAAAATAAATAAACAATAAAAGCCTATAAAGAAAAAGATTGTTTGATTCCATCAAAAAGAAAAAAGGCCAGGCATGGTAGCTCACACCTGTAATCTCAGTGCTTTGGGAGGCCGAGGTGGCCAGATTGCTTGAGCTCAGGAGTAGGAAACCAGCCTGGGTAACATGGTGAAACCCCAGCTCTACAAAAATTAGCCAACGTGGTGGTGTGAGCCTGTGGTTCCAGTCAAAACCTCAGGTGGCTGAGGTAGAAGAATCGTTTGAGAGTGGGAGATGGAGGCTGCAGGGAGCCAAGATGGTGTCACTGCACTCCAGCCTTAGCCAGACCCTGCCAAAAAAAAAAAAAAAAAAAAAAAGAAAAAGGATTCTGTACAAGACACCACAAAGATAAAAGGCAAGCAGACAAGCTGCAGAGTGAAAGATATTTGCAGACACATAACAAAGTATAAATATACAGAATATATTTAAAACATTTTTAAATTAGAAAAATGTCACAATTTTTAATAAATGAACACAGGATATGACCTGGCAAACCCTGTAGTCCCAGCTACTCAGAAGGCTGAGGCAGGAGGATCACTTGAATCTAGGAGTTCTGGGCTGTAGTGCTGCTGTGCCAATTGGGTGTCCCCACTAAGTTCGGCATCAATATGGTGACATCCGGGGAGCAGGAGACCACCATATTGCCTAAGGAAGGGTGAATCAGCTCAGGTGGGAAACAGGGCAGGTCAAAACTCCTGTGCTGATCAGTAGTGGGATCACGCCTGCGAGTGGCCACTGCACTCTAGCCTGAGCAACATAGTGAGAACCCCATCTCTAATTTTTTAATTAAGAAAAAATGTAAAGTAAAACAAGACTCTCCCCACAGATTGGGGAAATATAAAATACTTCATAATACCAAATGTTCAGAACACTGTAAACTGGTAGACACTCTAGAAATATGTCTGGCCCTACCTGGTAGAACTGAAACCCTGCAAAACTCTCAGTGGGGAAACCCCACTCGAAGTATGTACTTTATGGAGACTCTTGCTAATGCACACAAAAAGAAACACAAAAATGTTACCATGTGCCTGTGTAGAAGAAGAAAAAACTTCAGCGTCCATCAGCAAAGTCAGAGTGGTGGAAAGTAATGTCAAGGAGATAGAGCACAGTTATAAGGCTGAGAAAAACTGTCAGGTACAGAATATACACAGTATAATACATAGGTAGTTTTTTTTTTTTTTTTTTTTTTTGAGACGGAGTCTTGCTCCATCACCCAGGCTGGAGAGCAGTGGCGGGATCTTGGCTCACTGCAAGCTCCGCCTCCCGAGTTGACGTCATTCTCCTGCCTCAGCCTCCCAAGTAGCTGGGACTACAGGCGCCCGCTACCACGCCCGGCTAATTTTTTTGTATTTTTTAGTAGAGACGGGGTTTCACTGGGTTAGCCAGGATGGTCTCGATCTCCAGACCTAGTGATCCCCCCCGCGCCTTGGCCTCCCAAAGTGCTGGGATTGCAGGCGTGAGCCACCGTGCTCTGCCATACATATGTAGATTTTTAAGAGACAAAAACAGTATTAGGTTTGTAGAGATATAAGAAAACGAGGCCGGGCGCAGTGGCTCACGCCTGTATTCCCAGCACTCTGGGAGGCTGGGGCGGGCAGATCACTTGAGGTCAGGAGTTCGAGACCAGCCTGGCCAACATGGTTAAACCCCATCTCTACTAAAAATACAAAAATTAGCTGGGCATGGTGGCGGGCGCCTGTAATCCCAGGTATTCGGGAGGCTGAGACAGGAGAATCCCTTGAACTCGGGAGGCGGAAGGTGCATTGAGCCGAGATCGCGCCATCGTACTCCAGCCTGGGCGACAGAGCGAGACTCCGTCTCAGAAAAAGAGAGAGAGAAAGGAAAGAAGGAAGAGAAGAGAAAAGAAAAGAAAGAAAAAATAAAGAAGAGAAACAAAAATCTGGCTGCCTGGCTGCGGGGAGAAAAGCCTTGGAGCGCCAGAAGCGAGGAGGGTGGGGCGGAGGGAAGGCACAAGCAGAGGGAGGAGCACTGGCGGAGCGCGGACGCTAAAGGCAGGAGGGGCGGCATTCGCAGAGGGCTGGGAGGACCGCGAGACGCACGAGCCCCGCCCCTGAAAAGCTGACAGGAGAGGAGCGTGGGAGGGAGCCGGGATGGGAAGCCTCGGGCCGCTGGGACCAAGGGGTCTGGAGCGCATCGGGACGCAGAAGCCGCTCTGTGCGGCAGGAGTCCAGGGGACCCCGCGTGGGGCAAGGGAGTTGTCAGGGGCTCGAGAGCGGAAGGAGCCCCGTGAGGAGCGACCCCAGGGCTGGCAGAGAGCGGCGAGGCGCAGTCCGTACTCGGGGCCTTGTCCGGGGGGTCCCTCGAACAGGAAGTGCCGCTGATGGCGGGACGGACCCACGCCTGCAGCACCGCGAGAGGACCGGGCACAGGGGCAACGCGCAGGGGAGGGTCTGCGCCGGGAGGGTCTGCGCCCCGCGCGCCCGCCCCCGCCGGGCTCACACTCACCTCAGCGCCGCCGAGCAGCACGGCAGCCCAACCTCGCCCGTTCGGCCCTCCCTCCCCGCCAATCGGAACCGATCCGGAAGTGACGTCAGCCGACTGTCTGGGTCCGAGGCGCCGTCCGGGCCGCTCTGGGAAGCTAGGACGCCGCGTGTCGGCTGCCCACCTCCCTGGCTTGCAGTAAGGCTCCGGGGACCCGCGAATGGCAAAGCCGTAAAGCGGGAATGCTGCCACCGGGTGGCAGTCCGAAGCCACGGCCCAGAGGCCTCAGAACTGGGGCGATGGTCAGAGGCGAAAACATATTAGTCTTTCCCTTTTTCTGAGAAATTCTCTCCCTAATGATGCACGAAAGGCGCCGCAAACAAGAACTAGGCCCTTCGATTTACAGAGAAACGGGAACCGCACCCTTCCTTAGGGCCAAGAAAGGATGCTTACTGGCCAAAGAAGCCTGTCTTGGGTTTAACCTATTGCTCCTCATCCTTAACTCCTGTAAATGGGGCCCAGTGTCCACTCTGGAGAAAGGGTTTTTCGGGTGCCTGAGCTGCTTCTGGAACAAACTTTCCCTCATGGCCGGTCCATCGGCCAAGCCCTGCCGTCCACTTTGCCCAGAAGGGAGCAGAAAAACAGTGACCGCTTATGGCCAAGCTAAGCATCTAGTGCTTTCCCAAAACCCTCTTTCCAGATGCCCCTCCATCCTTCAGGAGGAAACACCGCCCTCCTGGATTCTTTCTCGACAAGTCAGCTGGGACCCTGGGACCGGCCCTGCGAATGACGAGATCAAAACCAGGTCCCGTAGTTACTGGCGGGGAGGCGGGGCTGGAGTGGGAGGACCACATGAGGCCAGGGGCTTGAGACCAGCCTGGCAATAGCGAGAGCCTGTCTAAAATAAACAGGCCCTGCTGGGTCACTGCCTAGGTGTGGTGGGCGCCCAAAGACAGGTGGGGCCATACCAGCAGGATCAGGAAAGCAAGATCACGAAATGGGGGGTAAGGTTCTCTAGAGACAGCGTGGACCATGACAGCCAGGAACCACCGCGCAGCCAGTTAGGACTTGTCATCCCGGAGTGACCACGGAAGCCTAAGGTGACTATTCTCACCTGCCAGGCACCCTCCAACCAAGTCTATAGGGAGAGACCGTGCCTCATCCTGCCTGCTGCAGTTCCACAGGAGTGTTGTTAGGGGCAGTGATCTGCAGCTGCTGCATTCGCTGGTGGAACTTCCTCGTGTGAAAGTGCTGATAGGATGCTGTCCTGGGATCTCCTCATTGGATCATGGTTAAGGGACAAGATGCCATGGGCTATGGCCAAACAGGAAGCCCCTCCACTCTGCCTTGTGACGGAAACCAGCTTACTTGCCCTCCCATTGCAGGGGGGGTTCCCCAACACTTCCAACCTGATTCCACTCAATCATCACTGTCAGCCTCATCACTACCAAAGCTAGAGAGAACCAAAGTATCAGCCCCTGCCAGCAGGGAAAGGCCATGTGCTTTAAGGTAATCAATGCAGCTTTGGGGGCTGTTCCTGGTTAGTTTCTCTGCCCCAGGGAAGAGGGGGCTACATGCCCTGCGAAGCTGTGGAGTTACAGGACTCAAGGAGCAGACCAACCTACTGCTGGTGCCAGCTCCAGTCCAGTGTAGGGCTCTGGGTGGGTGGGTGAAGGGACTTGGGTGGTCTGGGATTCCCCATACACACACTGCATGCATTCATCCCTTTGTTCAGCAATCCCAGCAGTGACCTGGGACCCCACACTCAATCACCACCCTCAACCTCACCTGTCACTATCAGGCTAGAAAATGAGGAAAGGCATGAGGCCCCACCCACCACCCACAGGAAAAAGCACCCAGAACCCTCCAGTCAGTGACCACTCCCCACCATGGCGGGGTGGGAATGCATGCAGAACAGAATGGTAAAAGCCAGGCTAGGAATGGCTTCCTGGCTGTAGACAGGGTGCCTGTCCCACATTCCTTCAGGGCCCATCCCAAGTTCCCAGTGCAAGGCAGACACCTGCAAGCCAGGTATCCCTGGCAGTGACTTAAACACACTGACATCAGCAGGGCTGTAGCCAGTATGGAGGGAAAGGGTGTCGCTAAAAGACCCTGGGCAAAGGACTGCCTCAGGTGCTGAGAAAGTTAGCAGGGAGCTGACAGAGTGAGGGTATGGTCCAGAACACCAGGCTCAACGATTGTGTCCTATTCTGTTTCCTGATACGTGAAATGAGTGTTCACATCCAAGCACTGCAGGCCATGGGACTGAGTCACCCACATAAGTGTCAGGTCCTGGATGCCACATTCTTGGTCCCCTCTGTGGGGAAGCAAGGGTCTTGCCCAGGGTACCTGCACCCCGTTTCTAGTTGTGGACTTTCCCTTCAAGCTTCTACCACTCACTGGTGGTCTACTTCAGTAGTCTAACTCCCTCCCAGTACCAACCAGGGGGATCCCACAGAAATCCTCCCAGCAGGGACCCCTCCCTTTGAAACCATGGGGGTGGGCACAGCCAGGTGGCATAAACACAAACTTTATTGAGGCCCTCAGCACTAGTTCTCTTTCTCCTGCACAGTCTTGGTTCCCCGGAGACGTCCAGTCCGGCGGGCAGCAATGAGACCCACTTTGCGGCCAGCAGGGGCATCTCTGCGGATGGTGGAGGGCTTGCCGATGTGCTGGTGGTTGCCACCTCCAAAAGGATGCTCCACAGGCTGCAGGCAGAGAAAGATGGCTTTAGAAACCTCTTCCCCACCACCCCCGCCCCCGGCCTCGGGGTCCCACCCGTCAGGGGCCCAATTCCGCGAAGCCCCTCTCCACAGCATGTGCCGCTAGACAACCCCAGTCAGGCTGACTCTTTCCAGCTCAGGCCCCCACTGCCCCTCCCAGCCTCCGTTTCTTGCGGAGAAACGGTGAAGGAGGGTGAGCCCACCTCCTTCAGGAGTGCTGGAGCAGGATCAACAGTCCCGTGACTACAAACCACCACCTGCTGCTCCTCCCACCGTAGATCCCCCTCCTGCAGGGACACCTGTGGATGGGACTTGCCTACCCAACAGTGTGGCCACTGTAACTTCAATACCCAACCCTGCATTTCTGGGTTACTTACATTCATGGCCACACCCCGTACTCGTGGCCAGCAGTTCCTCTTTGCCTTATATTTGTGGTACGCCCGGCCAGCCTTCAAGATGGGTTTGTCAATTCGGCCACCTCCAGCCACCACACCTGTAGGGGATCAGATACCTCAGGGAACCCCCAGTCGGTCAGAGCACCCCCACCTCCCCTCAATCTCCTGTCATGCACCTTCCCAATACTGCATCCAACTACCCAGCAAAAAGCCCACTCGCCTCCACCCTAGGGAGCCCCTTGCACCCTGTGAGCTGACATCCAGTTTCTTCAATCCACAATGGGCAGGCAAGCCAAGGCCCTCACCTCCATCACCTAGAATGCTGGCTGAGCTCCAAGCGCAGGGAAGCACCCCCCTCACCATGTGTGAGACGTCAGGCCGGCCACTCAACCTGACGTAAGACACTTGATTCAGCCTGCCCCATCTCAGCTTTACTTATTCCAGGAACACAACCTCAGAGCCTCCCCTGTGCGAGGCTGAGTTCATCACAAGGATTCCAAGATGTTCCCAAACAGCACAGTGAGTTAACCTAGACTCAAATCCTTTTTCACTCACTCAGTAGGCGTCTTTGAGAAAGCCACAATCTCTCCCTGCCTTCTCTAAAAAGGCTGTTAACCAACTGCATGCAAGTGCAGCAATCAGGAAGCCCACGGTAGAATCCAAGACCCTGGTGACTTCGTCCCAATCTCATTTAACGCCTCAACAGCAGTAAAGCAGGTACTGTTGTGCCTGTTGTACAGTGATGACAACTGAGACTACAGGATGAGCTCAAACTTACAGAACCCAAGTTTTAGAACAACAGGTAATCGAATTCCAGGGACCAAGTCTAGCCACTGGCTGTCCACCGGCACTCACAGCATGTTCACCCACAGCCCTCAGCATTCAACTGCTGCCTGATACTCACCAACCACAGCTCTGTTGGCTGAGGAGATAACCTTCTTGGAGCCGGAGGGCAGCTTCACACGGGTCTTCTTGGTCTCAGGGTTGTGGGAGATAACGGTGGCATAGTTCCCTGATGCCCGGGCCAGCTTGCCACGGTCTCCAGGCTTCTCCTCCAGGCAGCACACGATTGTACCCTCAGGCATGGTGCCCACAGGGAGCACATTGCCAATGTTGAGCTGGGCTGCAAGGGGAAGCAGCATCAGGCCGTCAGCACAGTAAGAAACAATGCGAACCCCCTCGCTCTAGGCAACCCGCGAAGTTGCGAGCACAGCATTCAACATCCAGCCTCCCGGTACAACTCTCTCGGCACCCACCGGTGGCCACTGGTCTGGCCACGCGGATGTCCCCACCTGAAGCTTCTGCCTGCGAGGTTCCCATATCGGCTTAGGACGTTAACTCCTCAGGCAACACCCAGACCCCTCCCCACCCCGACCTTCCTTCCCCGCCGCGATGCTAACCCTTCTTGCCGCAATACACAAACTGGCCCGTGTGAATGCCCTCGGCGGCAATGAACAGCTCCGTCCGCTTCTTAAACCGATACGGATCCCGGAAGACCACCTTGGCGAGGGGCGCGCCGCGGCCCGGGTCGTGGATGATGTCCTGTGGGCAGAGGCGGCGTGAGTGCGGCGTTCCGGCCGGGCGTCCCTTCCCCTCCCGCCCCGGCCAGCGTTCCGCACCTTGACGATGCCCTTGATGTAGCCGTGCCGCTCAGCGAAATCCACGGCGCGCAGGCGCGCAGCGCCTTTACGGTGCTTCACGTGCGCGCGGAACACAGACCCGGCGCCCTTCCTCTGTCCACGGATCACACGGCCCATGGCGACGGGTCCTGGGGGCGACTCACGATTAGCGCGGCCGGGCGGCCCGGGTACCCCCGCCAGCCCGGCTTTCCGGGACCCCGCCCCCGAGGCCGCCGCGCCCACCACTCCCTACCCTCTCCGCGGGCGCCCGCACCGGCATCCTCTCAGGAGGGCCGGTCCGGGTCTCAGCGCGCCTCACGGAAGAGGATGGCGGCGGATACTGCCCATGCCGCAAGGCCGCAAGGATGACCTACCTGTTCACCAGCGCGGCCGAAAGAGGAAACACGGCGTCAGCGAGCGGCCTTATCTTCCGGGGCGGGGCCCAGGGCCGCGACACCTTCCGGGCGCGCCACGGCCAGCCTAGCGCGGTGCACGCCGGGGCTTGTAGTCACCAGCGGCCGCCGGCCCCGCCTACTTCTCCTCCTCCAGGGCCCCCGCGCAGGCGCACCAGGAGACGCGGCTGAAGGTGTCCTGGTGTGCGTGGGCTCGGAAGGAGGGTGCAGGAGTGCTCGGCTTTCACCGGGGTCTCCGGGAGGGCAGGTGTTTTCTGAGTGGCCGAGGAGGCGCCAAGTGGTTGAGTGACCTGTCCAGGGTGTCACAGAGCGACCCACTCCGGGCCACGGGGTCTGGGGCTCCCGGCTTGCCTGGTGAGGGGCTTCCGTGTAGGCCGAGGGGGTTCTCGCTGGTGCAGAGCAGGAGATGGGCAGGGGAGACGCGTGGACCCACTCGTGGAACGTCATGGTTTGCAGGTGGCAAATGTCCGTCTCCCTGATGAACGGGCGCTTCTGGACGCGGGGACCTTATCCACTGTAGGCCCTTGGAGAGGTCGGGCGTCGAGGAGAGGAGCCCCGGGATCCTTGCCGAGGGTGAGGGCCGGCCGGCCCAGGAAGTGGGGAGGGCCAAGCTGGAGGGTCCCGGGTCGAGGAAGAAGGAGCGGGGATGGGCTGGGTCACATGCTGCGGAGTGGACGAATAATGGGAGACTGGACCGTACCCTGACCAGAACCCTGTGCGGGAGAGGTGGGGAAGGAGCAAGAAATGGAGGCTGGGAGGGGCTGTGGGGGCCTGAGCTGGAAAGAGTCAGCCCGACTGGGGGTGTCCTGCGGTACGTGCTGTGGAGAGGGGCTTCGCGGAATCGGGCCCCTAACGGGTGGGACCCCGAGGCCGCGGGTGGGGGATGGTGGGGAAGAGGTTTTCCAGGAGAGAGTCCCTGGCTGAGTGAGCACTGTCGAGCACACGCGAGGCCGTGGGTGGGGAGGCAGCAAGGAGGTGAAGGCGGGGGTCCCAGTGGGCGGGAGAGGCTTGCTGTCGGTACTGGGAGGTGGGGTGTTTCCTAGACCCTGCAGGGGCTGAGGCAGGGTTGACATCGTGAGAAGGAGACAGGAGAGGGTGGAAGGGTGTCCTGTGCCCGCTGTTGCTCACAGGGGAGAGGAGGGGCTGCTGCAGGAGGCCCTCCCCTAGGGTCGGCAGGGGGATGGAGGAGGAGCTGCCCGGTGGGGACTCAGGAAGCAGCACAGCCCACAGCTAGGGCCAGGGGCTGAGGGGCAGGACTGGACCCTGGGGGCAGGGTGAGGGGTTCTGGGGTCAGCCCAAAATTGGCCCACAGGCCCAGCCTGTCCGTCACTCCTGAACAAATCTGCTTCTCTGGAGGAGCAGAAGGAGAGTTGGGTGCGGGATAGAGGTGAGAAGAGTGCTTGGACACACAGGCTGTGGGGTCCCCAAGATGGTCTCACGGGTCTCTGGGATGAGATGCGGCTACCAAGACCCTACGTGCAGCCAGGAGACTGACCAGGCCGCTTTAAGGCTGGAAGAGACATGGCCCTGCCAGCATCCACCTGACAGTCCTGAGGACTGTGTGACTGGGCTCAGTCTTGACCTTCACGGGAGACCACACAGCCTGGTACACAGCAGGGGCTATGCAGTTCTGGGTCACTTGACAGCCACTCCAGACGAGGCCGCAAGCACTGGACATGGGGTTTTCCAGCCTTCTGGGGTGGAGCCATCTTTCTTAGGCCAGGATTAGTCCCTCCCCACACAGTGCCTCTGCTTGTGCTAGTGGCCTGGTGACCTCCCTTATGCCATCCGACGTCACCCCAACCTGCTGTTCAAACTTTATTGTTAGAAATTATTTATTTCCGGCCGGGTGCGGTGGCTCATGCCTGTAATCCCAGCACTTTGGGAGGCCGAGGCAGGCGGATCACCTGAGGTCAGGAGTTCCAGACTAGCCTGATCAATATGGACAAACCCCGTCTATACTAAAAATACAAAAGTTAGCTGGGTATGGTGGCAGGTACCTGTAATCCCAGCTACTCGGGAGGCTCAGGCAGGAGAATCACTGAAACCCAGGAGGTGGAGGTTGTGGTGAGCTGAGATTGTGCCATTGCACTCCAGCTTGGGAAACAAGCGCAAAACTGTGCCTCAAAAAAAAAGTTATTTCCTTCTGAAATTGTTCTTCAAATGTTTCTTGTCACATACATGCAGCAGTAATTTGGTAGAAACATGAGAAATTGTGATCCTCTGTCTTGCTCAGCTTGGCTCCCCTCCCCAACCAGCATTATCTGCCCGCACCCCCAATCCCCAACAACTGATGTGTCCTTATCTCCCTGCCCCCTACCGCGCCCCCGTAGCATAATTGTATGCCACATATGGGCACACCATCACATATGGCTAAAATGGGATCACTCCGTAATGAATGAATATATATATATATATATTTTTTTTTTTTGAGATGGAGTCTCGCTCTTGTTGCCCAGGCTGGAGTGCAATGGCGTGATCGGGGCTCACTGCAACCTCCGCCTCCCGGGTTCAAGCGATTCTCCTATCTCAGCCTCCCGAGTAGCTGGGACTATAGGCGCACACCACCATGCCCAGCTAATTTTTGTATTTTTTAGTAGAGACGGTGTTTCACCATATTGGTCAGGCTGGTCTTGAACTTCTGACCTTAGGTGATCCACCTGCCTTGGCCTCCCAAAGTGCTGGGATTACAGGCATAAGCTACCGTGCCTGGCCAATGCTAGGCACTTTTTATGGGCCAGGGACTGATCTAAGTACTTTTCATGCACACTGCTTTTCTTTTCTTTTTTTCTGAGATGGAGTCTCACTCTGTTGCCCAGGCTGGAGTGCAGTGGCGCGATCTCGACTCACTGCAACTTCTGCCCACAGAGTTCTAGCGATTCTCCTGCCTCAACCTCCCGAGTAGCTGGGATTACAGGCGCCCGCCACCGCACCCAGCTAATTTTTTGTATTTTTAGTGGAGACGGGGTTTCACCATCTTGGGCAGGCTGGTCTTGAACTCCTGACCTCGTGATCCACCCGCCTTGGCCTCCCAAAGTGCTGGGATTACAGGTGTGAGCCACCATGACCCACCTCATGCACGCTGCTTTTCTAATTTAGTGTCTTATAATTGTGGAGCTATGTCTTGTGAAAAGGTATTTCCAACAAGATTCTCTGAGATAGTTTTCCCATGTGCTTTCAGTGCCTCAGGGGTGGGGTAGTCCATAGGAGCCCCTGTTACCCATTCAGGAGTGGGTGAGGGGAGACCCCAGGGACCAATGCCAGCAGGAAGAGGTGGGGTGGTTGGGAGGATGGAGATTGCACATGCTTGGGGACAGCTTGGAGGTGCGTGTTAGAATTTTTCTGAGAGGGGTTAAGGTGCTGTTTTGTGAAGCACAACGAGTTAGTGAGTGCTAAATCTCCATGACCCCTGCCGTCTATATGGCTTGGATACGTCATGTCAACCTGACATAAAGCCATGGGTGAACATTCTCTGGGACCCCACCTGTGTGTGGGGAAAAGCAAGAGAGATCAGATTGTTACTGTGTCTGTATAGAAAGAAGTAGACATAGGAGACTCCATTTTGTTCTGTACTAAGAAAAATTCTTCTGCCTTGAGATTCTGTTAATCTATGACCTTATCCCCAACCCCGTGCTCTCTGAAACATGCGCTGTGTCAACTCAGGGTGAAATGGATTAAGGGTTGTGCAGGATGTGCTTTGTTAAACAAATGCTTGAAGGCAGCATGCTCCTTAAGAGTCATCACCACTCCCTAATCTCAAGTACCCAGGGACACAAACACTGCGGAAGGCCGCAGGGACCTCTGCCTAGGAAAGCCAGGTATTGTCCAAGGTTTCTCCCCATGTGATAGTCTGAAATATGGCCTCGTGGGAAGGGAAAGACCTGACCGTCCCCCAGCCCGACACCCGTAAAGGGTCTGTGCTGAGGAGGATTAGTATAAGAGGAAGGCATGCCTCTTGCAGTTGAGACAAGAGGAAGGCATCTGTCTCCTGCCCCTCCCTGGGCAATGGAATGTCTCGGTATAAAACCCGATTGTACGTTCCATCTACTGAGATAGGGAAAAACCGCCTTAGGGCTGGAGGTGGGACATGCGGGCAGCAATACTGCTTTGTAAAGCATTGAGATGTTTATGTGTATGCATATCTAAAAGCACAGCACTTAATCCTTTACCTTGTCTATGATGCAAAGACCTTTGTTAACGTGTTTGTCTGCTGACCCTCTCCCCACTATTGTCTTGTGACCCTGACACATCCCCCTCTCAGAGAAACACCCACAAATGATGAATAAATATTAAGGGAACTCAGAGGCTGGCGGGATCCTCCATATGCTGAACGCTGGTTCCCCGGGTCCCCTTATTTCTTTCTCTATACTTTGTCTCTGTGTCTTTTTCTTTTCCAAGTCTCTCGTTCCACCTTACGAGAAACACCCACAGGTGTGGAGGGGCAACCCACCCCTTCACATGTGTGATTAAATAGTTGAAGTTTTGGCATCCTTTTACAATGAGAGAATAGCACAGGATTTACATACAATTTTTGGACATCCAAGTTCACCACAATACCCATATTGTCTGAAATTATGTGCCATGGCCCTGAGGGGAGTCATGATCCCTCCCCCAAAGATGGTTGTGGCTGTCAGGACACAGCAAGTACCCACAATTCCCTCCTGGTGAAGAGTGCCTCTGTCCTACCCAGCCTGTGCCTCACTCCTGAGCAAATCCGCTGTCAGCAGTGTGAATGCAGGAGACACCCTTGGTCCCCCAAAGAATCTGAGGAACCTAGGGGCATCCAGTCCTGGGACAAGGATCTATGTAGACATCATACAAGTTTAGCACCACCCATAGTGGAGTGCTGGGCTAAGCCTACTTAGACAGATATCACCCTCCTCACCCAGTTTCCCCTGTCCTTGTGAAAAGGAAGAAAATGATGGTTCCTGGTCTGTCTTGTGCTCAAATCTGACCCGGCTCCCAACCAGCTGTGGCTCTGGATGAGTCCCTTACCTTCTTTGATCCTCATTCCTCCTCCCAGGGTCTGGTTGCAATTCAGAGGATCTGAAAACCTAGAGTGTGTGTGAAACCATCTCTAAAGTGTGTGTGGAGGTGAGTGGGAACTCGGGAAACACCGAGTTTCATATATTGAACTGTTCCTCCCACTTGCATGATGGTTTCACAACACAGTTTAGTGGCTAAAGAATATGTGACTTGGAGCCAGGTCTGTGGGTTGGATCCCAGCTCTGTTACTTAAGAGATGAGACCTTGGCCAGGCACAGTGGCTCACGCCTGTAATCCCAGCACTTTGGGAGGTCGAGGCTGGCAGATCATCTGAGGTCGGGAGTTAGAGACCAGCCTGACCAACATGGAGTAACCCCCTCCTTACTAAAAATACAAAATTAGCCGGGCGTGGTGGCGCATGCCTGTAATCCCAGCTGCTCGGGAGGCTGAGGCAGGAGAATCACCTGAACCTGGGAAGTGGAGATAATGTTGAGCCAAGATGGCACCATTGCACTCCAGCCTGGGCAACAACAGTGAAACTCCGTCTCAAAAAAAGAGACTAGACCTTGGCAAATAACAGGGACACTATGCTCTCCTCATTTTAGTATGGGAACAGTAGTATTTTGATAGGATTACCATGAGGATTAAATTAGTAAATACAAAGAGCATACAAATGTTTACAGAAGTCACAGGGCTGTTAGAAGTCAGAATGGCCACCCTTGGGTGCAGACAGGAGAGGTGGTCTGAGAGTGATCAGAGGGAGCAGCAAAGACACTTCAAGATCCCAGAAACTGGCCCGGTGCGGTAGCTCACGCCTGTAATCCCAGCACTTTGGGAGGCCGAGGCGGGCGGGTCACCTGAGATCAGGAGTCCGAGATCAGCCCGGGCAACATGGTTAAACCCCGTCTCTACTAAAAATACAAAAATTAGTCGGGCGTGGTGGTGGGAACCTGTAGTCCCAGCTACTCCGGAGGCTCAGGTAGGAGAATCGCTTGAACCTGAGAGGCGGAGGTTGCAGTGAGCCCAGATCACACCATTGCACTCCAGCCTGGGGAACAAGAGCGAGACTCAGGCTCAAAAAAAAAAAAAAAAGTCATACTAAACAATGTCATAAATTTATATGAGACCGACCCTGGCCGGACGCCCCCGCTCCGCCCTTCCTGCGGGTCCGGGAGTCGATCCCCCACCGTGCTCCCCAACCCCCGCAGGCCACCCGGGGGCAGAGAGTGGGCGCAAGGGGTGAACGTTCGCTGCCTCCGATCCCGGGGGAAACGGAGCGCCGAGAACGTCGACGCCCTTCCGCGCCCGTCGGGCCTGGGACTGATACCCGGTCTGGCCCGGAACCCCCCAGGCGCGCCCCTAGCTGGGGCCCTGGCGACCGCCGCGCCGCAGGGGCTAGAAGCCGTCGAGACGCGAGCGCCATCGAGGCGCGCGGTCCTCCAGGCCTCCCAGAGCGGCGCAGCGGCCGTTTCCGGGGGCGGGGAAGGAACCGGAGCCTGAGAGCCGGGCGCCGTGCGCTCCTCCCCGCGCTGTCTCGGCGGCCCAGGGTGAGTCGGCCGCGGCCGCGGGGCGGGGACTGGGAGGGGCGCGGTCCTCCGAGCCCGGCCTGGTGGAGGCTGTAGCCCCCGCAGTGGGCGCGCGGAGCTCGGCAGGGAGCGGACCCGCAGCCGTCACTGTCGCCTCCGCTCGCCTTGGGTTCCGAACCCTTATCGGGGCGAAGGGCCCTGCGCCCCGGTCCATGCTGGCTGTGGTCGGGGGCGTGCGGCCGGGCCCCCGAGACCCGCTCCGCCGAGCCGGACGGTTGCGCAGAGATGAGGCTGCAGGCGGGGAGGCCTGGCGAGGTGGGGCTGCTCCGGGGAGGACCAGGCTCTGCCCCTCGCTTCCGTCCGATGGCGGGCTCTTCCCGGCAGCCTCGCTCCCCGGCGGACGCCGTTTCCCGCAGCGTTCATTTACCCTGCGCAGTTTTGCCCCCTCCCCGGGTTGGGGCATTTATTGGACCAACAGTCATTTCGTAAATAGCTGTTGGGTATTTAACTGTGAGCGTTCCGGTGCTGGGGACCCCGCAGTGAGCGAACAGCCCGCCTCGCCTCCAGGAGCATGAATTGTAATAGAGGTGAGGCGTTAGTGTAACAGGCAATAACGCAGCAAAATAACTTCTGGTTTTGACAAGGGCCTCGCACAGAATAAACCAAGGAAATAAAATTGTGAGAGTTAGGGGGTTAGGGTAGCCTTGGCGGTCAGGGGAGGCTCTGTAAGGAGTTAACATTTGGCCGTGCGCAATGGCTCACGCCTGTAATCCCAGCACTTTGGGAGGCCGAGGCGGGCGGATCACGAGGTCAGGAGATCGAGACCATCCTGGCTAACACGGTGAAACCCTGTCTCTACTAAAAATACAAAAAATTAGCCGGGCGTGGTGGCGGGCGCCTGTAGTCCCAGCTACTCGGGAGGCTGAGGCAGGAGAATGGCGTGAACCCGGGAGGCGGAGCTTGCAGTGAGCCGAGATCGCGCCACTGGTCTCCAGGCTGGGCAACAGAGGGAGACTCTGTCGCAAACAACAGCAACAACAAAAAAGAGTTAACATTTGAACTGAAACCTGCTGGAGGAGAGAAGCAGCCACAGATCCCTGAGGAGAAACTCCCAGGCGGGGGAACAGAGAGAAGGCTGGCATGGCTGCGGCGTAGTGAGCCGGGTGCCCCAGGTCCCCGAGGAACAGGGCTTATTCTGCGTATGGAAGGAGGTGACCCCTCCTAGTCTTCCAGACCCCAGTTAAATGAGTTCCCCCAGTAACATTTCTTGGTGGTCCTTCATCTAAAATTAGCACCCTCCTCCCCTTGACATTTTCTGTCTCAGCAACAGCTTGATCTGTTGTCATCATATCACTGCTCCATTATTTTTAGCTCAGTGCTGTTTAATCTGATTGAAGGTTTACTTCCTAATTCCGAAGATAGAACTAAAAGCAGGTTTTTTTCCCCTCTAACCAGGTAGCCCCTCCCTGAGGACATGCACTCCCTAGACATGAGCAAACACAAAGCAGCAGTAACTTACCGCTCCTAGTCCAAGTCCTACCCTAGTCCTGGGTTGCAGTTCTTACCAGAGTGGAGGGTGGTATGTGTTGAGGGGTCGGGGATCAAGTCTTCTGGCAGCCTCATACCCTGAGATACTCTGGTTGCCTTGTTGGGGTGAGGACAACACGTGTGGCCATCGCAGTGGCCCAGGTGGGTCCTGCCACAGACTGCCCTGGACAGACAGTGAGTGGGGGCTGGGTGGGGGTGGTGTGGCCCTGCTCTTCCATGCGTTTGCAGTCTGTGCCCTCTGTGCAGGGGTGATTCACGAATCTGTCTGATCCACCCCCATCGCCCTTCGTACCCTAACATGTCAAAAGGGCTCTGCTGCCAAATGTCACTTCATAGCATTGTGACCAAGCAGCCCTCCTGCCTCTAAACGCACTCTTTATTTTTATTTGAGAGAGAACCTCACTCTGTCGCCCAGGCTGGAGTGCAGCGGGGCACACTTGGCTCACTGCAACCTCTGTCTACTCAAGCAGTTCTCCTGCCTCAGCCTCCCAAGTAGCTGGGATTACAGGTGCGTACCAGCACACTCGGCTAATTTTTGTATTTTTCGTAGAGAAGGGTTTCACCATGTTGGCCAGGCTGGTCACGAACTCCTGACTTCAAATGATCCGCCCTCATCGGCCTCCTAAAGTGCTGGAATTACAGGCATGAGTCACTGTGCCTGGCCTCTAAACACATGCTTTTTGTTAACTGATGCCTAAAGGGAAACATCTCTTTACAAAGTGGCAGCTACTTAGACGGCTCCAGCTCTACAGAAATGGATAGCCCCGGAGACCTTCACCCAAACACAAGAGCTCAAGTGTCTGTTGAAGGGAAGAGTGAGGAGAACAGGGCCTCATGCCTACTCTGTATACGTCTGCTTAGAGCAAAATTATTGTTTTGTTTTGTTTGAGACAGAGTCTCACTCTGTCGCCCAGGCTGGAGTTGGTGGCATGATCTCGGTTCACTGCAACCTCTGCCTCCTGGGCTTAAGGGATCCTCCCAGGATGACCAAGGTTGCACCATTGCACTCCCGCCTGGGCAACAAGAGCGAGTTGTCGGAGTCTCACTCTGTCACCCAGGCTGGAGTGCGGTGGCGCGATCTCAGCTCACTGCAAGCTCCGCCTCCCAGGTTCACGCCATTCTCCTGCCTCAGCCTCCCTAGTAGCTGAGACTACAGGTGCCTGCCACCATGCCCGGCTAATTTTTTGTATTTTTAGTGGAGATGGGGTTTCACCGTGTTAGCCAGGATGGTCTCTGTCTCCACCGCACCTGGCCAAAAAAGTGTTAAATTAGAAAAATAGAAAGAGGCCGGGTGTGGTGGCTCACACCTGTAATCCCAGCACTTTGGGAGACCGAGGCAAGAGATCACTTGGGTCCAGGAGTTCAAGACCAGCCTGGGCAACATAGTAAGACCTCATCAATAATAAAAACTTTTAAAAATTAGCTGGGTGTGGTGGCATGCGCCTGTAGTTCCAGCTACTCGGGAGGCTGAGGTGGGAGGATTGCTTGAGCCCAGGAAGTTGAGGCTGCAGTGAGCTGAGATCACACCACTGCGCTCCAGCCTGGGTCACGCATTGAGACCCTGTCTCAAAAAAAGGAAAGAAAAATAGGAGAAAAAGAGGAACCACTCATAATTCTATGACGCAGAGAGAGCTAGAGTTTTATGCTACCAGCTTTATTTTTCTGCTTACAGTCTGCTTGTTTCATGTAGTAAAATGCAAGAATGTTTTCTGATGTTCCCACAACATGGTTTTATTGGTTGCAGAGTCACCCATTGTTCATTTCATAATGAGCAATGTTGCCCAGGCCGGAGTGCAATGGTGCAACCTTGGCCATCCTGGGAGGAAATCTTAAGCCCAGGAGGCAGAGGTTGCAGTGAACCAAGATCACACCACCAACTCCAGCCTGGGCGACAGAGCGAAACCCCGTCTCAAACAAAACAAAACAATAATTTTGCTCTAACCAGTCACGCTTTGTTCATTTCATAAATCCTTTCTGAGCACATGCTGTGTGCCAAGCCCTTCCTCAGGCCCTAGGGGTACAGACCAGAGGCCTTGTCTAATTGGGGAAGGCAGATAAGGAGCAAGGAAGTTAACTTGTCTTATGTCAGATGGCATAGTGCTATGGAGAAAAATAAAGCAAGGAGCGAGGATAAGGAATTCCCAGGCAGGAGGGGAGGTGGCAGTTTAAAAAATGGTGGTCACAGAAGGCCTCCCAGCAAGGTGAGAGCCAGAAAACATTGGAAGGAGTGGGTGTTCCCATGGAGAAGCTTGGATACACCTCCTTGGGACGTGAAGGAGGCGGCTGATGTGATTGCCCTAGCACTTTACCCTCTCCTGCTCCCTTCTGGATCTGGAGGGGCCTTCTGGGGGGCTGGAGGGCCTTAGGCCTGGGCTCTTTCCACTCATGGCTCTATGTTCCCTCAGAATTCACTGTCTGTAGCATCTGCTCCTCCACAGAGGGACCCTGGAATGGCGATGGCACTCCCGATGCCTGGACCTCAGGTGAGCACCCCCTGAGCCCGTCCATTGCCCCAGGAGACTGCTTCGCCCCTAGCCTCAGCTTTTCAGCCCTGAGAACCTTACAGCTTGCCTCACACCCACCCACATCACAGGATGGAGTCTGCAAGCCGAGGACAGCCTCCTCGCTCTATGGCCAGGCCTCACACATGGCTCTGCCAAATCCTTCCAGCCTTTGGGCAGAAGTGGGCTTCCTGCGGCCTCCTCTGGCCCCTGAGCTTCTATGGTCAGCCATTGAGGGCAGGGTCCCTGTCCTTCCCCAGTGCCTGCCTCCTTCCTGGTGTGAATGGTCAGCCCATCCTCCCTCTCCTGATGCTGACTCACTGCTGGTGTTAGAAATTGAGACCCAGAGGGTGGGGATGCTCCCCACAGTGCAGGTGCTCCTTCCCCAAATCCCTGATAGCCTGTGGAGAGGGCGAGGCCAAGGTTGGGACCCCCTTCCTGGTAAATCTCTCTCCCTCCCCCAAGTTCAGTTTTTCCCTCTTCCTCTCTGGGGCTTCTGCTGAGAATGAGGCCGCTCACTCGGGGGGTGTTGGGCTGCCCTTTCTCTGCTGGGCCCTGTGGATGCAGCAGTGGGCAGCAAGGAGAGAGGCCTCTAGCAGATCATGCAAATGTTTCTCATCTGCTGGGTTCTCACCGAGCCCTTGACTGCCTGGATAGCAGAGTATGTGGTTGCAGGAGGCGGTTGTGTTCGAGGATGTGGCTGTGTACTTCACAAGGATAGAGTGGAGTTGCCTGGCCCCCGACCAGCAGGCACTCTACAGGGACGTGATGCTGGAGAACTATGGGAACCTGGCCTCACTAGGTGAGGGCTTCTGCCTTTGGTCCTGGGGCCGGGAGGTGCGTCTGTGTTAGCTTCAAAGGAAGTTGGTTCCATTGCAGATTCAAGGTCTGACACATTTTTGAGGGGAAGCTGGAGGCTCCCCAAGGAGCCCCTCTCTGCTTCCTGTTGGGCACCCACTGCCAGCGTCAGCCTGCCTGAGGCTTCTCTCCTGGGGCAGGCCCCCCATCTCCCCCTGGCCACCTAGCTGCCCCCTTCTGGGATAGTGAATGTTCCTGACCCACTCCAAGCACTCTGTGCCCTGATGGCCTCCAGCCAGGCACCTGGGCGTCCCTTCTCCCTCCTGTACTGATACGTGCTGCTTTCCTTCTCTGAGCTTAGGCTTTCTTGTTGCCAAACCAGCACTGATCTCCCTATTGGAGCAAGGAGAGGAGCCGGGGGCCTTGATTCTGCAGGTGGCTGAACAGAGCGTGGCCAAAGCCAGCCTGTGCACAGGTGAGTACAAAGCACCCACAGGGCGTGTCCTGTGCTGCCAATGTGGCCTGGCCTCCGGGCAGCTCTGCAGGTCCCTTCTTCTACAGTGGGAGGTGTGTATGTTTAGCTCCTCACAGCAGGGCCAGATTTCCTACTAACTGCCTTGCTTGTAGGTCTAAGGTCAAAACTAACTTATGCAGGAAGACCCAAGTGCGAGAGTTTTCCATTTTGGTGTCCCCAAGGTGTCAGGGGCCGGGTCTGTGCTCACAGTGCCATTACCCTTGGGTTGTGTAGGGACCAGCCCTACAGGGTCTGTGGGTTTTTCTCCTCATGTGCAGAGACGAGAGATCATAGAAATAAAGACACAAGACAAAGAGATAGAAGAAAAGACAGCTGGGCCTGGGGGACCACTGCCACCAAGACATGGAGACTGGTAGTGGTCCTGAATGCCTGGCTGCGCTGTTATTTATTGGATACAAGGCGAAAGGGGCAGGGTAAAGAGTGTGAGTCATTTCCAATGATTGATAAGGTCATGTGAGTCACATGTTCACCGGACAGGGGGTCCTTCCCTGTTTGACAGCCGAGGCGGAGAGAGAGACAGGACAGCTTACGCCATTATTTCTTCTATGCATTTTAATGACTTTTAGTACTTTCACTAATTCTGTTACTGCTGTCTAGAAGGCAGAGCCAGGTGTACAGGGTGGAACATGAAAGTGAAACAGGAGCATGACCACTGAAACACAGCATCACAGGGAGACGGTCAGGCCTCAGCATGGCTGTGGGCGAGTTTGACTGATGTCAGGCCTTCCACAAGAGGTGGTGGAGCAGAGTCTTCTCTAACTACCCTGGGGAAAGGAAGACTCCCTTTCCAGGTCTGCTATGTAACTAGTGCCTTCCCAGGCACTGGGGTTACTGCTAGACCAAGGTCAACTAAGTAACGGGCGTCTTCCCAGGCACTGGCGTTACCGCTAGACCAAGGAGCCCTCTAGTGGCCCTGTCCGGGCGTGACAGAGGCTCACACTCTTGTCTTCTGGTCACTTCTCACTGTGTCCCTTCAGCTCCTATCTCTGTATGGCCTGGTTTTTCCTAGGTTATAATTGTAGAACAGAGATTATTATTATTATTATTTTTGAGATGGAGTCTCGCTCTGTCGCCCAGGCTGGAGAGCAGTGGCGCGATCTCAGCTCACTGCAAGCTCCGCCTCCCGGGTTCACGCCATTCTCCTGCCTCAGCCTCCCAAGTAGCTGGGACTACAGGCGCCCGCCACCATGCCCGGCTAATTTTTTGTATTTTTAGTAGAGACGAGGTTTCACCGTGTGAGCCAGGATGGTCTCGATCTCCTGACCTTGTGATCCACCGCCTCGGCCTCCCAGAGTGCTGGGATTACAGGCGTGAGCCACCGCGCCTGGCCATTATTTTTTTTTTTGAGACGGAGTCTCGCACTTTGGCCCAGGCTGGCGCGTTCTCGGCTCACTGCAAGCTCCACCTCCCGGGTTCACGCCATTCTTCTGCCTCAGCCTCCCGAGTAGCTGGGACTACAGACGCCCACCACCACGCCCAGCCAATTTTTTTTTTTGTATTTTTAATAGAGACGAGGTTTCACCATGTTAGCGAGGATGGTCTCGATCTCCTGACCTTGTGATCCGCCGCCTCGGCCTCCCAGAGTGCTGGGATTACAGGCGTGAGCCACCACGCCTGGCCAGAACAGAGATTATTATAATATTAGAATAAAGAGTAATGCTACAAGCTGATGACTAATACTATTCATATATCATCATATCTATAATCTCTTTCTAGTATAACTATTCTTATTTTATATATTTTCTTTATTACACTGGAACAGCTTGTGCCCTCGGTCTCTTGCCTTGGCACTTGGGAGGCTTGCTTGCCCACAGGTTGCTTTGGTTTCCTGGTTCCCTATGGCCCATGTGCCAGGGACTGAGCTCAGGGCAGTGGAGGCTGCAGAAAGAACCTTGAGCTGGGGAGGAGGCCCCCAGTCCCAGAGGTCTGCGCAGGCACCTGCTCTACGCACCTGCCCAGACATGTTTGCTGAGTGCAGGAACTGTGGGTGAACTCTGAAGGAGAGAGGAGTAAAGAACATGGCTGTGGGGTGAGGTACAACTTGCACCTCATGCCTGGCCTGTCTTCCCTGCCAGACCTTGGGCCTCTCCTATGGGCTCCCCTTGAGCTAGCCTCCCACAGTGCTGGAGCCATTATTAGCCTTTTTGTTCCCTTCTCACCCGAACCCTGATTTTATTTTATTTTTATTTTTATTATTTTTTTGAGACAAGAGTTTTGCTTTTGTCGCCCAGGCTGGAGTGCAGTGGTGCGGTCTTGGCTCACTGCAACCTCCGCTTCTTGGGTTCAAGCGATTCTCCTGCCTCAGCCTCCTGAGTAGCTGGGACTACAGGCGCTCGCCACCGCACACAGATAATTTTTGTATTTTTAGTAGAGATGGGGTTTCACCGTGTTGGCCAAGCTGGTTTTGAACTCCTGACCTCAGGTGATCGGCCCACCTCGGCCTCCCAAAGTGCTGAGATTAGAGGCGTGAGCCACTGGACCTGGCCTGAAACCCTGATTTTAAAACCTCTGGCAATAATTTCTCAAACCTCCCTACACGTCTAACAAAGACTCTGTCTTCACTTGATTGTGGTATCATTTCACAGTGTAGATGTTTATTGAATCATGTTGTACACCAAAAATATATACAAGTTTTGTTTTAAGACAGTCTCACTCTTTCGCCCAGGCTGGAGTGCAATGGCTCGATCTCGGCTCACTACAACCTCTGTCTCTGGGTTCAAGCAATTCTCCTGCCTCAGCCTCCTGTATACAAGTTTTATTTGTCATTTATACCTCAGTAAAGCTGGGTGTTGGGGGAAGACTTGGGAATAAAAAGGTTATGTCTTCAAACAAGAAGTTCGTTTGTGAGTGTAGAGGCTGGATCATCCTTCCGTTTTCTGTTCCTTCTCTCAGATTCCAGGATGGAGGCTGGGATCATGGAGTCTCCTCTGCAGAGAAAGCTCTCCAGGCAGGCAGGACTGCCGGGCACCGTGTGGGGGTGCCTCCCCTGGGGGCACCCTGTGGGGGGGCACCCTGCACCACCCCACCCGCATGGCGGTCCTGAGGACGGGTCAGATAAACCCACCCACCCCCGGGCTCGGGAGCACAGCGCCTCCCCAAGGGTTCTGCAGGAAGACCTGGGCCGGCCTGTGGGGAGCTCAGCCCCCCGCTACAGGTGCGTGTGCGGCAAGGCGTTCAGATACAACTCGCTGCTTCTCAGGCACCAGATCATCCACACCGGCGCCAAGCCCTTCCAGTGCACAGAGTGCGGGAAGGCCTTCAAGCAAAGCTCCATCCTGCTGCGGCACCAGCTGATCCACACTGAGGAGAAGCCGTTCCAGTGCGGCGAGTGCGGGAAGGCCTTCCGGCAGAGCACGCAGCTGGCTGCCCACCACCGCGTCCACACCCGCGAGCGGCCCTACGCATGCGGCGAGTGCGGCAAGGCCTTCAGCCGCAGCTCCCGGCTGCTGCAGCACCAGAAGTTCCACACCGGGGAGAAGCCCTTCGCGTGCACAGAGTGCGGCAAGGCGTTCTGCCGCAGGTTCACCCTCAACGAGCACGGCCGCATCCACAGCGGGGAGCGGCCCTACCGGTGCCTGCGGTGTGGGCAGCGCTTCATCCGAGGGTCCTCGCTCCTGAAGCACCACCGGCTGCACGCGCAGGAGGGTGCCCAGGACGGCGGCGTGGGGCAGGGCGCCCTGCTCGGAGCTGCGCAGAGGCCCCAGGCGGGGGACCCGCCCCACGAGTGCCCGGTGTGCGGGAGGCCGTTCCGACACAACTCCCTGCTGCTGCTGCACCTGCGCCTACACACGGGCGAGAAGCCGTTCGAGTGCGCGGAGTGCGGCAAGGCCTTCGGTCGCAAGTCCAACCTCACTCTGCACCAGAAGATCCACACCAAGGAGAAGCCCTTCGCGTGCACCGAGTGCGGCAAGGCGTTCCGCAGGAGCTACACGCTGAACGAGCACTACCGGCTCCACAGCGGCGAGAGGCCATACCGGTGCCGCGCCTGCGGGAGGGCCTGCAGCCGGCTGTCCACCCTCATCCAGCACCAGAAGGTGCACGGCCGCGAGCCCGGGGAGGACACAGAGGGCAGGCGGGCGCCCTGTTGGGCTTCCTGATGACGGGGACGACAGGCCGAGGATTCACGCTGGAAGCCCACCCAAGCCGGCGGGGCCCTAGCGCAGAAATTCAGAACCCCCTGTCCTGAAGGTGAAGCAAAGTCTAAAGAAAGGGCCAGCTCCCATCAGGAGCTCGGCTTCTTGCTCCAGCCGGGCACTGGGGAGGGAAAGGGCACCAGGCAGCCCGTGGTGTGGCCTCAGGAACCACTATCAGCCACCATTTCCTGGGGCCTTCCGGAAATGTCCAGGAGCGGGCAGAAGGGAGAGAGGGAGGGGCAGCTATGCTCAGTCCCCAAAGAGCAGGGCACAGGGGGCGCCACAGACGCATATGCAGCTGAGCTCCCCACAGGCCGGCCCGGGTCTTCGTGCAGAACCATTGGGCACAGCCAGGCCTTAGCGCCAGGCTCCGTGTGGCGGTCAATTCCAGGTGCTGTAAAGCCGACTAACAGGGTACAGGGAGCCTTAGCTGGCTGCCATGTCTCCTGCCTGTAATCCCATCACTTTGGGAGGCTGAGGTGGGAGGTTTGCTTAAGCCCAGGAGTTTGAGACCAGCTTGGGCAACATGGTGAAACTTCTCTACAAAAAATTTAAAAATAAGTCAGGTATCGTGGTCTGTGCCTGTACGCTGTAGTCCCAGCTACTCAGGAGGCTGAGGTGGGAGGATGGGTTGAGCCTGGGAAGTCAAGGCTGCAGTGAGCTATGATAGCACCACGGCACTCCAACCTGGTTGACAGAGTGACACCCTGTTTAAAAAAAAAAAGCCTAGATGGCTGGTGGAGCTCTATCTATCTATCTATCTATCTATCTCTTTTTTTGAGGCAGGATCTCTCTGTCAGCCAGCCTGGAGTGCAATGGCACAATCATGGCTTACTGCAGCCTCCAGCTCCCAGGCTCAAGCGTTTCTCCCACCTTAGCCTCCTGAGTAGCTGGGACTAAGGCACACACACTGTACTTGGCAGCTGGCGAAGCATTGTTTCTGAGTGTGTGAGGATGTTTTCAGTGGACTCAGTGAAGATCTGCCCTCAGCGTGGGCAGGCACATCCACTTGGTTGGGGACCCAGATGGAACACAAAGGGAGAAGACAAGCAAATTCTCTTTTCTGGAGGGAGACACCCATCTCCTGCCCTTGGACATCAGGACTCCAGGTTCTTCGGCCTTTGGACTCAGGCTTGCCACAGAGGCCTCCCAGGGCTCTCGGCCAGTCAGCCTCAGAATGAGAGTTACACCACTGGCTTCCTTGGTTCAACCACCTTCTTACCTGGACTGAGCCTCACTTACAGCTTCTCTAGGTCTCCAGCTTGCAGACAGCCTATGGGAGGACTTCTCAGCCTCCATAAGTGTGTGGGCCAGTTCGCCTAATAAATCCCCTCTCCTGGCCGGGCGCGGTAGCTCTCCCCTGTAATCTCAGCATTTTGGGAGGCAGAGGTAGGTGGATCACCTGAGGTCAGGAGTTCAAGACCAGCCTGGCCAACATGGTGAGACCCCCGTCTCTACTAAAAGTACAAAAAGTAGCTGGGTGTGGTGCTGGGTGCCTGTAATCCCAGCTACTCGGGAGGCTGAAGCAGGAGAATCACTTCAACCTGGGAGGTAGAGGTTGCAGTGAGCCGAGATCGAGCCACTGCACTCCAGCCTGGGTGACAGGGCAAGACTCTGTCTCAAACAAATAAAAATCCCCTCTCCTAAACTCCATTATTGGTTTTGTCTCTCTAGAGGACCCTAATACACTGCCCAGCAGAAGCCAGGAAGGAAGCCCTGCCAGCTCAGAAGGTGGGCCAGGAGAGAAGGGTGTGGCCGGAAGGGTAGCCGGTGGGGGTGCTGCATCCTCTTGGCCCCACGGGGAGCACCCTGTCACCCCTAACAGATGAAGAGAAGGTGAGGGGGGATTGAGTTACCTGCCCACTGGTGTGTCAAACTCCATGATGGGGGTGGGAACATGCAGACCTGGCCCCTCCAAGGCCCACTGCTCCCCGGGCTGTGCGCCCCACAGTCTGTGCCAGGGGCTGCAGAAAGAGCCATGGGAAGCCTGGCCCTGGTAGGGCACCAAGATGGGGAGGGCTGGATCCACCCTCCAGAGAACAAGAATCCTGGGCAGTAGCCGGGACATGGTGGGGGAGGCTGAAGGGTTGTCCCTGAGCATCCCCAACATGGAGCTCGGAAGTCTGGGCCATGGGCAGGAAAGCACGAAGGTCAGGGCCAGCCTGGGGAACCAAGAGCTGTGCCACGATCCCTTCCACCTGGGGCAGCTGCCCACATGCCCGCCACTGGGTTCCATCACCTGAGACTCCTGGCAGGTGCCTCTCTGAGTCTTTGTCCTGTGCTGGAAACTGGGATGTGCAGCACACATCTTCACACCCACAGCACGGACAGCGGGAATAACACTTCCTTTGGGGATCCAGGGTTTCTGGTGTCTCCAGATTTTTCAGGCGCCACCATGTTCCTCTCATCCAGACGTCAGCACCCAAGGTGGAAGCAGGTCATGGCATGCCCGGCCCAGCTGCAGTCCGAGTGCAGATCCCATGGCGAGCGTGGGATCCAGCCCAAAGCACAAGCCACGCACAGCCCGCCAGGTTGAGTGGGCAGGTACCTCCAACAGCCAGCCCAGGTTGAGTGGGCAGGTACCTCCAACAGCCTGGAGCCGTGAGGCCTTGCGCAGGGGCGTTGCCGGCCGTGGAGGTCTCTGGCTGGCAAAGTGGCACCGAAAGAGTCCTGTGTCATAACCAGACTCACTTGTAGCTTCTGTTGCTCTCCCTAGCTATTTGCAAAGCATCCAGGATAGGTTCATCTAAAGACATTCTGACTCATCTTGGACACGATCCACTTACTCTGTGGACCCTGTTCACAGAACCTGGAGTCCCTGCTCACCTTCCCCAACCCCTTATTGCTGGGTCATGTTCACAAGTTTCTGTCTCTTTTTGTTCCCAGTCCCGGTACCAGCTCAGGTCCAATCAGCTTCTGAACCTCTACTGTGCAGCGCCTGAGACAGGGTGGGAGAGACACCGACAGTAAAGCTCAGCCAGGTGCAGACTGCAGCCTGGAAGCAAAGGCTGAGACAGGGTGGGAGAGACACCGACAGTAAAGCTCAGCCAGGTGCAGACTGCAGCCTGGAAGCAAAGGCTGAGACAGGGTGGGAGAGACACCGACAGTAAAGCTCAGCCAGGTGCAGACTGCAGCCTGGAAGCAAAGGCTGAGACAGGGTGGGAGAGACACGGACAGTAAAGCTCAGCCAGGTGCAGACTGCAGAATGGAAGCAAAGGCTGAGACAGAGTGGGAGAGACACCGACAGTAAAGCTCAGCCAGGTGCAGACTGCAGCGTGGAAGCAAAGGCTGAGACAGGGTGGGAGAGACACGGACAGTACGCTCAGCCAGGTGCAGACTGCAGCCTGGAAGCAAAGGCTGAGACAGGGTGGGAGAGACACGGACAGTAAAGCTCAGCCAGGTGCAGACTGCAGAATGGAAGCAAAGGCTGAGACAGGGTGGGAGAGACACGGACAGTAAAGCTCAGCCAGGTGCAGACTGCAGCCTGGAAGCAAAGGCTGAGACAGGGTGGGAGAGACACGGACAGTAAAGCTCAGCCAGGTGCAGACTGCAGAATGGAAGCAAAGGCTGAGACAGAGTGGGAGAGACACCGACAGTAAAGCTCAGCCAGGTGCAGACTGCAGAATGGAAGCAAAGGCTGAGACAGGGTGGGAGAGACACCGACAGTAAAGCTCAGCCAGGTGCAGACTGCAGCCTGGAAGCAAAGGCTGAGACAGGGTGGGAGAGACACTGACAGTAAAGCTCAGCCAGGTGCAGACTGCAGAATGGAAGCAAAGGCTGAGACAGGGTGGGAGAGACAGGGACAATAAAGCTCAGCCAGGTGCAGACTGCAGAATGGAAGCAAAGGCTGAGACAGGGTGGGAGAGACACGGACAGTAAAGCTCAGCCAGGTGCAGACTGCAGCCTGGAAGCAAAGGCTGAGACAGGGTGGGAGAGACAGGGACAATAAAGCTCAGCCAGGTGCAGACTGCAGAATGGAAGCAAAGGCTGAGACAGGGTGGGAGAGACACGGACAGTAAAGCTCAGCCAGGTGCAGACTGCAGAATGGAAGCAAAGGCTGAGACAGGGTGGGAGAGAGACGGACAGTAAAGCTCAGCCAGGTGCAGACTGCAGCCTGGAAGCAAGGGCAGTGCCATCCTCTTTCGGGGCATTTCTGGTCACTTCAGTCTGCTGGGGGGATTCCGTGTCTCACCAGGAGACTCAGGCATGGACCTGGGTTGCCACTTTCTTCCTGTTACATGGATCTCTCTACCATGCCCCAGACCCAACACCTCAGCCTTCTCAAAGCTGCACTGCAGAAGTTCTAGCCAGAGCAGCCTGGTAAGAGAAAGACGTAAAGAGCATCCAAATACTTCCTTCCAAATGAGGAAGCCAAATGGTCCTTGTTTGCATTCAACGTGATCTTATATATAGAAAACCCTAAAAGCTTTATCAAAACATTCTTAGAACAAACAAATTCAGTAAAGTTGCAGGATACAAAATTAACATACAAAACCCAGTAACATTTCTACATACCAAACTACCAAAAAAAACCAGGAAAGCAATTCCATTTACAATAGCTACCAAAACCAAAAAACAAACCTAGGAATAAATTTAACCAATGAGGCTGGGCGCAGTGGCTCATACCTGTAATACTAACACTTTGGGAGGCCGAGATGGTGGATCACGAGGTCAGGAGATTGAGACCATCCTGGCTAATACAGTGAAACCCCATCTCTACTAAAAATACAAAAAATTAGCCGGGCCTGGTGGCACACACCTGCAGTTCCAGCTACTCGGGAGGCTGAGGCAGGAGAATCGCTTGAACCTGGGCGTCGGAGGTTGCAGTGAGCCGAGATGGCACCATCGCACTCCAGCCTGGATGACAGAGCCGGACTCTGTCTCAAAAAAAAAAAAAAAAAAAAGAAAATTAACCAATGAGGTTAAAGAGCTCTACAAGGACAATTATAAAACACTGATGAATAGGTCACACACACACAAAACGGAAAGTCATCTCATGTTCATGGATTGGAATAATTAATTTGGTGAAAATGACAATACTACCAAAAGCAATTTACAGATTAAATGCAATCCCCATCAAAATACCAATGACATTCTTCACAGCAATAGGGAAAAAAAATCCCGAAATTCATATACAATGACAGAAGACGCTGAACAGCCTAAATCAATCCTGAGCAAAAAGAACAAAGCTGAAGGCATCACACTACTTTAAAATATAGTACAAAGCTATAATAATCAAAACAGCATGGGCCAGGCACAGTGGCTCATACCTATAATCCCGGAATTTTGGGAGGCCAAGGTGGGCAGCTCACATGAGGCCAGGAGTTCATGACCAGCCTGGCTAACATAGCAAAACTCCATTTCTACTAAAAATGCAAAAATCAGCCTGGCGTAGTGGTGCACACATGTAATCCCAGCTACTTGGGAGGATGTCTTGAACCCGGGGGCAGAATTTGCAGTGAGCCAAAGTCGTGCCACTGCACTCCAGCCTGGGGAACAGAGTGAGACCCTGTCTCAAAAAACAAAACCCAGCATGTTACTGATATAAAAACAGACACATAGACCAATAGAACAAAATAGAGAACCCAGAAATAAGTCCATATATTCAGTGAACTGATTTTCAACAAAGGTGCCAAGAACATTAACTGGGGAAAGAGCAGTGAATGGTGCTGGGAAAACTGGAAATACATTTTGAGGATACGCAGAAAAATGAAACTAGAACCCTATCTTGTCCGGGTGCAGTGGCTCATGCCTGTAATCTCAGCACTTTGGGAGGCCGAGGTGGGCAGATCATTTGAGGTCAGGAGTTTGAGACCAGCCTGGCCAACATGGCGAAACCTGTCTACTAAAAATACAAAAATTAGCCAGGTGTGGTGGCACACACCTGTAATCCCAGCTACTTGGGAGGCTGAGGCAGGAGAATTGCTTGAACCAGGGAGTGGAGCGGCGAGTGGAGGTTGCAGTGAGCTGAGAGCACGCCACTTCACTCCAGCCTGGGAGAAAGAGTGAGACTCTGTAAAACAAACAAACAAAAACAAAACAAAACAAAAACCTATCTCTCACCATATATAAAAATCAAATCAAAATAGATTAAAGATGAAAGACATAAATGTAAAACCTGAAAGTATGAAACTACTAGAAGAAAACATTGGGGATATGCTTCAGGACACTGGTCTGGGCAAAGATTTTTTGGGTAAGATCTCAAAAGCAAAGGCAACAAAAGCTAAAATAGATAAGTGGGATTATATCACTCTAAAAACCTGCACAGCCAAGGAAACAACAGAGACAACCTACAGAATGGGAGAAATTTTTTACTAACTATCCATCTGACAAGGGATGAATGACCAGAATATCCTACAGAAATGGGTTTGCCAAAAAAAAAAAAAAAAAAAAAAAAATAGGCCAGGCGCAGTGGCTCACACCTGTAATCCCAGCACTTTGGGAGGCCAAGATGGGCGGATCACGAGGTCAGGAGATCGAGGCCATCCTGGCTAACACGGTGAAACCCCCGTCTCTACTGAAAATACAAAAAAATTAGCCGGGCGCGGTGGTGAGCACCTGTAGTCCCAGCTACTCGGGAGGCTGAGGCAGGAGAATGGCGTGAACCCGGGAGGTGGAGGTTGCAGTGAGCCGAGATCGTGCCACTGCACTCCAGCCTGGGCGACAGAGTGAGACTCCGTCTCAAAAAAAGAAAAAAAAAAAAAAGAATAACGAGAATATATAAGGAACTCGCACAACTCAATAGCAAAAAAAAAAAATAATAATAGTAATAATCTGATTTTAAAAGGCAAGTGATCTGAATAGACATTTTACAAAAGATGTACAAACGGCCAACAGGGGCCAGGTGCAGTGGCTCACGCCTGTTAATCCCAGCAGTTTGGGAGGCTGAGGCAGGTGGATTACTGTGGCCAGGAATTTGAGACTAGTCTGGCCAACATGGTAAAACCCTGTCTCTACTAAAAATACAAAAATTAGCTGGGCATGGTAGCTTGTGCTTGTAGTCCCAGCTGCTTGGGAGGCTGAAGCCCAAGAATTGCTTGAACCCGGGTGGCAGAGGTTGCAGTGAGCTGAGATTGCACACTGCATTCCAGCCTGGGTGACAGAGACTCTGTCTCAAAAAAAAAAAAAAAAAAAAAGCCAAAAAAAAAAGGGTCAACATCACTAATCATCAGAGAAATGCAAATCAAAACCACAATGAGATATCATCTCATCCAGTTAAAATGATTATTAACAAAAAGACAACAGATGCTGGTGAGGATGTGGAGAAAGCAGGTACTCTGCTGGTGGGAATGTAAACTATACAGCCACTGTGGAAAACACTGGAGTTTTCTCAAAAAGCTGAAAAATAGACCTACCATATGATCCAGCAATCCCACTGCTGGGTATATTTCCAAAAGAAAGGAAATCAGTATATCAAAGAGTTGTCTTTACTCATGTTTACTGCGGCACTATTCACAATAGCCAAGATAGGAATCAACCTAAGTGTCCATCAGCATGTGAATGGATAAAGAAAATGAGGTACACTTACACAGTGGAGAACTATTCATCGTCAAAGGAGGAAATCCTAGGCCGGGCGCGGTGGTTCACGCCTGTAATCCCAGCACTTTGGGAGGCTGAGGCAGGCAGATCACCTGAGGTCAGGAGTTCGAGACCAGCCTCAACATGGAGAAACCCCGTCTGTAGTAAAAATACAAAATTAGCCAGGTGTGGTGGTGCATGCCTGTAATTCCAGCTACTCAGGAGGCTGAGGCAGGAGAATTGCTTGAAACTGGGAGGCGGAGGTTGCAGTGAGCCGAGATCGCGCCATTGCACTCCAGCCTGGGCAACAAGAGGAAAACTCCGTCTCAAAAAAAAAAAAAAAAAAAAAATTCCTGTCGTTTGTAGCAACATGGATAGAACTGGAGGTCATTATGTTAAGTGAAATAAGCCAGGTACAGAAGACAAATACTGTACATTCTCACTCATACGTGGGAGTTAATAAAGTTTATCTTGGCCAGGCACAGTGGCTCACGCCTGTAATCCCAGCACTTTGGGAGGCTGAGGCAGGCAGATCACCTGAGGTCAGGAGTTTGAGACCAGCCTGGCCAACATGGCGAAACTCCGTCTGTACCAAAAATATAAAAAATTAGCCGGGCATGGTGACGCGTGCCTGTAATCCCAGTTACTCCGGAGGCTGAGGCAGGAGAATCACTTGAACCTAGGAGGCAGAGGTTGCAATGAGCCAAGATCACGCCACGGCACTCCAGCCTGGGCGACAGAGCAAGACTCCATCTCAAAAAAAAAAAAAAAAAGTTGGTCTAATGTAGGTAGAGAGTAGAATGATGGTTACTGGAGGCTAGGAAGGATGGGGTGGGAGATGAATATATGTTGATTAATGGGTACAAACATAAAGTTAGATAGAAGAAATATATTCCAGTGTTTGATAGCACACTAGGGTGATGATAGTTGTAATAATTTATTGCATATTTAAAAATAGCTAGAAGATTTGAAATGTTTCCAACACAAATAAATGATAAACGTTTGAGGTGATGGGTATCATAATCAATGTGATTTGATCATTGCACATTGTATTCGTGTGTAAATATCAAAATACGACATGTACCCCATATATAGGTACAATTATTACATATCCATCGATCAACTAGGGGGGCATTCTCACCTCACGCACTTCTCCTAACTATTGGCCGCTTCCCAGAACCTTATACTTGTCTCTGCAGTTTATTTTCTTATTCTAATACCTATTCTGACTTCTTTTAAAAATGTGTCTTTCCTTCTGTTTTTCCCCCAGTGATTATGTACTCCCTACCACTGCCAAACTTTCTGAAAGGGCTGTCATTGTCTCCACTTCCCTTGCCTCTCGTTCACTCTTTGAAATACTGCAGTTGGATTTTGAACCCCATTACTCCATTAAAATCATCCTCACCAAGTCACCAGCTGACCTCCTTATGCTGAAAACAGCGGACTCTTGTCATTCTTGCCCTCTGAGCACTCGACCGTGCCTTCCTCTCAATCGTCCCTTCCCTGTATTTTCATGACACTGCACTCTGGGTTTTCCTTCTACCTCTCCACTACTCCATCTTTTCCTTTGCCCATTCCTTAAAGATTCATATTGCTGGCCGGGCGCGGTGGCTCATGCCTGTAATCCCAGCACTTTGGGAGGCCGAGGTGGGTGGATCACTTGAGGTCAGGAGATAGAGACCATCCTGGCCAACATAGTAAAACCCCATCTCTACTAAAAAGACAAAAATTAGCCGGGCGTGGTGGCACACACCTGTAGTCCAGCTACTTGGGAAGCTGAGGCAGGAGAATCACTTGAACCCAGGAAGCGGAGGTTGCAGTGAGCCAAGACTGCGCCATTGCACTCCAGCGTGGGTGACAGAGTGAGACTCTGTCTCAAAAAAAAAAAAAAGGTTAATATTTCTTTCTGTCCTAAAGCCATCTGTCTCTTCATTTGACATACCCACTGGACAATTTCATACACTTCCATGGCTAAATTATCTTCTGTAGATGTTGGTGGCATCTAACCTCTAGTCCACATCTCCTGAATTTCCTATCTATATATCCAACTCTCTACAGGACATCTTTATTTGTATGTCTCGAAATGCCTTTTAAATCAAACTCATCATCTCCCAACACTCTCATTTGCCACTGTATCTCAAGTACCCAGGAAACACATTAAGCCTCTAAAAAACATTAATGGCCAGACACTGTGGCTCACACCTGTAATTCCAACATTTTGGGAGGCTGAGACGGGAGAATCCCTTAAGGCAAGGAGTTTGAGACCAGCCTGGCCACATGCATGTGTAAATGTCAAAATATCACATGTGCCCCATAAATACGTACAATTGTTATGTATCACTACAGGCAACATATTGAGACTGTCTCTTAAAAAAAAAAAATCGGCCGGGCGCAGTGGCTCACCCCTGTAATCCCAGCACTTTGGGAGGCTGAGGCAGGCGGATCACGAGGTCAGGAGATCGAGACCATCCTGGCTAACACGGTGAAACCCCGTCTCCACTAAAAATACAAAAAATTAGCTGGGCGTGGTGGCGGGCACCTGTAGTCCCAGCTACTCAGGAGGCTGAGGCAGGAGAATGGCGTGAACCCGGGAGGCAGAGCTTGCAGTGAGCCGAGATCGCGCCACTGCACTCCAGCCTGGGCGAAAGAGCGAGACTCTGTCTCCGGAAAAAAAAAAAAAAGAAAGATCAAATGATCAAATGATGTGAGGCTGTGGTGCCCGCTTTGTAGAAATGAAAGGATCTAATTGAAGACAGAAGTTTTGGGCACAGAGGCCACAGCCCAAATCCTTCACCTAAAATCACTATCTCTGAGCTACTTTTTAACTTTAAAATAAAAGGAAAAAATAAAAAATAAAAAATAAAATAAAATAAAAGGAGGCTGGGCGTGGTGACTCATGCCTGTAATCCCAGCACTTTGGGAGGCTGAGGTAGGTGGATAGCTTGAGGCCAGGAGTTCAAGACCAGCCTGGCCAACATGGCAAAACCCTGTCTTTACTAAAAATACAAAAATTAGCCGGGTGTGGTGGTGCGCGCCTGTAGTCCCAGCTACTCGGGAGGCTGAGGCACAAGAACCGATTGAACCCGGGAGGTGGAGGTTGCAGTGAGCTGAGATCACACCAGCCTGGCTGACAGAGTGAGACTCTGCCTAAAAATAAATAAATAAAAATAAAATAAAATAAAATGTAAAAAGAAACAGGTAACATTAAATACAGTAATACACTTTATTTACCTTAAATCCAAAATATAATTCCAAATGCAATCAATATAAAAAAATCATCGGTGAGAGATTTGATTTGATTTTTCATACTGAGTCTTTGAAATCAAGTGTTTTCATTTGTGGCACATGTCGATTTGGACGGGGCACTTTCCAGGTGTCTGATGGCCACGTGGGGCTTGAGCCCACCATGCTGGACACTGCAGGTCCTGACTAAAGGGGCGCTGGGGTGGGTGAACTGCTGCCTGGCCCCACTTCTGGCCCCTCCTTTCCTGCAGCCCTTCCCACAGGGCCTGCCACTTCTCCCGCTCCCTGCCCCAGGCCACTGTTGGGGAGGTCAGCATAGCCCTTGTCCCCTAAGTTAAATGGAGGGGCAAATCTGCAAGCTTCTGCCCAAAACGTCTCGGAGTGGACACTTCAACCTGGCAGCAACTCTGGGGCCAGTTAGCTTGGATTTCTACGTAACGGGCAAAATGTCATAGGCTCCCACAAGGAAGCAGCGCCCTCCACCCAGCTCTGTGGCCTTTGGCTCTAATCTGACACTGTATGGGTGGCCAGGCCCCCAGGCTGGACCCACAGCAGCCTCCCACTACCGCCAGTGGCCTGAGATTGGCAGTTAGAACTCAGATCCTGAAACTAAACCACATCCTGCAGAACACTAAGCAAGGGACTCACTTTATGATCTAAGATCCAAACTCCTTTGTGAACTCCCCATTGTCTGGCTTGGGGAAAAAAGCCTGTCACTAACTGAGGAGTCTAGTTACTCACACTTCTTCACCAGCAGCCCAAGGGGGTCTGACAGGGGGTAGGGGGAGATCACATTGCATTGGAAAAAGAAACCCCCAGCCTATGGGACACAAGCTCCTTTCACCTGTGCTCCTCCTCTCCTGCTCAGCATCACACCTGGCCTGCAATCACCCACAACTGTCCTCCTCCCACACACAGCTGCTGTGGAAGGCAGGAGGTGGTTCTGTGGGCGTGGGGGAGACCCTGGTGGCACCCTTAGCAGCCTGACCTCTGTGCCTCCGTGTCTCACCTGCAAAGGAGGGCATCTCCTGCCTCACAGGTGCTTGTGAGGACGAGCTGAGAGACCAGCTTTTGAACGGGGAGGGGCTGTGACATGTCAGGGCTGTTCTGGACCCAGGGTTACTGCAGTGAACCAGAAAGATTGTGCTGCAGGAGCCGAGGAGGTTGCCCTGACAGGCCTGGAAGTGGCTTAGGCTTGGATCCTCCATCCCTGAGCACCTGGCATCGGGCAGACCAGCCTCCCTGGGGCAATGCCCACTGAGAAGCTGCAAAGCATCCTCCTGGACCATCTGTACCCTGGGGGGACATCCCTTGGTCCCTCTGTACCCTGCAGACCGGCCCCTCTTGAGGGACACACAGACTCCGGCAAGGCAGGAGCCAAGGGCAGTGAAGCAAACCTGTCAAGGTGCTGCCGTTCCCTTGGGTGTCTCCCGCCAAGCGGCCTCCATTCTCAAGGAAGGGAGCACCGGCCACCTGTATGCATCCACCGCGCGAGTGCGCAGGGGCAGGCTTGCCAGGACGGAGCGGCCTTGCCACCCACTGCCCACGAAGGCATCCTGGCACACCCAGCATGGTCTGAAACCCTCGTATGAAGGAGGAGCTTCTCACAGCCTGCTGCTGCCCCAGCCACAAGAAACACAGGAGCACAGGTAGGGCCCACGGAGTCCTTGAGGCCTGCTACGAGGGGCCAGTAACTACGTTTACGCCAGCAGCCATAAGCACAGGGACACAGGCAGATACCACCAGCCCGGGAAGGACGGGTGCGGTGGCTCACGTGCCACCTGCCTTCTTGCCGCAGCAGGCCTGTGGCCACTCTCTGGCTCTGCCTATCCCCATGCAGGCTGGACCTGTGGGGCACTGGTCCCTGGAGGACTCGAGGTCATGGGAGACTCTGACCCTGCCCCCAAGGAGTCTAGGGGAGCTCAGAGGTGCTCAGCTGGAGACAGGCCTGTGAGGGAAAACTGTCATTCACGCCGCAGGCCACATAAGAGTGACCAAGGGGTCACAGGTCTGAAAGGGCACTGGCGAGGAAGATGGGGAGGGCACCAGTGGGGGCCAGATGAGGACTCCGGGGCCCTGAGGCCTGAGAACAACCTTCACCTGCCGTGAGACACACCTGACGGCTGCACCTGCCGCTGATGTGGAGGCAGCCAGAGCTGCGGCCAGGAGTTCAGGACCAGCCTGTCAGCAGCTGCCAGAGAGGCCCCACCAGGCACCCCCAGTGCCTCTCACCTGCCAGGCTCTAAGCTCTGGAGCTGTCTGTTCTCAGAGTCCACCCCAAGGAGGCAAGACACTGTTGGGCCTCACAAGCCCTGTGCCCCGGCTGTCGCCTGCATCGACATGGCCCAGCAATCCAAGCCGGCTCATCCGGCAGCTCCAGGGCCCCTCGGTGTTCGTGGGTCTTTGTGAGCTGGGGAGAGCTGGAGAGAGGCCCCTCCGCGTTCGTGGGTCTTTGTGAGCTGGGGAGAGCTGGAGAGAGGCCCCTCCGCGTTCGTGGGTCTTTGTGAGCTGGGGAGAGCTGGTGAGCAGGCCCCCCTTCTGTGAAACAATCTGGGCCTCAATGATGAGTCAAGACTCAGGTCCAGTCCTGGTGGCCGGCCACCCTCCCTCCTCTAGGACACCCTCCTCTTGTCCATCACACCAGGACGTCCCCTTCTCCTCCCTCTAACTTCCACTGAGAATGGCCGGCCGTCCACGGGCTCCACGCCCCTAGCCAGGGCTACAGTCCTCACAACCTGGCTTGAGGTCTGAGCTACCGGCTGAGGGTTTCTGCCCTGGGCTCTAGCCGTGGCCTCCTGGCTCCTTTGTTTTCTTTCTTTTCTTTTTTTTTTTTGAGACAAGGTCTGGTTCCATCACCCAGGCTGGAGTGCAGTGTCGTGATCTTGGCTCACTGCAACCTCCGCCTCCCAGGTTCAAGTGATTCTCCTGCCTCAGCCTCCTGAGTAGCTGGGACTACAGGCACCCGCCACCACGCCAGGCTAATTTTTGTATTTTTTGTAGAGACAGGGTCTTGCCATGTTGCCCCGTCTGATCTAGAACTCGTGAGCTCAAGCCATTTGCCCTCTTTGGCCTCCCAAAGTGCTGGGATTATACGCACGAGCCACCGTGCCCGGCTGACTCCTTTTTCTGAAACTCTTGAAAACTTCTTGTCTCTACACCTGCTCAAATTCAAAATCTACTCCCAAACCCCAAGACTGCAAAGAAACAACAGTCAAATCTCAGCCATCCCCAGCCACAAGCCCAAGGCTGATGGACAGACCCCCACCTAGACCCAAACTGCGTCTCTGTCCTGGGGGGACAGACCCGGCCTGGACCCCTCTGTGCTGAGCCCCTCTGGTCCTGGGCACCTCAGCAGTCCCACCAACCTCTCACCACACCATCTCTGTCGCCACTCGGGTGCTGCAGAGTCTGCAATGGTGGTTGATTGACAGCTCCCCCTCTCCTCCATGGTACAGCCCCCACCAGCAATGCAGCTGTTCCTGTTCAACAACAGGCCCCGAATGACCAATATGACAACATGGAGGTCCTAACAGCTGCTAATCGAACCCCAGGTTTCTCCTGCTTGAACCCAGGGAAGGATCCCTTGCCTCCTGAGATGCACTTCAAACGGCCATGTGCTGCTGAAGGGCCTGGAAACCCAGCCTCACCTGACCTCACTTCTCCTCACCCTCACCTGGAATGACCACAGTCCCTGCACCAGGGCAAAGCCAATCGCTGTCATTCAGGCTGCTCCTCCCTGACCGACCATCTCCCCTCAGGACCCCTGGTGCCCTGAACAGCAGGCACAGAGAAGACCCTCCAAGGTCACGGCAGTAGATACCCTCTCCCAGCCCATGTCACCGGGTCCTCAAGCTGGAAGCCTCACTGTCGACTCATAACCAGCCCGTGTGGCACTGCTTCCTGAGGCTGCCTCCCCCTGGACATCCCTGGTGTGATGGCAGCACGGCCATCCCCAACGCACAGCAGAGCCTCCATCTCCAGGGCCTCTGTGCCATCCTCCTCTGTGTGTGCGCAGCAGCCTCTACTGCTGTTCCCAAAACCCCAGTCCTGTGGCTGCTCTGGCACTCGTGGGTCTCTGTATGGCATGGTGCCCAGGTGGGGCCAGCTGTCTGCCCCAGCCCTCCGTGAGGTGGGCGCTGTGGCTCTTGGAGGCTCCTGGCTCCTAGTTCTCTGTCCTCCGAAACTTCTGAGCTCCCAGGCCCACTCCAAGTTGTGGCCTGGCCTATGGCAGTGGAGCTGTGTCCACCCTGTTCACGCTCACTCACCTCTGCTAGGGTCCCTTGGGAGCACTCTCCCCCGTTTCTGGCCGGGTGAGGATCCAGGGCGCCTCCCCTCATTCCAGCAGGGAGATTAGCTCAGGTTTGCAGGCTGGAAATCCTGCTTGAGGAAAACAGTCCAGAGGCCTGGAGTGAGCCTGGGGAGGTGCAGCAGGCAGGGCCTGAACCGGCGGACCCTCATACCCAGCTAGCCAGGCGGGCTGCCCACAGGACACTTGAAGGGTAGGAAGCGGCTGCCAAGATCTCACCCCCAAAGATGCCCAGCTGGCACAAGCCTCCAGTCTCTCTTGATTTGGCTGTTAGAGAAAAGCAGATTCTGCTTGTGGTTGTCATCATGCCATCCCAAACAGATCATCACTACAGGGAGGCACGATCTCTGTACTCTGATGGGTGCGGCATGGGTGAGGACTGACTGTCCAGAGGGCCCAGGGTGCCTTCCAGGAACACCTACAGCACCGCGACCTGATGCTCACCTCACCCCATCCCACAGCAGCCCAGTGCCCTCCTGGCAGTGCCCACTCCTCCCCAGCTCACCCGTCAGGCACTGTTCCTCCCTAGGTGTTCTCTCCACTGCATAGAGGCTTGGACCCGACTTCACGAAGACATTTTGAAACCATGCACCAGAGAGTGTGTGCATAGAATGAAGAACCTTTTGTTTGCAGGGCTCCGTCCCTGCTCTCCAGGGTCACCCAAGCATTTGGGGCCTTGATCCTGGAGAGGCTGCTCCCTCCAGGGCTAGCTAATTCCCAGAGACGGCAAACACTCCCCTTCCAGTGCACCTTTTTTTTTTTTTTTTGAGACGGAGTCTCGCTCTGTCACCCAGGCTGGAGTGCAGTGGCGTGATCTGGGCTCACTGTAGCCTCTGCCTCCTGCGTGCAGGCGATTCTCCCACCTCAGCCTCCTGAATACCTGGGACTACATGCGTGCACCACCACACCCTGCTAATTTTTTTGTATTTTAATAGAGACGAGGTTTCACCATGTTGGCCAGGCTGGTCTCACCTCAGGTGATCTGCCCTCCTCGGCCTCCAAAGTGCTGGGATTACAAGCGTGAGCCACTGTGCCCAGCCCCAGTGCACCTTTGAGACACAAACCAACCAATCCAGAGTCCACAACTATCTCCCTCCCTTATCACACGGTCACTCACCAAGCCAATATTTCCCCTGCCCTAAGTAACCCGAGGGCCAGGTACCGGACAAGAAGGGGCCACCCCTACAGCCCTGAGCCTGCCACAATTGTTCAAATAGTCCAATCGTGAGCTCACTCTGCATACCTACCCTGCCTGCCCTCTCCTTCCAGAGAAAATAAAGGCTCCGGCCAAACTCAGTCCTCTCCCCCTTTCTGCCTCCTGGCCATCCCTGGTCCTTCTCATGTCGCCCTGTGTGCCCTGCCCAGTTTCCAGGGACCCACGACTATAACTTCTTCCTTCACAACAGTCATTCTCACGTGTGCATGCCTTACCACACCTGTTAAAACAAATCCACGGGTCCGGGCGCGGTGGCTCACGCTTGTAATCCCAGCAATTTGGGCGACCGAGGTGGGCAGATCTCCTGAGGTCAGGAGTTCGAGACCAGCCTGGCTAACATGGTGAAACCCCGTTTCTACTAAAAATACAAAAAATTAGCCAGGCGTGGTGGCAGGTGCCTGTAATCTCAGCTACTCGGGAGGCCGAGGCAGGAGAATCGCTTGAACCCGGGAGCAGAGGTTGCAGTGAGCTGAGACTGTCATTGCACTCCAGCCTGGGCAACAAAAGTGAAACTCTGCCTTAAAAAACAAACAAACAAACAAAAAACAAATCCAGGATACATTTGAACTCACCTTGAGATGTGGGTGTCTGCACTCACCTTGAGATGTGGGTGTCTGCAGATGGCAAGGGACCTGTGGAGGGGCTCTGTGGATTGGAAGCACCATTGCTCTGGGCTGTCCACTCGGATACGGAGAGTGCTGTTGGAAATGCAGCACCTTGAAAGTGTCTTTGTAGTTGAGATTTTTTCCTGGAAACATTTACAGCTTGGAACTGTTCTATCTGGCCAAATATGAGGAGGCTAGAGTTGCCCCAAAAGTGGCAGCAAGGGAGTTGCCTCAAAAGACTTCCCCAAACAGTCCCGCGATGGAATTGGTTGGGATTCCAAGGAAAGAAGCTCTAAACGCCAGGGTGATCAGTCCAGAGCATTTCTTCCGGAAATTTTCACATGGAGCTTCAGCTTTCTTGGGATCGATGATGAGGCAAGGGATGCTCCACCCAGGTACATTTGCAGCAAGGGACTCTGGCTATGGAGCTTAGATGAGAGTTTAAGGGATTGGACTCAGGGCAGGGCCAGTTTCTACGTGTTTAGCAATAGGGTTGATTGTGTTTTCAAGCAACCTAAACAGCTTTATCAGGGAATGTGCCCGGCCCCATTGAACTGGGTTCAAGGCTGCAGGGAACACGCAATGGCCAGGTCCCAGAGCAATCAAAGGACTCTGTGTTTCTCAATCAGTAGAGAAAGAAAAGGGGGAACTGGAAGACCCTGTGAATCCCAATCTCAGCTAGGGATGAGCAATCCAGGCTGGCCCAGAGCATAAGCACCGTGACCATGTGAGGGCCTGAGTGTGCCTGGCTTTGGAGGGTCTGCTTGCTCAGTGGCCTCTAGACTCAGCCGGGCAGTGGATGCAGTGGATGGAGGAAGCCCCCTCGCCCCAGACAGGACCTCAGGGCCTCAGAGCCCTGGCATCTGCACCCTGGACACAAGGAAGGTGCCTATGAGGTGGATGCTCTAGCCAGGCTTTCTCCCCCTCCTGCTCCTGTGTTACCCTGGTGTGCCCCCCTCACCTGCAGCAGGCCAGGTTGGGGCATAGGGTTGCCGGCCCCTACCAGCCCTGGGGGTCTGGAGGGCGGCTGGGGAAGCAGACCCCCTGTCCTTCCCTATCCTTCGCGACATGCTCCCTGAGCAGCTGCAGTCCACTTAGATGACCAGAGAGGATGTGGGGCTGAGGGAGCCGAACTCGGGGCAGCAGGGGCGGGGGTGGGAGTGCCGGGATCATCCGCACCGGGAGAGGCGAGGCCGGCGTCTGTTTTTCACCTGGGCCTCCCTGGGGGGCTGGGGGCTGCCTGACTCTTCCCTCCTTTGGTTTGCGCAAGTTTTCCCGCGCGGGTTCGGATCAACACGCCGGGGGAGCCCGGCTTACGTCCCTCCTGGACCCCCGCCCCGTTCTTCCCGTGGGGAGGGGCGCGTCAGGCGGACCTGGCACCCTCCGGCTGCTGGGCTTCGCCGGGAGCCACGCGGGGAGGTCCAGGCAGTCGGGACGCAGGCAGCGTCCTCGCCGAGGCTGCGAGTCCGTGGCCGTCCGGGGGAGGCGCGCAGGCTCTGCCGGACGCAGAAGGAACCCGAAGGAGGCGGGGTGGAGGGCGGTGCGGGGCCGGGGAGGGGCGAGGCGAGTGGCGAGTGGACGCCGGGCCCGGCCTCGGGCAACTCCGAGGGGCGCCCTTCCTCGGGGTCCCGGAGGCTCTGCGACCCCGCGGCCGCTCCAGCCGCTCACTGGGGACAAGGCCCGAGCCAGGCGTCTCCGCGAGGCGGGGTCCATAGCGCGCCCAGCAGGCGCCTCCTGTCGCAGGGACGCGGGGGAGCGGCGCCTGAACAGCCTCGGTGGGAACCAGCGCCCGAAGCTGGTGATCCGGGGTGCGCAGGGCCCAACCGGGCGATCCCCTGGATCTCCGCCAGCCTCGCCCCGACTCCGCTCCTCCCACCCGCCAGCGAGTCCGCAACTCCCGGCCCCGGCCCGCGTCCCCAGCTCCAGGCCCCGGCCCCGCCCCGCCCCTGCTCAGGCACCGCCCACTCCGGGCTCTGGGCCCTCCTCTCCCTCGCGGCTCCGCCCCCTGCCCGCCTCTGACTGTACCCCGCCCCCAGGCGCCAGCCCCGCCTATCTGGGCTTCTGGTCCCGCCCAGGTTCTTGTCCCTCGGGCCCCAGCCTCGCCCCTCCTCGGCTCTGACTCCACCCCTTCTCCGGAGCCTGGGAGGCGGGGCTGAGAACCACAGAGATGGCCGGGCCTCCGAGCGGCCCAGGGCGGCCGGAAGTTTGCGGGGCGGGGCGGACGCGGGTGGCCAAGGCCCGTTTCCGGCGGCGTCGCGCGTTTGCGAGCCTCGGGTGGTCCTCAGGGAGGGTGAGTCGGCGCGGCGGGCGCGGACTCGGGTTGCCCTCGGTCCGAGTGATCCCTGGTCGCTTCCTTAGCCCTCCCGCCTTCGGCATTGGGGTCCCCGCGTCCCCCGGGCCTCCAGGCGGGAAAGCGCGGGGGCTTTGCGGGGCCTTGAGCGCCTGGTGTGGGAGGTGGTCGAGCCCAGCCACCCTCCCCCGCGGCGGCGCGAGGTGGGCTTCGTTTGGCCGAGTCTCGCAGCTCCCCGCAGACCCCGCTCGTGGCGGCCACGGTGTCCGGGGCCTGAGTAAGGCGAGCTCCAGCTGCGGCCTTTTCTTCAGGCCTGGGTCTACTCCCGGGGCCCTGACTCCTCCTGCGAAATCACCTCCTTCTAGAGCCTTTTCTCTTTCTATTTATTGCCCCGGAAGGCCTAGGATAAGTGACAGTGGAGGAAGGAACGGTGCCTTGGGTGGGGTAGGCTGTTTGTCTTCTCTAAATTCTGGTTGCTATTCCGGGCATTCCTACTGTCAGGAGCCAGGTGGGGGGATCAGCCTACCTGTGCCGGTGACCTGGGGCTTCCACCCACAAACCACTTTCTGGGCCAGAAGCTGCCATACGAAGACTCTTTTTCCCATTCCGACCTCCCGGGGGAATGCCTGGGCAGGTAGAGGGTCTGGGGTCATTGGCTTAATTGAGGTGAACGATTTATATCAGATTACATCCCTGTGCCTGGTTCCATCCTGGCGACAGGTGAGCTGGAGACTGGAATTTATGTACTTGAGGGCAGGGGTTTCCATGTCCACTCTTGTCTTCCCTACAGTTTGTCATTTTTGCTCCTGCCTTCTCCAACCTCCAGTCGCTCACTGCCTTCCCCAACCTCCAGTCGCTCACTGCCTTCCCTTGCTGCCGGGAATTTACCCACACTGGTTCATCCAACCCCATTTCTTCTTGCTTCAGGCCCTTTCACATGCTATTCCTGCTGCCTGGAGTGCTCTCTCCACCTCCATTACCTTGGCCGAGGTCCCTGGGGAAGTGACCCATTACACTGAACGTTCTAGTCTAAGTGGCTTTCATAGTTCCCTGTACTTGAGCGCTGTCGTGGTTGCAGTGTGCTTATTTGTGTGGTTATTTAACTCTTTCCTCCGCCAGACTGCTTCGTGAAGGCAGGGTCCTCGTGTCCACTACTGTATCCCCATTACTCAGTGCCTGGCACGTGGCATCCACTTCTTACGGCTTTGTGGAGTGAGTCACACATGCCACACACACATACACTCTAAAGAGGAACAAGAGTTCAGTGGGCCTCCTTCACTCAAGTGCCATGGCTGCTTCAGCCCAGCCCCATGTCCCTGCTAGAGAAATCTGGGGCTGGAGGTAAAGGAGCAGAGAGCACAGTACCCCCTTGATTAGCCTGGAAGTTGGGCTTCTGGCACCTTGACCTCTAATCCTTTCATAATTGCCAACAGGTCTCTCGGCCAGAACACGTGGATGCCCACCCACCACTGAGCCTCATGGTAGGAAGCTTGACTGCCTCCTTCCCCTCGCATGTCCTGTGAAGGCCCACCTCCTGCTCTGCCCACTGGCCCTGGGCCCAGACCCTACCTTGGCCCTTGCTGGGCTTAGGAAGGCCCCCTTGCCCCCAACCCCAAGGTAGTGAGCAAACCCCTGCCCAAACCAGGGCCTAATTGAGGCTCTTGAGGGGGGAGGGTTGTATGACCACCATGGACTGGGTTCCTTCCTCCTCCCCGAGACTGCCCCTCCCCAGAATATTAGAGGCAGAGGAGTCCTGGTGAGCGTCTCGCCCAACCCCATGGGGCAGCTGCCTGAGACATGTCATGAGGCAGCGCCAGAAGGGGGCTGGCACCCAGGGATTCCTGGGGTGCTGGTGTGTGTCCTTTCAGGAGGTGGTAACATTTGGCGATGTGGCTGTGCACTTCTCTCGGGAGGAGTGGCAGTGTCTGGACCCTGGCCAGAGGGCCCTCTACAGGGAAGTGATGCTGGAGAACCACAGCAGTGTGGCTGGACTAGGTGAGGCTGCACCTTGGGGCCCCTTCCCCTGCATCATCAGTCAGCACCCACCCAGCCAGGCCTCCATCAGAGGCTGGGGTATGCAGGCCAAACGCTCAGACCCTTGTGGGCTCCACAGGGGGCTTGGACTCATGAGTGGTGTGCCAGGCTGGTTCCTAGCTTTGCCCATGTCATGGGGTTCAGCCCCCAGGGAGTGGGTGGGATTCTGGGAGTTAGTAAAGCCTCTTTTTTTCCTAAGCTGTTAAATTGTGAGAAATAGAATCCAAACTTGAAATAGCTTAGACAAGAAAAGAGAAATTATTGGGTGGAGAAATCCAAGGAAAAGGTTGTGCAACGAGCAAGAGGTGGCAGCGACGCCCACACGGCTGCTTTGCAGATGCCGTCATCCCCTTGCCCCTCCTGTCCTGCCGTTAGTCTCCTCTCTGAACTCCACCACCGCCACAGGCAGCCACTGCGGTGCTCTTTATGTCCATGCCTGTGTCCTCACAAGCTGTATACTGTCGTTGGATTGCAACTTGGTGAGGGGGGGTGCGTCTTAACTTGGGCCTTGCTGGGCCTCTTGCCTGTGACTAAGCCCTCTGCTGCATCACACGCCCGAGAGAGTGCCTGGGCTGGGGGATCAGGAGTGGAACTGACGCGGGCATCGTTGGTTGGCCAGGAGCTTCTTGGGGTGTTGGACCAGGCCTGTCCCCCTCTGTCCCGGCTAGTCTGGCAAAGTCCAGCTTTCTGTTTTGCCAGTCAGATAAGTGTACAGTGGGAGGCTGTTGTAGTTTGAGTTTGCATTTCTCTGATTTCTGCTGAGCTTGAGCCTATTTTCACACCCTCATTAGCTTGCCAGGTTCTTCTGTGAAATATCTGTTCAGGGCATTTGCCCATATTCTAGGTCCGCTGTGTCTTATTGCTTTGAAGGTGTTGTTTCTTCATTCTGTCTAAGATGCCTTACTTTGTAAAACATGTAGTTATGTACACATCATTATTTTAAGAAAGTTGGAATGCTACTGATTACACGCATTTTTTAATCATTTAATTTTACTTTATACTTTTTAAAGAGCCCTCTTAGACTCATTTAGATGTGGTTTACCCTGTCTCACTGAAATAGGAAAAGACACATGCAGTGAGGGTCCTTTTTTTTTTTTTTTGAGATTTTGAGATGGAGTCTTGCCCTGTCACCCATGCCGGAGTGCAATGGCGCGATCTTGGCTCACCGCCACCTCCGCCTCCTGGGTTCAAGCGATTCTCCTGCCTCAGCCTCCCGAGTAGCTGGGATTACAGGTGTGAGCCACCGTGCCCAGCCGGAGTAAGGGTACTTCTAATGTTTCTTCACAGCTTTTAGTGACCCCACTCTCTGGTTTGGTTATCTGTGTCCATGCTTTCCACGTGATGGCAACCTGTGGGCCTGGCCATCTAGAGGTGCTGCAGCTTTTCGTAAGTGGTGTTGGGGTTTTCTTCATCCAGTGAGCTTGGTGCTTGAGCTTTCTTGCTTGGCATGTAGCAGCTCCATCTGCTGTGCCTGTCCTCCTCTCTCAGGCCCTGTGTGTACACAGTTGCTGATGTACCAGTAACTGGAATTGCAGTCATTCCCCCAGCAGCAGTTTGCTTCTCCAGGCTCAAAGGTACAGCTGCTGTTCTTTTTCCATGGCTTCTGTCTATTTATAACGTCCTGCTGCTGTGCCAAGTCACAGGGTAAAGCTTTTGAAGACAGTGTAGAGAGCAGCTGAATTCAGCATGTATTGTATGATGGTGCTGGTGACTTACCTGCAGCAGTGACTGAGCAGCTGGGGCAAGCTCGTGTGTGCACAGGCAGTGATGGTGTGTCACAGCTGCCACCTGGCGGATGACATCAATTCCTAGATGCGTCCAAGAGATGGGAAAGGGTTTTATAAAAACACTATCTTAGGGCCGGGCGCGGTGGCTCATATCTGTAATCCCAGCACTTTGGGAGGCTGAGGCGGGTGGATCATGAGGTCAGGAGATCGAGACCATCCTGGCCAACAGGGTGAAACCCCCGTCTCTACTAAAAATACAAAAATTAGCTGGGTGTGGTGGCGCATGCCTGTAATCCCAGCTACTCGGGAGGCTGAGGCACGAGAATCGCTTGAACCCTGGAGGCGGAGCTTGCAGCGAGCTGAGATCGCACCACTGCAATCCGGCCTGGGCAACAGAGCGAGACTCCATCTAAAAAAAAAAAAAAAAAAGACTATCTTAGAATTTATAAAATATGGTAAGTACCAGGTTAGTTTTGTTTATTATAAATCACTTTTTCAGCCGGACATGGTGTTGCATGCCTGTAGTCCCAGCTACTGGGGAGAGCGAGGAGGGAGGATTGCCTGAGCCTGGAAGGTCAAGGTTGGAGTCAGCTATGATTGTGCCACTGCAGTCCAGCCTAGGCAACAGAGTGAGACCCTGTCTAAAAAAAAAATCTTCTCTGCTTCTTTTGTGTTTGTTAACTTTGTTAGGTCAGATTTTAATGTAATTACTGTGTTTTTGCCTTATGGATTGTCTCTTTGAAGTTTTATTTAAAAGTTCTGTCCGGGCACAGTGGCTCACACCTGTAATCCCAGCGCTTTGGGAGGCCAAGGCGGGCGGATTGCCTCAAATCAGGAGTTCAAGACCAGCCTGGGCAACACAGTGAAACCCTGTCTTTATTAAAATGCAAAAAAAAAAAAAAATTAGCTGGGCATGGCAGTGTACACCTGTAGTCCCAGCTAATTGGGAGGCTGAGGCAGGAGAATTGCTTGAACCTGGGAGGCAGAGGTTGCAGTGAGCCGGGATTGTGCCACTGCACTCCAGCCTGGGTGACAGAGCGAGACTCTATCTCCAAAAAAAAAAAAAGTTCTTCCCTGGCTGGGTGTGGTGGCTCACACCTGTAATCCCAGCACTTTGGGAGGCCGAGGCGGGCAGATCACCTGAGGTCAGAGTTTGAGACCAGCCTGACCAACATGGTGACACCCCGCCTCTACTAAAAATACAGACATTAGCCAGGCGTGGTGGCGGGTGGTTGTAATCTTGGCTTCTCAGGAGGCTGAGGCAGGAGAATTCCTTGAACCCAGGAGGCAGAGGTTGCACTGAGCCGAGATCACACCAGTGCACTCCAGCCTGGGTGACAGAGTGAGACTCCGTCTCAAAAAAAAGTTCTTCCCTCCTCCAAGGTCACTGAGATGGGCTTCATTTTCTCCTGTGGATTTTATAGTTTGTATTTCTCATCTGTATCCCAGCTCCACATTTGTATTGGGGTTACGTAAAAATCCCTGTTTTATTTTGTCCACACATAGCTGTTTTCCCCAACATCATCTATTAAACAGTCTCCTTGGCCAGGCTCGGTGGCTCACACCTGTAATCCCAGCACTTTGAAGTAGGCCGAGGTGGGCGGATCACCTGAGGTCAGGAGTTCGAGACCAGCCAGGCCAACATGGTGAAACCTCATCTCTACTAAAAATACAAAAATTAGCTGGGTGTGGTGGCTCACGCCTGTAATCCCAGCTACTCAGAAGGCTGAGACAGGAGAATCGCTTGAACCTGGGAGGTTGAGGTTGCAGTGAGCTGAGATCGTGCCACTGCACTTCAGTCTGGGCAATAAGCGAGACTTTGTCTCAAAAAAAAAAAAAAAAAAAGACTATCTCCTTTTCCTGTTGACATGTGGAGCCACCATTTTCATCTATGAAATGGGATGTTTCTGAACCCTGTTCTCTTCCCTGAATCTCTCTTGTGGGCCAGCTTCCTGCTTTTGGTTTGTTTTGGTTTTTTTTTGTTTGTTTGTTCATTTGTGTTTTTGGCTTTTTTTTGAAATAAAGTCTCACCCTGTCACCTGGGCTGGAGTACAGTGGTGCGATCTCGGCTCACTGCAACCTCTGCCTCCCAGGTTCAAGCAATTCTTGTGCCTCAGCCTCCTGAGTAGCTGGGATTACAGCTACTCAGGCATGTGCCACCACACCCGGCCAATTTTTTGTATTTTTACTAGAGATGGGGTTTCGCCATGTTGGCCAGGCTGGTCTGGAACTCCTGACCTCAGGTTATCCACCCACCTTGGTCTCCCAAAGTGCTGGGATTACAGGTGTGAGCCACCGTACCTGGCCAGTTTGGCTTTGTTTTTTATTTTGGGGTGGTTTTTGTTTTTTGCTTTAATTTTGTAGTGTTTCTTAATACTACAAGAATACTAAAAGAATTAAACTCACCCGTTTAATTCTTTTTTTTCTGGGACGGAGTTTCGCTCTTGTTGCCCAGGCTCGAGTGCAATGGCGCGATCTCAGTTCACTGCAACCTCCGGCTGTTGGGTTCAAGTGATTCGCCGCCTCAGCCTCCTGAGTAGCTGGGATTACAGGCATGTGCCACTACACCCGGCTAATTTTTATATTTTAAGTAGAGATGAGGTTTCACCATGTTGGCCAGGCTGGTCTCGAACTAACCTCAGGTGATCCGTCTGCCTCGACCTCCCAAAGTGCTGGGATTACAGGCTTGAGCCACCATGCCCGGCTGCATACTAATTTTAGAATAAGTTGAGTTCCTAAAAGCCACTGGAATTTTTATTGGGAGTGCTTTGAAACTGTTTTCTGTCAATGTAAAAGTTTTGATTTTTTTGCTTTGTGAATGTATTTTTAGCTGATTATTGCTGTAGTACAAAAATGCTGTTGGTTCTGGAGGATGATCTTACATCTGGCAACTTTGTGGAACTCCCTGGGTAAATCAGTGTTGCTCGGTGATTCTGCTGTTTTCCAGCAGGAGGATTCCTGCAAATGAGAGTTTGGTATTTTCCCTCCCAGCCCTCACTCCTCCCATCTCTGCCTTTGCAGTGGCCAGCACAGTGTTAAACAGGACCGTGTGGGCATGTTGTGTTCCTGATTTTAAAGGGAATGCATCTACATAACCACAGAATTTGGCTAAGGAGTTTTTTTTGTTTTTAATCATAAATACTGAATTTCAAATTCTTTTTCTGCATCATTTGAGACACGTGATTTATTTTCTTTATTAATGCAGGAAATTACATTGTTATATTTTCTTGTATTCCTGGAATAAGCCTTACTTAAATCACGATATTTATATATAAATTTTGATATGCCTTTGGATTCAACTAGCCAATATTGTATTTTTGTGTTTCTGTTCATAAGTGAAATGGATATATATATATATGTATATATATTTCCTTTTTTTTTTTTTTTTGAGACGGAGTCTCGCTCTGTTGCGCAGGCTGGAGTGCAGTGGCGTGATCTCGGCTCACTGCAAGCTCCGCCTCCCAGGTTCACGCCATTCTCCTGCCTCAGCCTCCCGAGTAGCTGGCACTACAGGTGCCTGCCACCATGCTTGGCTAAATTTTTTTGTATTTTTAGTAGAGATGGGGTTTCACTATGTTAGCCAGGATGGTCTTGATCTCCTGACCTCGTGATCCACCTGCCTTGGGCTCCCAAAGTGCTGGGATTACAGGCATGAGCCACCACGACTGGCCTATGTTTCTTTTTGTGTATTGTCCTTATGTAATTTTGACATGTTTGATAAATGGCATTTGGCATACAAGTAGAACTTGGTGGAGCTAATCTGTAAAACCATCGGGACCTTGAGCTTTTGGGGAAGGAAAGTCTTGGATTAGCATTTATGCATTTATATTTTCTTTTTTTTTTTTTTTAAAGAGTTGGGGTTTTGCTCTGTTGTCCAGCCTAGAGTACAGTGGTGCGATTATAGCTCACTGCAGCCTTGAACTCCTGGGCTCAAGTGATTCTTCCACTTGAGTTTCCCTAGTAGCTGGGACTATAGGTGTGCGCCACCATGCTCAGCTGTTTTTTCTTTCTTTGTAGAGTTGGGGTCTGTCATGTTGCCGCAGGCTAGTCTTAAACTTCTGGCCTCAAGCAGTCCTGCCTTGGCCTTCCAAAATGCTGGGATTATAGGCAGGAGACACCTTGCCTGGCATTTCCTTTGGTTTTAATCTGTTATATTTGTAATTGTGTCTCTTATTCTCTGTTTTTTGGCAGCATCTTCTCACTAAGTGGACCTTGATTGGTTTTGTCATCAGTCATATTCATGTTTTCAAATAACTGGCTTTTGGTTTTGCCTTTTTTGGGGGGTTGGGTTGGAGGATGTTTTTATTTGTCTTTGTTCTCTAGCTCTCTGAATCCTGCCCCGGATTTATTATTTTCTTCCTTTTTATTTATGTGAGTTTGATGTGTGTGGTGTTTGTTTGTTTTGCTTTTTTAATTTTTTGAGACAAAGTTTCACTCTGTTTCCCAGGGTGGAGTGCAGTGGCTTACTGCAGCCTGGACTGCCTGGGTTCCAGCGATCCTCCCACCGTGTTGGCCAGGCTGGTCTCGAACTCCTGACCTTCAGGTGATCCACCCGCCTTGGCCTCCCAAAGTGCTGGAATTACAGGTGTGAGCCACCACGCCTGGCCATTCTCAACTTCTTGAACTTACTATTTACCTCATTTGTGTTTTAAAATGATCATTTCTAGTAAATGTATCTAAAAGTATAAAATTTTTCTGGGTATAGTGGCATATGCCTATAATCTCAGTTACTTAGGAGGCTGAGGCAGGAGGATTGTTTGAGCCCAGGAGTTTGAGGCCAGCCTGGGCAACATAGCGAGACCACATGTCTGCAAAGAATTTAAAAATTAGCTGGGTGTGGTGTCACGCACCTGTAGTCCTAGCTACTCAGTAGGTTGAGGCGGGAGGATTGGCCTAGGCTATAGTGAGCTGTGATGGTGCCACTGCACTCCGGCCTGAGTGCTAGAGCAAGACCGTATCTCTAAATAAATAACATTTTATCTTTACATACTGCTTGGGCTGCATCCTATAAATTCTGACTCATAATAAATACAGTTGCCACTTAGTCATTTATTATGTAGTTTCCAAGTAGCTAATGGCATCTAAGCACCATTTTGTGGTGAGTTTCACACTGAGTTGCATTTGCCTGGGCGCGTGTTCTGTGGTATGTTCTTTGGCATGTCTGTGACTCAGTTTGTGGCTTGACCCAAGGCTGTTTCTTTGTTCCACATGTACTTGGAGAGGATATGCATTTTCTGTTGAATGTGGAGTCCTGCCTGCATCTGGGGGTTTCAGCTTATTGGCTATAGGCCTTTGGAATCTCTGCCTGCCTCTTTCCTTCCAGTTGGGGGAACCCTGAAGGAAGCTTCTAAACAGAGGCCTTGGCTGGCCCATGGATCAACTGCTCATCTCTGTACTGACCGGCACAAAGAGGGTATGGGGGCAGGTGGCCCCAAGAAGGCAGGGTGCCAGGTGGGCCCCCACAGGTCTCTGCCACCCAGTCTGCAGCGAGGGAGGCAGGCCCTGAGGCATCCTTTGTGCAGGGACTTGAGGCTGGAAGGACACTGGCTGAGGACTGGACCTTGGAGCTTTCTGATGCAAAATGTGCTTCGTTTGTGTCTATTCATCGTTGTTTGTTACCTTATTTTGTAACCACCCCTGCCTCTTGGAGCATCTCTGCTCTCTGAACTGAGGGACAGGCCCGGTTCTGCTAAGTGAAGCTTGGGCTTCTCCTTCTCTTTCCCGAGTTCCAGGGGTAGAGGCGGACTGTCCTTTGCAGACTGTTTGGTGACAGGGTCGCCTGGAGATTGTGGGAGTCAGGTATCCCTTGCTGTCCAGCCACAGGAGGTGGACAGATCTGGACAGAAAGGGCTGCTGTGTCCCCAGATTCTCCCCACCCTCCACCCACTCTCCCTGCAGGAGCTTGGCCTGTGCCTTGTAGCCCCCCTGCCCCTTTCCATTTGGAAACTGGGGAAGACTTAGCCCTGTGCTGCACACTTCCCGTCATGCTGACACTGTTGTCTTCTCTGCCGCACACACAGCAGGATTCCTGGTTTTCAAGCCTGAGCTGATCTCTCGGCTGGAGCAGGGAGAAGAGCCATGGGTCCTCGACCTGCAGGGAGCAGAGGGGACAGAGGCACCAAGGACCTCCAAGACAGGTGAGGCTTAGATCCCATCGCAGAGAAGCCCTGGGGTGAGGAGAAACTGCAGGAGGGGCCTCACAACTGTGGGTAGCTGTGGGTGAGTCGCGGGGGCTACACTGGGATGCCTGGGAATGCTACTGGGGAAGCAGCATCCAGCACCTAGAAGGGAGCATAGACCCGTTGTGGGGCTGCCTTGGGAGAGGCCAAACTGCAGAAGAGCCAAGACACAAAAACCCATGCATTTCCACAAAAACGGAGCTTGTTTTTGAATCATGTCACATTTTGTTCTATTTTTAATTTTACTCATACTTTCGTTAAGCAAAGATACAAACCTATGGATCCAAGTGAAGGGTTAGGTTTGGCATTCAGTAACCTCTCCTCGGGTAAGCATATTCCCTGAGGCAGCTCCCTTCAGACCCTCTCAGGCTCCAGGAGTGCATTACTTTCCTGTGGCTGCCATAACAATGAACCACAGACTAGGAAGCTTAAAACAACAGAAATTTATTGTCTCACAGCTGTGGAGGCCGGAAATCTGAAACCGGGGGGTCAGCAAGCAGGGCCGTGCCCCCCTGTGAAGGCTTTAGGGAAGGATCCTGTCCTGCCTCTCCGGGCAGCTGGTGGTTTTCTGGCAGTCCTTGGGTTCCTTGGCTTGTGGATGCGTCCCTCACTCTGATCTCCGACTCCTTCACACGGCTGCCTTCTCCCTGCGTGTCTGTGTTCATGTGGCCATCTCCTTAGAAGGACACCAGTCATGGTGGGTTAGGGGCCACCCCAGTGACCTCATGGTGACTAATTAATCTGCAACGACTGTGTTTCCAAACAAGGTCACATTCTGAGGTGCTTCAAGTTAGGACTTCAGCCTATCTTGGGGTCCTCAGCCCTAACCAGGGCACCCACTGCCTCCGGCATCAGCTCCTGCTGGGCAGGCGCCCGGCCTGGTGCTCTGCTCCCCTGCTTAGCCGGTGTGCTGCCCAGCATGACAAGGGAGATGGGTCTGCGTGCATCTCAGCTGCAGAAAGGAAGCCCCTCACCTCCCTTTCAGTTGCTGCTGGGTCATCACCGTCACTCCTGCAGCAGGGCAGGACCAGGTCCTACAGAGGCCACCGGCTTGTAGGGGCCTCGGGAAGCAAGTTGGACAGTCCAAAGTTGTGAAAAGTAGGGGCCGTGGAGCCGGGCATGGTGGCTCACGCCGGCCATTCTAGCGATTTGGGAGGCCGAGGTGGGCGGATCACGAGGTCAGGAGATCGAGACCATCCTGGCCAACACGGTGAAACCCTGTGTCTACTAAAAATACAAAAAATTAACCAGGCGTGGTGGCAGGCGCCTGTAGTCCCAGCTACTCGGGAGGCCGAGGCAGGAGAATGGTGTGAGCCCAGGAGGCAGAGCTTGCAGTGAGCCGAGATTGCGCTACTGCACTCCAGCCTGGGCGACAGAGCGAGATGACGTCTCAAAAAAAAAAAAAAAAAAAAAGCAGGGGCTGTGATCTTACTTCCATTCATATGCGCCTAGGGGCTGTGACCTTACTTCCATTCATATGCGCCTAGGGGCTGTGACCTTACTTCCATTCATATGCGCCTAGGGGCTGTGACCTTACTTCCATTCATATGCGCCTAGGGGCTGTGACCTTACTTCCATTCATATGCGCCTAGGGGCTGTGACCTTACTTCCATTCATATGCGCCTAGGGGCTGTGACCTTACTTCCATTCATATGCGCCTAGGGGCTGTGACCTTACTTCCATTCATATGCCCCTAGGCAGCTTCAAAGGACAAGGAGGGTTTCTGAGCCTCTTCACGCCCTGTGGGCCTTGCAGCCGCCCAGGAAGTCTGCATGTGATGTGTGGGAAGAGTGGTCAGGAACCCTGGCCTCACTGGCTCTGCTGGCTACTCCCATGTGATCCTTTCTGCTCAGTCTCCCTGAGAAGGAGGTTCAGCTATAAGGTGGCCCAGTTAAAACCCAGCCGCCCATTAAAATGTCTCCAACATGGACAGGAGCGTTTAAAGAGGGTGCCATGGCAGAAAAGCCAGCTACAGTTGGCAGAAATAGTTCAGTGGGTTTATATGTAGCAGGTGGTCCTCACTGTGATAAAGCAACAACAAAAAAATAGAATCCCACAGTAGGTGAGAGCTGCTGTTGATGGACCCAGCACTTGCTCGCAGACCTGAGAGTCCGGGGCAGGGATGTAGCCTCTTAGATAAAACATGCAGCAGCACAAAACCAGAATACATGAAGCAAGGCAGAAATGCCCAGATATGTTACTTGTCCCCAGCTGGTACAGTCAGCATCAGATACTGAAAGATATTGGCCCAGAGCAGTGGAGGAGCGGCCAGGTCCCAGCTGTGCACCCCCACGCTTTTGACCACCACCGTGCCCCCTGCTGGGTGGTTCCTGGCATCCCCCAACAAAGCCTTGCTGTCAGCTTGGCCCTGCTCTCTCTGCCGCTGCTCTTTATTTTTTTATTTTTTGAGATGGAGTCTTTGTTGCCCAGGCTGGAGTGCAGTGGCATGATCTTGGCTCACTGCAACCTCTGCCTGCCAGGTTCAAGTGATTCTTGTGCCTCAGCCTCCCAAGTAGCCGGGATTACAGGCGTGAGCCACTGCACCTGGCCACCCTGCTCTCTTATCTTCACAGCAGGGGAAGGCTTGGGAGGAGTGTCAAGCAAGCCCTGTTGAAAGAGCAGGCATGCTGAGGTGGTGTGGTTGTGCAGGGAAAGCAGCACATGAGGACCAGGCCTGGAGATGCCTCCTGTCCTCACAGGCCTTGAGCATCCCTGCTACACAATGAGGTTGAAAGGGCTTCCTGCTCTGATTCTCCAGGACTGATAGGAAGACCTTTGGAGATCCCTGGAAGCCGGAGACTCACCACCAATGGTTAGGAGTGGGCAGGAACCGAAGCTTGAAGCCCTGTAACTGGGCTGTGCATTCATGTGGGGTAGACTCGGGCTGGTTATAGCTGTGGCTGCGTGGTTGTGGTTGTGAACGTGATTGTGTCGTGGTGGGGACCGTGGTTGTCATGATCATAGCCGTGTGTTGTGGTTGCATCCTGTCATGGTTTGATCACAGACATCAAGGAGATGTCTGACCTCAGCAGAGGTGCCCTCTAGGGTTACAGAGTAGGACAGAAGCCTGTGCTTACTTGGAGAGTCCAGAAGGAACGCAGATGTCTGGAAGGCCTCCTGGGGGCCTCCAGAAACTTGCAGCCCCAGGGAAGAAGTCAGTGTGGTCTTAGAGGTGGCCACGCACAGCCCAGGGAGAAGCAGGGGAGGTGGCCAGGTGCAAGTTGGCAGCAGCAGCCAGGAGGCAGCTGAGGGGGCTGGGTCCTGCTCAGAGAAGCCCACCCCAGGGAGTAGCCATGAACGGCCTAGGTGCCCAGTGCTCTTCTGAGCTCACGTAGTAAGTCCCTTGGCAGCTCTTCCAGCCTTGTTTCCTCATCACAATCCATGCTCTCCATTCAGAACTCAGACCCTGTACTGTTTCCTCGCCAGCTCGGATGCTGGAGCCCCTGACCCCGCAGCCCAATCCGTGGTAGCTTCCCACCCTTCTGGTCTTGCTTTGTCTCCTTTGCCTCTGCATGGACTGTGCCCCACACCAGTGCCTGTAGGATGGACCTCTCTGCTCACAGAACCCAGCCCTGCCCCAGCAATGAACATTCATTGCTATCGAATGAGTGAACAAGGTAAAAAGTATGAAACCACTTTTGAGAACTGTCAAAGGCTCTGCCTTCTCTTGCACGTTTCCACCTGGGGCCTCACAGTGCTCAGTGCAACTATCCTGGGAGCCTTGAGCCCTGGCCCCCGCATTTGTAGTCTTATCATTTCTCTGAGCACAGGGCCTAAGGAACGTCTTTGTTCCTGTTTATTTCAGATTCTACGATTAGGACTGAAAATGAGCAGGCCTGTGAGGACATGGACATCCTAAAATCAGAATCCTATGGGACAGTGGTCAGAATCTCCCCACAGGACTTTCCTCAGAATCCTGGCTTTGGAGACGTTTCTGATTCTGAGGTCTGGTTAGACAGTCATCTGGGCAGTCCCGGGCTGAAAGTGACAGGCTTTACCTTCCAAAATAACTGTTTGAATGAGGAGACTGTGGTTCCCAAGACCTTCACCAAGGACGCACCCCAGGGATGTAAGGAGCTGGGAAGCAGCGGCCTGGATTGTCAGCCTCTTGAAAGTCAGGGAGAGAGTGCGGAAGGGATGTCCCAGAGATGCGAGGAGTGTGGCAAAGGCATCAGAGCCACTTCAGATATCGCTCTGCATTGGGAAATTAATACACAGAAAATTAGCAGATGTCAAGAATGCCAAAAAAAGTTATCTGACTGCTTGCAGGGGAAACATACAAATAACTGCCATGGAGAGAAGCCGTACGAATGTGCAGAGTGTGGGAAAGTCTTCAGGCTCTGCTCGCAGCTTAATCAGCATCAGAGAATCCACACGGGAGAGAAACCCTTTAAATGCACTGAGTGTGGAAAAGCCTTCCGCCTGAGCTCAAAACTTATTCAGCATCAAAGAATCCACACTGGGGAGAAGCCCTACAGATGTGAGGAATGTGGAAAAGCTTTTGGTCAGAGCTCAAGCCTCATCCACCATCAGAGAATCCACACAGGAGAGAGGCCCTATGGTTGTCGTGAGTGTGGGAAAGCCTTCAGCCAGCAGTCGCAGCTGGTTAGACACCAGAGAACTCACACTGGGGAGAGGCCCTACCCTTGCAAGGAGTGTGGGAAGGCCTTCAGCCAGAGCTCCACCCTAGCCCAGCATCAAAGGATGCATACTGGGGAGAAAGCTCAAATTCTAAAAGCCTCAGACAGTCCAAGCCTTGTTGCACATCAGAGAATTCACGCTGTAGAGAAACCATTTAAGTGTGATGAGTGTGGGAAAGCTTTTAGGTGGATCTCTCGCCTGAGTCAGCATCAGCTGATTCACACTGGAGAGAAGCCTTATAAATGCAACAAGTGTACAAAAGCCTTTGGTTGTAGTTCACGGCTTATTCGCCATCAGAGAACTCACACTGGAGAAAAACCATTTAAATGTGATGAGTGTGGCAAAGGCTTTGTTCAGGGCTCACACCTTATTCAGCATCAGCGAATCCACACTGGAGAGAAACCCTATGTGTGTAATGACTGTGGAAAAGCCTTCAGTCAGAGTTCCAGCCTTATTTACCATCAGAGAATCCATAAAGGAGAGAAGCCCTACGAATGCCTCCAATGCGGAAAAGCCTTCAGTATGAGCACACAGCTTACAATACATCAAAGGGTTCACACTGGAGAGAGGCCCTATAAATGTAATGAATGTGGGAAAGCCTTCAGTCAAAACTCAACCCTTTTCCAACACCAGATAATTCATGCAGGGGTGAAGCCCTATGAGTGCAGTGAGTGTGGAAAAGCCTTCAGCCGGAGCTCATATCTTATTGAACACCAGAGAATACACACTAGGGCCCAGTGGTTTTACGAATATGGGAATGCCCTGGAAGGGTCCACCTTTGTGAGCCGTAAAAAGGTTAATACTATAAAGAAACTGCATCAGTGTGAAGACTGTGAGAAGATATTTAGGTGGCGTTCACACCTAATTATACACCAGAGAATTCACACCGGGGAGAAGCCTTATAAATGCAATGACTGTGGCAAAGCTTTTAATCGTAGCTCAAGGCTTACCCAGCATCAAAAAATTCACATGGGATAGACCACTTACATATAAATGTGTATATATGTGAATAAACCTATAGCCTTAACTTACTTATTTTATATGGAATCGTTTATACTGACAAACATGTAGAATGTTGGTAAAGGTTCAGAATTGCTCTCAAGAATATCCAACTTCAGGCCGAGTGTGGTGGCTTATGCCTGTCATCCCAGCACTTTGGGAGGCCAAGGCGGGCACATCACGAGGTCAGGAGGTTGAGACCATCCTGGGTAACAGGTGAAACCCCATCTCTACTAAAAATACAAAAATTTAGCTGGGCGTGGTGGCAGGCACCTGTGGTCCCAGCTGCTCGGGAGGCTGAGGCAGGAGAATGGCATCAGCCCAGGAGGCGGAGCTTGCAGTGAGCTGAGATCGCGCCACTGCACTCCAGCCTGGGTGACAGAGTGAGACTCCCTCTCAAAAAAAAAAAAAAAAAAAAAAATCCAACTTCATACAAAATGTATGTTTATTTCCTGAAATGTTTGACCTTAACCTGTTCAATAAAGCCTGTGTCCCTCAAAATCAGGGTGCAGTCTGCAGTTTTGAGTTGACAGGTCCCTGTGAATGAGGAAGCAGCACAAGGAGGGCTCTACGAGCGCTGCTAGACTGAGTAGGTTAAAATAATTTACCTAAACTCTTTTCCCTTAAGTATCAGTGGCTCACACTGGCTTCAACAATACGGAAATGCATTAGCTCATGTTGGAGGAGGTCCAGGAGTGCCTAGAATTCCAACTTCAAATTAGGTCCTTGTCTTAGAACTTAACCCAGCCACCCAGGACCAGAGGGCCCAGCCCTATCCCCTTCCTCAGAGAGGCAGGCTGGGCTAGCAGGTACACGCCATCATTACTGGTGTGGTTGGCATTTATGGAGCACATACCAGTGCCAGGCACAGAAGCAAGGTGTCACAGCAAGGTTCTGAGGTCACACTTGTGTCCCAGGGGCTTGCTGTGTGACCTAGGACATCATTGCCCTCCCTGAAACTCAGAGCCTTATTTGTGTATCTGAAAACATGCACTGTGAGAGGGTACTGAGAGGAAACAATGTAGAGAAACATGCCTTACTGGGCCTGTCAGAGAACGAGCACTCAAGCAAATGCAAGTACCAACCCCCCCATCCATGCCAGCATCTCCAGCACACCCGTGTGCGCACAGGCCCTGAGGCTGATGACTGTCTTGTACTGGCCTAGTTGCCCCACTTTTTTTTGGTAGGGGGGAACGCGGTGAGGAGGAAATAAAGACAGTGGAGAAAAAGACGAAAATGGGCCGGGCGTGGTGGCTCACGCCTGTAATCCCAGCACTTTGGGAGGTCGAGGTGGGTGGATCATGAGGTCAGGAGATGAAGACCATCCTGGCTAACACAGTGAAACCCCGTGTCTACTAAAAATACAAAAAATTAGCCGGGCGTGGTGGCGGGCACCTGTAGTCTCAGCTACTTGGGAGGCTAGGCAGGAAAATGGTGTGAACCTGGGAGGCAGAGCTTGCAGTGAGCCAAGATCACGCCACTGCACTCCAGCCTGGGTGACAAGAGTGTGACTCTGTATCAAAAAAAAAAAAAAAAAAAAAAAAAAACGAAAATGGGATGGAAAGAAGGTGGTTGGGAAACAAATATGGGGAGAAGAACCTGAGAAGGGGTGATGAGAGGGAGTGGGGAAAGAAGATACTGGGAAGAAAAGATGGTTGAGTGAAGAACTTGGGGTGAGAGTGGGTTAGGAAGAAGGTGGAGAGGGAGTGGGGAAAGAGGACTCTGGGGAGAACTTAGGGAGAGGAAGTGGGGAAAAACGATGGTAGGGAAAAGAACTTGAGCTGCAGTGGGGGTAGACCAGCAGACCACAGGGTGAAAGGACAGATGGGAGGAGAAACAGGGGCAGGGTCAGGGAGGAGAACCCCAATTGCCTTACTTTACAGGGGAGGCCACACAGGTCTGGATGTAATTTATGGTGCGGGACAGCTTTCCTTAAAACTCAGCCTGAAAGACTGCCAAGAACTGAGGGTCTGAGATTTCATTCTTTGTAGAAGCTCACGAGAAATCCTGTGGCCATTCCACCTAGGAGGGGACGGCAGGCAGAATACTCACTGTGGTTGTCAGGGCCCTATCAGTTCCTTTTGCCCACCATTCCCATGACGCAGAGGCCCAGCAGGTGCAGGCACAGCTGAGAAACTCGGAGGTGAGGAGTGAGCCTGCTCTGTTGGGAGCTGGGGGGCCATTACCTCACCCCTCAGTTTTTTTTTTGCTGCTGACACAACCTTGAGAAGTGGCCCAGGTGGAGCACGGTGGGGTTCTTGGCACATGCAGGAACATGGAGGGAGGCGTGGCTGATGGCAGGTGGCTTGCTCAAGGCCTGATGCTTTTTTGCTGAAATTGAATTTTCACGTGAATCTGCTGCTCAACCCTAATCTAACAGGCTGGGACCTTGTCCATTTGATTTTCTCACACAGCATCTAATTAAGGCTGATATTCACAGGCATGAGGCCAACTGTAAGACCTCAACCCTGTCTCCACAGTCCTTGTCATTCAGGGGGAACCTGGAACTCCTGACTGGTGACCTCCCACCTGCCTCTTCAGGGGCTCCTCCCGGTGTACAAGGGTGATGGTGCTCTCCACAGCCATGGAGTCAGTGCATCCACTGTAACTGCCTCTTCTCCAGCCATGCCCTACTCACACCGGAACTTCTGTGCACGTGGAGTATGTGTGCAGTGTCCCTGCCTTGCGTCACGTGGCTGCTGAGAAGGGTCTTGGCAGGTAATGTGCTTAGCCAGGTGGTCACCTTCAGGTCTAGCACAGGGGTTGCTGTTGCTTTTTCTCTACTTCAGGCTTTCTGGGCCGCCCAACCATGGGACAAGAGCCAAGGCACCCACATGCACCGCCTGCAACTCCTGTTCCTGGCCTTCCAAAACACTGCTCACAAAGACTGACCCTGCCTCCTCCTGGGCTCTCGTCATCTCCTCTTGGCCACTTCCTGGTTCATGATCAGGACAGAAGGAGGGGAACGTCAGCCATATGGATGGTCTGAAAATTCCAGATTCTGTGCTAACCATAATGCTGTGTTCTTTTCACTAACAGCAACCAGCCAAAAAGGGGCTGGGGTGCAAGCTTCATTCTGCTTCAGCACCTGGATTCTCTCTGGATTGACATGGTCCTAAGTCAGGGGCTGGCAAACCATTCGTAGCTTTTTACATTTCTGAATGGTTGGGGAGAAAATAAGAGACTTGTGACATTTGAAAACTATGTTAAAATCGAATTTGACTGTGCACAGTGTCCCTGGGCTTGGTGATGCCCAAGCGTCTTCATGGAGCCTCTGGCGGCTTTCTTGCTGCAGCAGTGTTTACCACACCAGCCAAGTCACCTTGAACTTGGAAAATGACTTCATGCCCTCCAGCCACTGAAGGATTATTTTTCCTCTCAGCCCTTAGTGGTTTCTTTACCTAAATGTCACGGTACAACTGAGAATAAGGCAGCTGGGTCAGTTCAATAGAAGTAAACCTAAAGTCCAACAATCCAGGTTAGATATTAGCCACGGAGGGATGGGAGGAGGAGTCTTCTTTTTTTTTGAGACGGAATCTCGCTCTGTCCCTCAGGCTGAAGTGCAGTGGTGCGGTCTCGGCTCACTGCAAGCTCCGCCACCTGGGTTCACGCCATTCTCCTGCCTCAGCCTCCCGAGTAGCTGGGACTACAGGTGCCTGCTACCACGCCCGGCTAATTTTTTTGTATTTTTAATAGAGACGGGGTTTCACTGTGTTAGCCAGCTGGTCTCGATCTTCTGACCTCGTGATCCGCCCGCCTCGGCCTCCCTAAGTGCTGGGATGACAGGCGTGAGCCACCATGCCGAGCTGAGGAGGAGTCCTCTTCTAGCTGCACGATGTGGAAATGACACATCATGTCCATGGGGCAGCTTGCTGAGAGCCAAGGGTGTGAGCACATGACTTAAATTCAAGCTACTGCACAGCTTTGAGATCTGAGTATCACATGGAAGCATCCAGGTGGCCCCTGGCACACAGGCTGGTGGTTCTTTTGTGGAGAGGGAGAGGAAGAGGGGCTGCTCATGGGGTAGTGCAGGTGCTAGAATATCCTGTTAACCTGTTCACACTGCACTGCAATTCGGGCTTCGGTAAGCTCATCTAAAGAGTTTCCAGGCCAGGCACGGTGGCTCACGCCTGTAATTCCAGCACTTTGAGAGGCCAAGGAAGGATCACGTGACCCCAGGAGTTCGGAGACCACAGTGAGCTGTGATCGCACCACTGCACTCTAGCCTGGGTGACAGAGTGAGGCCCTGTCTCCACAATATATAAATAAAAACATTTTGGGTTTCTGTTTTGGAGACAATAAATTAAATCTATAACCTAGGCCTGGAATTGCTTTTTATCTCAACTATCAGAATAATCTTTCATTTATGACACTGAATTGAAACTATCTGGACCTTTCTGGAAGCTTCACAAAGTGAAGCAGAGCAAGGGCCGGGTCCAGGCCATTTTATAAATCCTCAAGTCCCCAGTGCATGCAGCTTGACTCAGAGCCCCAGAAATGTTTGCTGAATGAGTGAGTGATGCAGGTGGGGAGGCATCCAGGCTTTGAGCTCAGGACAGTGCCACAGGAGAGGGAAATCACCAGCAAGTTTCCACAGAGAACTAAGGCCAAGAAAACCAAGGGAGTAATTTCCCAGATGCAGACATCCGTTCTCTGTGCAAGGCCTTGTGCAAGCCACGGGGACAAAGATGGACAGGGCTGGCCTCTGCCCTGGAGTCCAGGTCTAATGGAGACTGGCCACTGACAAGGATGGACAGGTGCTCTGTACTGGAGGGGTCCAGTGGGCTCATGGGGTTGGCGCCAACCATGCCTGGACTAAGAATGGTTTTTCAATGGAAAAAAATACTTTGTGACACATGAAATTAAAATTTCATGGCTGGGTGTGGTGGCTCATTGCTGTAAAACCAGCACTTTGGGAGGCCGAGGTGGGCAGATCACCAGAGCCCAGGAATTCAAGACCAGCCTGGGCAACGTGGCAAAACCCCATCTCTACAAAAAATCTGAAAATTAGCCGGGTGTGGTGTGGTGTGCCTGTGAGCCCAGGAGGTTGAGGCTACAGTGAGCCATGATCGTGCCATTGCATTCCAGACTGGATGATGGGGAGACCTTGTCTCAAAAAAAAAGGAAAATTTCAATATCCATTAAAAAAATATCATTGGAGGCCAGGCTCGGTGGCTCATGCCTGTAATCCCAGCTGCCTGGGAGGCTGAGACATGAGAATTGCTTGAACCTGGGAGGCAGAGGTTGCAATGAGTCGAGATCGTGCCACTGCACACCAGCCTGGGCAACAGGAGTGAAACTCCCGTCTCAAAAAAAAAAAAAGATGGTATTGGAACACAGCCATATACATTTGTTTACGTATTGTGTGACTGCTTTCAAGCCACCATGGCAGGGTGGACAGAAACTTCATGGCCCACAAAATCTAAAATGTTTACTCTCTGGCCCTTTGTGGGAAGAGTTTGCTCACTGCTGAGTCAGAGGAAGTGGCCTCTAAGTCTGCTCCACGCTGTAGGGATCTCAAGTCCAACTGGATCATGTCTGCCCTGATTAAAACCCCACTGCTCCCCCTTGCCCCAGTGGAATGACCAAAATCCTGTGTGTGGCCTTGAGGCCAGCCGCTGTCCCTGCACTTGATCCCCCATCCCTCAATCCCCTATACTCGGGCAGTGCCAGCCCCAGTCCCAGGAATGGCCCACTCCCCTGCCTGTGTCTCATAAGCTGTCTTTTCATGGCTGTGTCTTGATTTGCCTGGGTCCCCGCTTGAGACAAGCCCAAGGGTTCACAGATGAATTGAGGCAAACACAGATTCCCAATGAGAGACGGCGAGAGGTCAGCCTGAGGACCGAGGGCAGGTCCATGCTCTGGGCTCCACACAGGCTTTGCTAAGCAGCTGGGAGAAGCAGAAGGATGGGGCTGTCCCTAAAGCTGCTGTTCCTGCAGGGCCAGGGCCAGTGAGTGAGAAAGGCAACATGGTCCCAGCTGCCCCAGCCCCATCCACATCTGGGGACAGAGAATGCAGGAAGTGGCTGGTCATATTCCTGATCCGATGACAGTGGGGGGACAGTGCCTTCGGGGAGAGAGAAGGGCTTTACCTGGAACTCAGTGAGGGTGGGACAAAGCTGAGTGATCGACCAGATGGCAGGACCCACAAGCATGCACCTTAGAGGGCACCTGGGCTCCTCCCAGAGTCTACTGACCCCACCCCCAGGTACTCCTCTGTACCCTGACATGTCAGAACTGCCCATGGAGGGATGAGGAAGAAATCCAGGCTAGTGGAGGAGACAACCCAAAAACTGCAGACAAGACAAACAGCCAAGCAACCCCAGGCACTCAAAGACAAGGGGAGGTTTCTCAGCAGAGAACAGACTAGACATGGTCCAGAAGTGCTCCACGGAGGCAGGAACAGTCAGCTGGAAGCCAGCTGACCGAAAATGGCTCTGCAGAGACCGAGCACCAAGGCCCCTCCTGGAACACAGTTATGCTGGAAGCTGCAAAGCTGGCTACAACCCCTGCACACACCTGCCCTAGAGGCACCCGGGAGAGGTCCCTGCCACCAACTCCACCCTGGTGACAGCCTCTCTGCTGGGCTCTAGCCTCCTCCCTTGCACCCCTCCACACAGCAGCCAATCACCAGATCACGTCTCTCCTCTGCTGAAAACCCTCAGAAGGGCTCCTCTGTCACTCAGAATTGAGCCAAAGTCCTTAAAAGGCTCTCAGGCCTTGACCTCTGTACCCTCCCCAACGTCGCCTCCCCACAATGATCTCCACCTGCTTGGCTGCAGCCAGGCGGGCCTTAAGCACGTCAGGCCTCCCCACACTGGCCGCCTGAGCCCCGTCCTCCCCACCTTGTGCTGCTCCCCTCAGAGCGCTGTGCCCCCGGCTCCTTCAAGTCCTCGCTCAGATGTCACACCCTCAAGGAAGGTCGCCCCATCAGCACGCAGACCCCACCCTACTTGCTGCATCACACGCCATCCTCTGATGAGCTATTCCAGTTAATTTTTATGATTTATTTTACAATGTTTCCCCTCCCCTCAGCCGCACTAGAATGTCAGCTCCATGGGGTCAGGGATTTAAGGCAGAAGAGTGAAAATGCCCAACCTAAAACACAAGATCTACAAAAGCACCTGGCTACATGGGGCCAGGCTGAGCAACTGTATGTTGTCTACAAAGGGCCTCAACCTGGCCTCACATGGCCACGTCCAGCACCAAAGACAAATGTACAGGGAAGGGGAGGGTGTGAGGTCCAACACTCACCTATAGAAACATGTTTTTAGCTGCTTTACTTCCAAAAAGAAAAAAAGGCATAGCTCTCTTTTTCAATTAAACAGAAAACTACATAATTACGTTCAAACACTCACTGAAGAGCCTGCCTCATGGGAAGGGCAGGGCTGTCGTGGGAAGAGTCAGCTGCACTTTGGCACCATCTCAGGTGCCTGTCCAAGCCGGATCTGAATGGGACTGGTCAAGTGAGGGGTCAGTCCTGCAGTCTGCGCTCACACCTCTTCTCCAGATCTGCCATCTCCTTTAGGACCAGGGCCACGCTGTACCGCAGCTCCTGGAACTTGGCTGTGGGGACCTCAAAGCGGTATGCTGACCCATCTGAAAGCTTCAGCTGCATCAGGACGCTCGGCTGCAGGGAGCGAGCCAGGGCACTGGTGGAGATTGCTACATCCACCCGCCACCGAAAGTCAGCAACATGCGGCAGCCAGGCCCCCTGCTGCTGGGCCACAGAATCAAGGAGGGGCCGCTGGCTCCCAAATACCACGCTGGCCAAGTCCCCGACCAGGTCTTGGGGGATGCAGAGCTCCTGGAGCTGGTCCCTGAAGGTGTCAGGCTTCAGGCTGGTGGGGGGCAGACGGAGGGCCTGCTGGAGCAGTGTGTGCATGCCTGCCAGCAGGGCACCCAGCTGCTCCTCCGGCAGGTTGGCGCTGACCCCAAGACGCTGCACAGCCTCTCGGCAGTCCTCCCCCTGCAGGCTGCTGACCACAAACTTCAGCAACTTTCTGAACGTGCTCCTGTCTAGGTCCCCTAGTAGCCGGGCCATTGCTGCCACCTCTGGAGGAAGCTGGGCCCCCAAGAAACTCACTCGGCCACTGTGACTATCACCAGGATGATGCAGGTATGGAGTTGCAGCCCCCACAGCAGACATTGCTGCTGCTTCCTCTTTGATCAGCCAGCCCAGGAGGTCGGTCCCAGATGCAGATGCCTAGAGTGGGGTGGAGGAGAGAAGACCAGTGACTCTCACATCCTTTGGGCCAGCGAGTGAGGGTTGATATGGTCCCCATCATCAGCATGCTGACAGTGTGAACTACCAATGACAGTCAGTGCTGCGGAGATGGCCCTGGAAGCAGGTGGCAGAGGGGTCCATGTCAGTCCCAGGAGGAGCGGAGGCCTCCCAGAGGAAGTGACATCTAAGGCATGAAGGACAAGCAGGAATTGGCAGAGAAGTAGGGGGCAGGGAGGAGGACCAGGAAACAGCACAAGTTCTCCAAGTAAATTAATAGATGAAAGAATGAACTAGGGGAACGGTCCGGGGAACACAGGGACACTGCAGCTGGCGCCACAGACCACACTGAGACCATTTAACTATTCAATCTTGAATCCTTCACAACAGTGGGCAAGAAGAATTACCATTCTCACCTGACAGAGAGGGAGATAAGGCTCTAGGCCAGGTGCAGTGGCTCAAGCCTGAAATCTCAGCACTTTGTGAAGGTGAGGCCAGCGGATCGCTTGAGCCCAGGAGTTGGAGACCAACCTGGGCATCATAGCAAGACCCCGTTTCTACAAAAAATTTAAAAAACTAGCCAGGCGTGGTGGTGCACGTCTGTAGTCCCAGCTACTCAGAAGGCTGAGAGGACAGAGGATCCCTTGAGCCCAGGAAGTCGTGGCTGCAGTGAGACGAAATCGAGCCGCTGCACTCCAGCCTGGACAACAGAGATGCTGTGAGGAAGGAAGGAAGGAACGAACGAATGGAGGGAGGGGGGAGGGAGGGGAGGCAGGGAAGAAGAAAAGAAAAGTAAAAAGAAATCAAAGCTCTAAACACAGCTGCCAAAGTCAAGGACTGAAGCCTAGACCTGTCTATTCAGAAGTCCCAGCTGTTTCCACCACAGCCCCAACCCCCGGGCTGGAAGAGCTGAGCAACGGCTGGCAACAGAGGCAAGTGCGGCAACTAAAGAGGGTTCCGACGCACCTGAAGGAGCAGTGCAGCAGCACAAGCACCTGCTATGCCAGAGGAAACGCACGTGCCCACCTCAGCACACCAGGTACTGGAGCAGAGCTCAGCGGGGCACAGCTCCTGTCCTCGAGGCACTTGTCAGGCCACTCTGCACAGCGCTGGGGGAGCCCAGGAGCTCCCCACGGGCTTCACGGCGCCCCATTCTCCCTGGGAGTCAACGACCACCCACTGCCAACTCCTTCACCGTCCCGCCAGCACCAGGAGCTCCTTCCCACTCCAAAGAGCCATCCGGGAAGGCCTCCGAGCTGCCCGCTTCCGGTCGCGCGGCTTGGAAGGCCGGGTTCGCACCCTGACTCCGTACCCGCGGCTCTGATGGGGGCGCGGCGTCGCCCGTTCCGGGGCGCGGGGACCTTGGTGCACAGAGTCAAATTGGCACTCGGCCGTCGCCGCCCCCACGGTTCGGGGCCAACCTACCGGCGGGCGCTCCTCCGCGGAAAAGCCCCGCAGTATCCAGAGCTCTCCGAACACAGCGGCGAAGCAGCCTTTCCTAGGCCCACACCCCCAGCTCGGGAGGGAGACTCCATCCTACTCCACCCCACGCTCCCGCTGTCCGAGTCGCCCCCAGCACCTGGCGCCGGCAATCCCCGGCTGATGCAGCCAAAAGCGGGCCTGGTCCCCGGAAGCGCCCTGAGAGCCACTTCCGGGCCGCTCTAGGAAGGCAGCAATGACCGCCCCACTGTGGTCCGCTGGCCCGAGGGGCGGAGCCGAGGCCGCGCCAGGTCCCGCCCCCTCCCCGCCCGGGGGAATCGGGGGTCGCCGGCGGGGTCCCAGACCTCGTCTTAGACAGTTTTTTTTTTTTCTTTCCCCAAAGAAAAAGAAGGCGGTGTTGTGTTTCCGTTTCTGAGGTAGAAACTGCGGCCTGCGCCCGCGTCTCCCTCCCCGCCCGCGCAGAGTGAGGGTAAAGCGGGAGAACGCGTCCCGTGGTCTGGGGTCAGAATTCCAGTCACCTGAGGCTGAGGAGCTCGCTGGCTTTCGTCGGCGTCCGGGTGGGCGGCGGGGAAACCGCGAGACCTTGAGGATCAGCGCGGAGCGGAGCCGAGCGGGCGTCCCTGTCCCGTGTGGACGGTCTGCGCCTCCAGGGTTTTGAGAGCTGCCCCGTTTCCCCTCCTGTCGGGTGGCGTCCGGCGCGCGTGACTCGGTTCCGCTTTGGGCTGCTCTGTTGGGCCCTAGCGCAGGAGCTCGGTCCGAAACAATGGCCGAGCCATTTTATTTAACATGTACTTTACCATAGTTAAAAAATAATATGCCAAAATCATTGAATTGTACAAAATGGGTGAATTATATGGTATGTGAATTATAGCCCAATAAAACTTAAAAAAAAAAAAAAAACTCTGAAAAGGGAAACAACCTAATTAAATGGGCAGAAGATGTGAGTAGACATCAAGGAAGATACAAAGTGGGTAATGGGTACATGAAGCCTTCGGCATTGTTGGCTATTAGAGAAATGCGAATGGAAGCCACGGGGAGGTGCCATTTCATACCATTAGAAGGGTTATAATAAAAATGACAGGTTGGGTGCGGTGGCTCACGCCTGTAATCCCAGCACTTTGGGAGGCGGAGGTGGACAACCAGATCTCAGGAGAACTCTATCATGAGACCATAACTTAAGGGCATGGTACTAAACCATTCATGAAAAGCCACCCCCACGATCCAATCACTTCCCACCAGTCTCCACCTCCAGCATTGGGTATTACCTTTCAGCATGAGGTTTGGGCGGGGACACAGATGCAAACCACATCAGCCATACAATGGAATAGTGTTCAATAATAAATAGGAGTGGAGACTGGGTGCAGTGGCTCATGCCTACAATCCCAGTACTTTATGAGGACTAGGTGGGAGGACCACTTGAGGCTAGGAGTTCAAGACCAGCCTGGGCGACATATCAAGGCTTCATTTTTACAAAATTAAAAAAAAAAACAGGTGTGGTGGTGTGCACCTATAGCAGGGGTCCCCAACCCTCAGGCTGTGGACCGCTACAGGTCAGTGGCCTGTTAGGAACTGACCTCACAGCAGGAGGTGAGGGCAACCTATAGTCCCAGCTATTTGAGAGGCAGAGTGAGGACCACTTCAGTTCAGGAATTTGAGACCAGCCTGGGGAACATGGCAAGACTCCATTTCTAAGACAAAACAAATCAAGTCTAAAAACCATGCTGAGGGAGGATTGTTTAAAGGGAATGGATCTGGGAAGTTTAGAAAGAGACTGCATCTGTAAGGTGTTATTTCTCTTTAAAATATCTGAAGCAAAAAGGTGAAGTGCTATCACTTGTGAGGTCTGGGCGGTGGTTACGTGGCAGACCCACCCCCTCCTGAAGTGAGGAGAGCCAGGAACCTGGGGGTGAGTTTTGGAGACAGTTCCCACCCAAAGGCCAGAGTGCCTGGAGTGCCTGGAGAACTCTCATCTTATTGTAGCAGGATGAGCCACAGACAAAACTTCTCAGACACTGGGTTAAAGAAGGAAGGGGTTTTATTTGGCTGGGAGCTTTGGCAGACTTGTGTCTTAAGAGCTGAGCTCCTCGAAAAAGAAATTACTGGCCCTTTTAAGGGCTTACAACCCTAAAGGGTCCACGTGAAAGGGTTATTATGATAGACTGGGAAAGCATGGAGAACATGACTGGAGGCTACAAGCATCAGCTAACAGAACAGAAAGTTTTACAATGCTTTCTTATACAATGTCTGGAATTTACAGATAACACAAGTAGTTTAGGTTAGGGGTTGATATTATTAACACCAGGGCCAGGTGATGGCACCAAGGTCATCTGGCTATTTATCTTCTGTTTCTTTCTCACTTTTTGTTTTCTCCCATTTCTCCTGTCTTATAAACTAGGCAAGACAGGGGGAGAGGAGGGCAGTAGGAGAAGTGGTGGTCTCCTTCCTTACTATGATCAACATTTGTAAGTTAATTTAGCTTGAAACAATTTCAAGCTTAGATAAAAGGTTGCATGAATAGTGCACCTTCCCAGAGACCCCCATTCAAGGGTCACCAGGTGTCCCTGCAATGTCTCTGAAGGAAAGGAGCCTGTTGCCTGGCAAGAGTGGTGTCATCTCGAAGCAAAATCACTGTGGTGGCCGATGTTAGACTCCTGCATACCAAGGTCTTCACACAAGGCCTGTAGCATTGATAACCCCTCAGAAAGATGCTACCTAACTTCCCCAGCAGTCATGAATTTTGCAAGAAAGTCTAAGACATCACCAGCTGCACATGTTTTTACCAAAAAGCTTGCTATATAAAGGATGCTTTCTGGGGGGCAGGTGCAGGGATCCACTGTCTTGTGGCTGCCCGAGATACTACTTTGTTCATAAGTTTCTAGTAAATGTTTCTTTTGGAGAAACTCCATTTGTCAGCCTCTTTTTTCAGCCTCTCAGCTCCCTTGGCCTTTGGGGGTAGGTTTGTGTGACCTGCTTACTGCGGAGCAATCCCTCAGAGCATCAGGAATCGGCCGAGGGTCACAAGTTGCACCCACTTGTCCTGTTTCTTGTCTCCTTCAGTCTAGAACAGCCTCTCCATCTCCTGGACTTTCAGGACCCTGAAGTTTAATGTTTATATGCAGTCCTTTTGGAAATTTTTTCTCAAATTATCATCATTCTCTTGGTCAAGGCAGTGACTGAGCCTGCCCAGATTCAAGAAGACATTGAAGATATTGCTCCTGCTCTCAAAGGGAGGGAGGCCAAAGAACCTGTGGCATCCTCAGTCAGCCACAGCAGCCACCATGGTGGTAACTCAGGCAAGAAGCACCAATACCTGTGAAAGCCAGGTGTCTCCAGGGCATGAGGCTCAGGATGTTTACACAGTGTCAAAACATCACCATGCAATGTAATTATTATTAATTACAAAGGGGAATAAGGTAACTTCACAGGAGACAAACCAGGCAAACAGCACCCTGGTCAAATGATCTAAGACAAAACCACAAGTAATGGCACAAACCAATGTCATTCTCCAACTGTCAGCTGCGGTGGGAAGGCATCACCGCAGAGCTGCCTGAGACACTTCCACCCAAACTTCTCTCCACTTGGTGTCAAGCTTGAAGCCATCTGATGGCCCCTCCATCTTCCTGGTTACCTCACTATTTTCTACCCCAGACATTTCTCTGAACACGACGTTTGTATCCTTAATCTTGGTGTCTTCTTCTTGGAGGACCCAGACCAACACAAATGGGCCAGAAGCAGCTTGAGAAAACTGGTGATCAGATGGACATTTGGGATTGGCCCACCCACTGTCTGCAGGTGAAGAGGGTGCTGTTCTGGTTAGGAGGTGGGGCACTGACGGTCCCTGGCACAAGGTGGTGGCTTCACTGCTAAGCTTTCCCTCATGACCTGACAAAATGTCTCAGCAGAAGGGAGTCTGTGCAAGGGACAATGATGCAAGCATTTGAAAGGTGCAAGGATGGCCACGCAGGCCCCAGGATCCCAGAGCAAGTCTGCACCACCTGCAGCAGAGAATAGAACACTTGTCCATGGGACCCCCAAATGGCCCTGCATCCACACTTCCCAGTGTGAGCTGAGCTCTGTCAGGCCTCCCCAGGCATGAAGTCAGGCAGCCCAGCAGCATCCATCAGAAGGTGGCAATGGCATGGCCAGGACGGCGTCCATGCAGGGCCAGAGTGCCAGAGTGAGCTGAGGGAGCAGGCAGTCTAGCCCACATGCCTCCCTCAGCTCAAGCCTATGGCTGCAGAGGGTTCCTGCGTGGCTGAAGGAGTTTGATTTGTAGATGGATGGGTTCAGTGCATGGCACACATAAAATGCAGCTCAAGCCTACAGCTGCAGAGGGTTCCTGTGTGGCTGAAGGAGTGTGATTTGCAGATGGATGGGCTCACTGCATGGCACACAGCAGCTGTGTTACTGCCACTTTCAAGGGTGGGAAGGAAAACCTTCCCAGTGGGCAGAACTGCAGGCGGCATGCCCGGTCACCCCACCATCTGCAAGCAGAAGTGGCCTGAGGTGAGAATGCCCAGACTTCTGGGCAGTGGCCTTGTGTCCCCACCTTCTGGGGGGGCCAGAAGGAAAAGGAGCCTGCAGACCAGGTCTGGGCTGAGGCAGTGGTGAACACAAAGGAGGGGCACAGAGTGGGGAGGTGTTCGCACATATCAGTGCCCACCAAGGCATCCAGCACACATGAGGCACGGAACAACCAAGCAGACAAAATAACTCACCAGTGGACACCAGTCCTCACTGTCAGCCACTCTGGAACATGAAAGGGGTGACCCTGGTGACAAAAATAAAGACTCCATATGGAAGACCTCCTTCACCCTGGGTCTCACGCTGCCAGGCGCAGTGACTCGTGTCTGTAATCCCAGCACATTGGGAGGCCGAGGCAGGAGGAGCATGAACTCCCTTACCAGGGCCTGTCTGGCAGCTGCCACCTCTGGATGTCCAAATTGTCCATAACAGAGTTGATGCCATGCCCTTTCTATCCTGGAAAGGCTGGCAGTTTTTTCTCACACAGATGGATGCCTATTTCAGGTACCAGCTGGCCTTTCCTACAGAGCCTCAGCCCACACCATTGTCTGGGGCTTAGGTTGCTTCATTCAGAGGCATGAATCCTCACACAGCGGCATCCTAATGGGACCCACCTGTATTGTAGCAGCCAGCCTCATGCAACTCTGCACTGGCCTTCTAGAGGCTCAGCTGAAGCAGCAGCTTGGATGCTCTGCTCTGAAAGGATGGCACCATCCTTTGGGATGCCATGCATTAATTTGGATACTTTTTATGGTGCTGTGTTCCCAACAGAAAGAACACATGAGTCTGGGAAACTAAGATTTGAAGCAGGAGTGGCCCAATTCACCCAGACTCTCCCATAACCTACTGGGAGATTTTGTGTTTCCTCTCTACATGGTTCTAGACTTTGTAGGGTTGGAGGTCCAGTTCCCCAGGAGCACACAGCAAGGATCCCACTGAATAAGCTACAGTTGCTACAAGGACATTTGAGCTTCTCAAACCCAGGGACCCACCGAGGTCCACTGTGTTGACAGTTGAGGTAATTTCAGGATGAGTAATGAACAGAAAAGAAGAGAACATTTCAGCCCTGAGACCAGTTCCAGTGATGAAGACTGTAGCTAATCCAACTAACCACTTCCTTCTGAGTTTCTTTTCAGGAAGAAAGACCCATGGGAACCAGGGTTCTCTGAACTGGTAAGAATTAGAACTGGCTGGGTGTGGTGGCTCACACCTGAAATCCCAGCACTTTGGGAGGCTGAGGCAGGAGGATGGCTTGAGTCCAGGAGTTTGACACCAGCCTGGGCAACATGGCAAAACCCTGTGTCTACAAAAAATACAAAAAAATTAGCCGGGCATGGTGGCACGTGCCTCTAGTCCCAGCTACTTGGGAGGCTGAGGTGGGAGGATTGCTTGAGCCTAGGAGGTGGAGGTTGCAGTGACCTGAGATTGCACCACTGCACTCCAGCCTGGGTGATGTTGGGTTTTGAAGGGAAGATGAGGGTTAAAGAATGACACACACACAGAGACAGAGGGTGGCTTAACAGCAACACAGGTATATTGCAAAAACCTGTGGAGATGGGCGACCAGCTTAGTCCCAGAGCCCATTGCCGCTTACAGGCTGGGGCAATTTATAGGCCTGAGTGGGAGGGGTCGGGGCAGGGGGTCATGGCCTGCTTCCTGGGAAAATGTTGATAATGTGTTCTTAGGATGAGGTGGTTCTGGCCCTTGTTCCGGCAGAATGTGGTGTTCTTTGCACTTTCTCCCAGCAGAATATAAGAGGCAGGCTGTTTCTCACCACCCAAACCCCCGTGGAATGTTTCATTTTGACCAAGGTCTGCGAAATGGTGGGGGACTTACAAAATTGTGCAGGTTGGACTAACATTCTTGCTTTATACTTTTTTTATTTTTTCGAGACAGAGTCTCACTCTGTCGCCCAGGCTGGAATGCAGTGGTGCAATCTTGGCTCATTGCAGCCTCTGCCTCCCGGGTTCAAGCGATTCTCTTGCCTCAGCCTCCTGAGTAGCTGGGACTACAGGTGGCCGCCACCACACCCGGCTAATTTTTGTATTTTCAGTAGAGATGGGGTTTCACCATGTTGGCCAGGCTGGTCTCAAACTCCTGACCTCAAGTGATCTGCCTGCCTCAGCCTCCCAAACTGCTGGGATTACAGGCGTGAGCCACCGCGCCTGGCCACCTTCTACTTTAATATAAAGGGAAGAGCGTGGTTGTTGATTATCTGGCTGCTTCCTGCTGAATAGTGGTGCTGTAATCAGGGTTTGGGTTTTGAAGCAGTGGGTGTCTGACTTCTGAGTTGCTTTCCTGGCGGCGCTGATACTGGACTTGGCGGAGTGGGATGGTATCAGTGTCTTTCTGGGTGGCTGCCTGGACAAGGGAGTTCAGCCTTTGGGAGGTGAAGTGGGATATGAAGGTGAGTACACACAGGCCAACTGTTAGGAAGAAGAAAATTAGGGGCCCTAAGAAGAGGTTACCCAAGGCATCCACTTTAGGAGGGATGACCCCTGCCTCTAAGAGTTAGTGGCTTGATGTTGGATTTCTGCAGACCCGTCTCGGAGCCTGCGGGCTGTGTCTCAAACAGTGCCGTATTCGTGAACATTTAAACAGCCTCCTTCTTAGAGATACACACATGTGCGCCCCTTCTCAGTGGCTGACAGGTCTACGGCCCTTCGGTTCTGGAGAACAACTCCCACAGGGGAACCTACCTGCCTTTGGAGGCTTGTGATGGAAGTAGGCATGTCAAGAGGACTGCAGAGATTTATATATCTATATAAGGCAGCTGAGGCTGATACACCCGACCCGCCATTGTGGTGCCAAGTGCGACAGAGAGGCTTAATCCTGTTACCAGAAGAAGGAGATGTAGAGCTGGCTTAGCGTGCTCGGAGGAGGAGGAAATAGGGAGAGCCTCAATGGTTTGGTTGTTAGGCAAAATGTCAACGTTTGGAGATTGAAACACCAGGGTGTATGTTTGTAACCCACCTGCCGGCAGACAAAGATAAGTTTGTTTCATACAGAAAGAAAAGGGGGGTTGGGGGGGTTGGCAGGCAAAAGTTGTAAGTGAAGGTAGCGAGCTATGAGAAGATCAGGGGTGAATCCTGGACAAAGGTTTTGTTCCAACTTTTTGTTTTTCCAGGTTGAATAGCTGTTAACAAGGGTAACCCCTGTGAGGGCCGGATAGGGGATGTTGGTGGGGGAGGAGGTGAAGGCTGTTTGGTTTTGGAGAGAGACAGAAATAGGTTTTCGTTAACAAGTAGCTACTGCAGTACGGGTAGGGCAGAAGGATATAGGTTGCAGCTGAGGGAATTGTGTGTGCATTTTTTCCAGGGAGCGCCCTTGAGTTGGTTACACGGAGAGCAGTGCTGGCAGAGAGGGGAGGGGTTGATAAGAGGTGTTCTATGGAATCCAACTTGTAACATGTTTAGATGTTAAGAGGCAAAGGAGAGTGACAGCCCTGTGTGTGACGGTGTGGGTGGATATGATGGATTGCGGGGAAAGGTGTTTAGCCGAACAAGATTATAAACAGGTTTTGGGAATGAATTGGCCAAGTAGGTGAGATGCAGGTTTATTTTGGGCCAAGTTTCTGCAGTTAGATTAACAGGAAGGGCTGTGAACTGCTGGATTTGTGTGGACAAACAAATTTACAGTTGGAAGAAAGAGGGGAGTGTGACTGATTTAAGAGAAATGTGTGAGGCTGATGAAGGGGCCCGACTGCCAGAGGTTGGGGGTGAGGACTTAGCATATCCCACAAAGGACAAAATGAAAAAAGGCAATTTGAGTAGGAGTGAAATTCTGAAAGGTACCCTGTAGCCATAGCTCCTGGATTGATGTGAGGAATTCGAGTGGAGTATCCAGGGACGTGGGGAGGGAAAGATCTGAAACAAGGTATGAGATAAAATATTTGAAATTGGAGGCAGAGAGTGTTACGGACCAGGGCCTTCTGGATAGGCAACTTCTGCACCCTTGTTAAGCGCAGTGAGGTTGGTCCTGTGAGGGAGGAAGAATAGTTTTTGTGGGGGGAGAAATTTTCTGGATGTGAATCTGGAGGTTTTTTTAGTTTGGAATTGTGTATCCAGTGTGGGAAGGGTGTTAGCTTTGCTGCCGTGGGAGTAGCTAGAATAACCTGGTGAGGACCCGTCCACTTTGGTAGGAGAGGGGAGGAGGAGGGGTCTGTGATCCAGACCCAGTCCCCCCTGGTTGTAGGGACAGGGAGGAGTGTTTTGAGGATGGACTTTCAGGCGGCGGCAAGTAAGCGTTAGTGTACTGTCTATTAGATGGTGAGTGAGGTGTAATGCTGGCCAAGTACCCCATGCAGAAGGGCGGGGAGATACAGGGAGATTTTGGAGGATAAAGGGGCATCCATACATATGTTCAAATGGGCTTATGCTGAGGGGCTTGTGAGGAATGGCTTATAAATGCATGAGGGCCATGGGGAGTAGTAAAGTTTAGGCCATTTTAACCTCTAGGGAGAGTTTGGATAATTGTTGTTTTAGAAGGGCATTGGACCATTCAATCTTACCTGAAGATGAGGGTCAATAAGGAATATGGAAGGCCCATTTAATGTTTAGAGCCTTTGCCAGCTGTTGGCTAACCTGTGAAACATATGTTGGCCCGTTGTCTGACTGGATGAAAGAGGGGAGTCCAAACCGGGGGATAATATGTGTGAGGAGAATAGAAGCAACAGTGTGGCTTTTCAGTAGTAGTAGTAGTGGTGGTAGGAAACCCCTCTATCCATCCAGTGTATCTACTATTGTCAGAAGGTTCTGGACTCATTTTACAGGGGGCATGCAGGTGAAGGCGATTTCCCAGTCCTGCCCTGGCAGGTGTCCTCAGGCCTGGTGTGTGGGGAAAGGGGGTGATTTGATAGCTTTCTGAGGGGAAGTCTGAGTGCAAAGGGAACATGCCTTAGTAATATCTTTGAGATTGGCAGCCATGGTGGGAGAATGTATATGTTTTTAAGAGCTGAAGTAGGGGGAGGCAACCAGCATGGAAATGGTTGTGCACATATAAAAGTACAGAAGGTTTTTTTTTTTGAGACAGAGTCTTGCTCTGTCACCCAGGCTGGAGTGCAGTGGCACGATCTCGGCTCAATGCATCCTCTCCATCCTGGGTTCAAGCAGTTCTCTGCCTCAGCCTCCTGAGTAGCTGGGATTACAGGCGCCTGCCACCATGTCCGGCTAATTTTTGTATTTTTAGTAGACATGGGGTTTCACCATGTTGGCCAGGCTGGTTTTGAACTCCTGACCTCAGGTGATCCTCCCGCCTCAGCCTCCCAAAATGCTGGGATTACAGGCGTGAGCCACCATGCCCGGCCCAGAAGGTTTTTAAAATTTGGCCAAGACAATTTTAGCACTGAGGTAGAACCATTTTTTCCTGAATGGCACCAGCCAGGGCAAGTGAGGTTTGTTCCTCCTGGGTACATACAGGGTATATGCTGGGAAAACTGGGCAATAATGATGGGGTTTAAGGGCTGCCTGCCGGGCTGCCTAATTTGCTAAAAGATTTCCCTTGGTTATGGCATTTGTAGCCTTTTGGTGTCCCTTACAATGGATAATGGTGGCCTGTAGTGGTAGTTTAGCTGCCTCCACCAGCTTGTGTATGAGTTTGCCATTTACTATGGGGGTTCTTTTTAGCTAGAAATCCCCTTTCCTGCCAGATTAAGGTGTGAGAATGTAGGATGTGGTATGCATATTTGGTATTGGTGTAAATGTTTTTTTTTCCTGTAATGGAGTCTCACTCTGTCACCCAGGCTGGAGTAAGTGGCACAATCTTGGCTCACTGCAACCCCCGCCTCCTGGGTTCAAGCAATTCTCCTGCCTCAGCCTCCAGAGTAGCTGTGACTACAGGTGCCCGCCACCATGCCCAGCTAATTTTTGTATTTTTAGTAGAGATGGGGTTTCACCGTGTTGGCCAGGATGGTCTCGATCTCCCGACCTCGTGATCCGCCCGCCTCGGCCTCCCAAAGTGCTGGGATTACAGGCGTGAGCCACCACGCCGGGCCAGGAATCAGTGTAAAAGTTAACCCTCTTTCCCTTTGTTAGGGTGAGGGCCCTGGTTAGGGCAACCAACTCTATCTGTTGAGAGGTAGTTCTGCCTGTTGCGAGGTAGTATGGGGTGGGAGAGCATTAGATTCTGAGAGTTTATTTTGGCAATGATGTTGTAACCACATGGTGGACATGGCTCCTTTAAAGAGCTTCCGTTAATGAACCATGTAGTTGTTCCCTGCAAAGGGGCTTCTGAAATGTGTTGGAAGGGGGAGGAAAGGGAGTCTAAGAGGTCCAGGCAGGAGTGAGACAGCTCAGAGTCAGAGGTGTTTACAGGGAGGAGAGTGGGAGGGTTGAGAGCTTTACCTTTCTGGAAGGTGATTAGAAGGTTTCCTATGAATAAGGTGTGTACCTGGTGTAAGCAGGATGATGGGAGGGATAGAAGAGATTGATGGCTCATGAGGTCCTGTAGGTTATGGGAAGATGAAATAGTAATGTGTTGGTAGAGAGTGAGTTTCTGTGCCTCCGAGGCCAGCAATGTGGCCGCACCCAAGATTTTTAGGCAGGGTGGCCAGCCTTGGACGACAGTCTGGTTGTTTTGAGGGGTATGCAATGGCTTGTGTTTGGCAGAGCAGTTCAAGAGCAAGGCCTTGTCAGAATGTACATGCAGAGTAAAGGGCTTGGTGGGGTTGGGCAGTCCCAGTTCTGGGGCCATTAAAAGGGTATTTTTTAGTTTTTTTTAAAGTGTGAATTGATGGGACGAGCCGGGTTCAGAGGCTCTAGGCTGGGCCCAAGTGAGGACATGTAGAGCAGCTTGGCCAGCAAACAGAAGTTGGGAATCCACAGCCGGAAGTATCCCATGAGGCCCAAGAAGGACAGGAGGTCCTTCTTTGTGTGGGGAAGGGGCAATGTCTTGAATTAGCTCCTTTTGTTGGGTTAGGATGGCCTGAGAATTAGGGGTTAGAACTCAGGTGAGTGACCTGGGTTTGGGCTACATGAGTCTTTGTTGGTGAGACCCAATATCTTTACCTATGGAGGAAGTTTAAAAGCTGAGTGGTGCGTTGGATGGACAGGTTAAGGGAGGGGCTACAGAAAAGTAGGTCATTGACTTATTGAGGGAGGGTGCTAGGAGCAATGGGAAGTTCAGCTAGGTCCTTGGTGACGGCCTGTCCGAATAGGTGGGGGCTGTCCCAGAACCCCTGTGGGAGTATGGTCCATGTTAGTTGGGTGGACATGTGGGTATTAGGATCTGACCAAGAGAAAGCAAAAATACTTTGGGAAGCCGAATTTAAGGAAATAGTGAAAAAGGTGTCCTTTAAATCCAGTACAGGGAAGTGTGTGGTAGAAGAGGGACTATGGGAGAGTGGAGTATGTGGGATGAGAGTGGAGTGTTGGATGAATTGGTATTACCACCTGGTTAACAACTCAGAGATCCTGGACCAAGTGGTAGGATCTTGAGAATATTAGCTTGTAAAAGTTTACAGATAATAGGTTTGAGGCCCCTGAGGCTGCCTGGGTTAGGGGATATTGAGACTGATGATGGAAAATGGAGTGGTTTTGGAGGGTTATTTTAACTGGGATGTGATGTGTGGCTATTGTGGGTTTAAAAATGTTCCAAATTTCAGAATTAACAGAAGGTAACAGGGTGGATAACGAGGATGAGGGGGAGAGGGAAGCATCTGGTGGCAGAATAAAATAAAAGGAGCGGAATTGCAGGAGGCAGATTGTATGGAGGCCTGGGATTTACTTAGTATGTCCTGCCCCAAGATAGGGGCAGGGCACCGAGGGATAACCAGGAAGGAGTGGGTGAATGGGGTGTTGAATAGGTTGCATAATAGAGGACCAGTCTGTTTGTGCCTAGAGGGGATTCCATCAACTCCCACAATACAGATAGAAGAACTGAGGAGGGGTCCAGAATATTCTAATAAAACTGAGTAACTAGTCCCTGTATCCAATAGGAAAGACATGGGCTTACCAGAGACTGACCCTGGGTTCCGAGGTGGTGATGGCAGTTGGGGTGGTAGGCCCCTGGCCCCATCAGTCTTCAGTTAGAGGTGGTGAAGCGGGATGAAGAGTTTTGCTGAGCACAGTCCCACTTCCAATGTTCCTTGATGCCACAGATGGGGCAAAGTTTTGAGAGTAGGCCTTTGCCCAGTGACTCTGTTGGCTGCACTTAAAACAGGCTTCTGGTAGAGTTTGCTGCAAGGTTGAGGATTTCTGTACATGTTGGGAACCCTGTTGAATGGCAGCTGCCAGCATCTGGCATTTAGCCTGGTCTCTTTTTAGCTTTTGGACTTTTAGTTTTTCCTCTCTATTGTTAAAGACCTTAAAGGCCACTTTGATTAAGTCTTTTTGGGAGGTTTGAGGGCTATTCTCCAGTTTTTTAAGTTTCATTAGAATGTCTGGGGCTGACTGGAAAATGAAGTGTAAATGGAGGTAGATTCTTCCCTTATTGGCATTAGGGTTCAACGTGGCATATTTAGTTATGGCCTTTGAAAGGCAGGAGAAGAAAAGAGCAGGAACAGCTTTATTTATTTATTTTTGAGATGGAGTTTCACTCTTGTTGCCCAGGCTGGAGTGCAATGGCGTGATCTCGACTCACCACAACCTCTGCCTCCTGAGTTCAAGTGATTCTCCTGCCTTAGCCTCCCGGGTAGCTGAGACTCGGACTGGCTCTCCTTGCTCCACAAGCTTGCAGACAGCCTATTGTGGGACCTTATGATTGTGTAAGTTAATACTTATTCCCCTTTATACAGGCATGCACCACCACGCCTAATTTTTTTTTTTTTTTTTTTTTTAGTACAGACGGAGTTTCTCCATGTTGGTCAGGCTGGTCTCGAACTCCTGACCTCAGGTGATCTGCCTGCCTTGGCCTCCCGAAGTGCTGGGATTACAGATGTGAGCCACCATGCCTGGCCAGGAATGGCTTTATTTATGCCAGCTAGGAGGCATATCATATGGCCTTATTTCTATCTGTCTGCAGAAGTTGCCTGATAATCCCAACTGGGGTCAGTTCTGGGGACAGTTAGGGTCCATATTGGGTTATGGGCAGCATCTTGTCTATGGGAGGGTGTCTACATGGGCCTGGGCAGCTATCCAGATGCATTCCCTGTCCTCAGGGGTGAGGGTGCAGGAGAGGATGACATATATGACATGCCAGGTAAGGTCATAAAATTGAGTGACATACAGAAATTCCTTGAGGAAGGAGGTGGGATCTGTGCAAAACGAGCTGAATCTCTTTTTTTTTTTGAGACAGAGTCTCGCTCTGTCGCCCAGGCTGGAGTACAGTGGCGTGATCTTGGCTCACTGCAAGCTCCACCTCCTGGGTTCACACCATTCTCCTGCCTCAGCCTCCCAAGTAGCTGGGACTACAGGCGTCTGCCACCACGCCCAGCTAATTTTTTGTATTTTTAGTAGAGACAGGGTTTCACTATGTTAGCCAGGATGGTCTCAATATCATGACCTCGTTATCAGCCTGCCTCAGCCTCCCAAATTGCTGGGATTACAGGTGTGAGCCACCACGCCCGGCCGCTGAGTCTCTTTTTAAGCTGAGAGAGGTCGACTAGGGAAAAGGGAACATGAACTCAGATTATGCCTTTAGTCCCTGTGACCTCCTGGAAAGGGAGAACTTAGGAGGACCTTTGGCTGTGTGCCTGGTTTTTGGTGGAAGGGGGCTGGGCACGTGCCTAGTTTGTTGGCTAGGTTGAAATTAGAGGAGAAAGGTTTGTCTGGAGGAGGAGGCGTTTTTGTGGGTTTTTTGTTGAGGAGGAAGATTTGAAAAGGTGAACGGGATTGGCAGAGAGAGAGTGAGCCAGGAGCACAGATAAGCAAAGCACCTCAGATCATTTACGATTGCACTGGAGGAAGTCTTTTAGATTATGTCAGATGTGGAAATTGAATGTTTTGGTTTTTGGCTATTGACTATTATTGTCTAGTTTACATTGGGGCTGGGCAACATTACAGAGGAAAGTAAGGTGTTCAGTTTTTTGTTTTTGTTTTTGTTTTTGTTTGAGACAGAGTCTCACTCTGTCACCCAGACTGGAATGCAGTGGAACGATCTTGGCTCACTGCAACCTCTGCCTCCCCGGTTCAAGCAATTCTCCTGCCTCAGCCTCCTGGGTAGCTGGGATTACAGGCACCTGCCACCACACCCGGCTAATTTTTGTATTTTTAGTAGAGACAGGGTTTCACCATATTGGCCAGGCTGGTCTCGAACTCCTGATCTTGTGATCTGCCCACCTTGGCCTCCCAAAGTGCTGAGATTACAGGCATGAACTATCACACTTGGCCAGCAAGGCGTTCAGTTTTAATGGAGTCTGCCAAGCCCTGGGCTTGGAGGTTCTGGATGGAAACATCCAAGAGTGGTGTCTTGAGGTTTTGAGGAGTGTTGCCCCATACTGCTGGCCAGAGGGTGAGAAATTTAGAGGATGGAAGTACCCCAGAGGGAAGTGAATACCCCGGAGGGGAGTGAGTACCCCGATTCCTCCTGGGAGAAGGGACCTAGGAGAGCCAGGGCGTCCCTACAGCTCTTTGCAGACCCCCAGAGGCTGCAGTGGCCAAAGTGGTGAGCATTCTGACGGCGTCCCCTGAGAGGGTAGGCCACGGTCACCTGGTGACCAGGGAGACCTCTCACCTGGTACTGGAATTTTCTGGTGAACCCCCAGAAATATGAGAGGAATCTGGAGAGGAAAAAAAGAGAGACTCACCCACTAATTGGAGACGGGTGTTGGATGTGATGTCCAGCAATGGGATTGATACTTGCTGGAGCTGCCTGGAAAGGGGAAGGAAGGAAAAAGAGGATGGAGAGTTTGATCAGGATCTGGAAGTCAGCCCAGGACCAGAGAAGAAGAGAGAATAAAGGAACGGAGCTGGGAATAGGGAGTCCATTCAGGATCTGGAAGCAGGCCTGGGTCTGGTTTTTGCTGCTTGCTGCTTTCCAGGTTGCTAGAAAACATTTACCCATTTAGAACCCAATTCCTATCCTGGGTTTTGGCACTAAAATGTTAGGTTTTGAAGGGAGGGCAAGGGCTAAAGAAACACACACACACACACACACACACACAGAGAGAGAGAGAGGAGAGAGAGGGGGGAGACAGACAGAGAGAGAGAGAGAGATTGTTGCTCAACAGCAACAACACAGGTATATTGCAAAAACCTGTGGAGATGGGGGACGAGCTTAACTCCAGAGCCCATAGCTGCTTATAGGCTGGGGAAATTTATAGGTGTGATGGTTAATACTGGAGAAATGTGAAAAGGCCAGACTGGCCTACCCTCCCAGCCTACATCTTTCTCCCATGCCGGATGCTTCCTGCCCTCCAACATCTGACTCCAAGTTCTTCAGTTTTGAGACTTGGACTGGCTCTCCTTGCTCCTGAAGCTTGCAGACAGCCTATAGTGGGACCTCGTGATTGTGTAATTTAATACTTCCCTTTTTATATATATTCCATTAGTTCTATCCCTCTAGAGAACTCTGACTAATACAGATTTTTGTACCAGGAGTGGTTCTGGAGGAAGAGGATATTAAGGATGGAGTTCTGTCATTGGTTTTGGGGTTTCTGGATTTGGCTGGTTAATATGATTAGACCCCAAAATGTTAAGGACTCTACTTCTAATAGTATGGAGAACACTGATAGTCCTTGGCATAAACTGTTTAGAGAGTTATGCAAAATAAATGCATTTGACACTCCTGATTCACCATTCATGAGAGGCAAGGAGTTTAGTGACCCTATACATAATATCTTTGACTATATGTGGAGAACCAAGGAACATGATGAAGCTGGTTGGTTGCTCCTAAGTTCAGTGGACAAAGTGATGAAAGAAAATGATGGCTGGGCTGGGCACAGTGGCTCACGTCTGTAATCCCAGCACTTTGGGAGGCTGAGGTGGGAGGATCATGAGGTCAGGAGATCAAGACCATCCTGGCTAACACAGTGAAACCCCATCTCTACTAAAAATACAAAAAATTAGCCAGGCGTGGTGGCAGGCGCCTGTAGTCCCAGCTACTCGGAAGGCTGAGGCAGGAGAATGGCATGAACCCAGGAGGTGGAGCTTGCAGTGAGCTGAGTTCGCACCACTGCACTCCAGCCTGGGTGACAGAGCGAGACTCCGCCTCAAAAAAAAAAAAAAACAAAAAAAAAAAGAAAGAAAACGATGGCTGGGCATGATGGCTCATGCCTGTAATTCCAGCACTTTGGTAGTGTGGGCGGCAAGCCACCCAGGTGCTGAGGCAAGAGACCGAGGGCACGAGCTGTTCCAGTATAATAAAATATATAAAACAACAAGTTATACTAGATCAGATCACAGACATGATTATATATGAATATCATTAATCATTAGTTTGTAGCAATTACTCTTTATTCCAATATTATAATAATCCTCACTCTATAATCATAACCTAGGAAAAACCAGGCCATACAGATATAGGAGCTGAGGGGACATAGTGAGAAGTGACCAGAAGACATGAGTGTGAGCCTTCTGTTATGCCCAGACAGGGCCACCAGAGGGCTCCTTGGTCTAGTGGTAACGCCAGCATCTGGGAAAACGCCTGTTGCCAAGTAGACCGTGGTCTAGCAGTAGCGTCAGTGCCAAGGAAAAATACCTGCTACTTAGCAGACCGGGAAAGGGAGTGTCCCTTTCCCTGGGGGAGTTTAGAGAAGACTCTAGTCCTCCACCTCTTGTGGAGGGCCTGACATCAGTCAGGCCTGCCCGCAGTTATCCAGGGGCCTAACCGTCTCCCTGTGATGCTGTGCTTCAGTGGTCACGCTCCTAGTCTGCTTTCGTGTTCCATCCTGTACACCTGGCTCTGCCTTTTAGATAGCAGTAGAAAATTAGTGAAAGTACTAAAAGTCTCTGATATGCAGAAATAATGGTGTAAGCTGTCTCTCTCTCTCCCTCTCTCTCTGCCTCGGCTGCCAGGCAGGGAAGGGCCCCCTGTTCAGTGGACACATGACCCACGTGGCCTTACCTATCATTGGAGATGGCTCACACTCCTTACCCTGCCCCTTTGTCTTGTATCTAATAAATATCAGTGCAGCCTGGCATTTGGGACCACTACCGGTCTCTGCGTCTTGGTGGTAGTGGTCCCCTGGGCCCAGGTGTCTTTTCTTTTCTCTTTGTCTTGTGTCTTTATTTCTATGCTCTCTCATCTCCGCACACGGGGAGAAAAACCCACCGACCCTGTGGGGCTGGTCCCTACAGGTAGGCCAAGGTGGGTGGATCACCTGAGGTCAGGTAATTAATGGAGTTTTAGCTCAGGTCCAACTTACAGCGGGTCCAGTGGGTCCCCAGACTCATCCTGTGGTCATTTTCCAAGTGCCAGGATGCATAATTGGCATAGACATACTTAGCAGCTGGCAGAACCCCCACATTGGCTCCTTGACTGGTAAAGGCTATTATGGTTGGAAACGCCAAATGGAAGCCATTAGAGCTGGCTGTACCTAGAAAAGTAGTAAATCAAAAACAATATTGAATCCCTGGAGGGAACATGGAGATTAGTGCTACTATCAAGGACTTGAAGGACACAGGGGTGGTGATTCCCACCATCTCCCTGTTCAACTCTCCCATTTGGCCTGTGCAGAAGACAGATGGATCTTGGAGGATGACAGTGGATTATGATGAGCTTAACTAAGTAGTGACTCCAATTGCAGCTGCCGTACCAGATGTGGTTTCATTGCTGGAGCAAATCAACACATCTCCTGGTGTTGGGAACAGGCCCCCCAAAATCTGGCCATAAACTGGCCCCAAAACTGGCCATAAACAAAATCTCTGTAGCACTGTGACATTTTCATGATGGCCATAACGCCCACGCTGGAAGGTTGCAGGTTTACAGGAATGAGGGCAAGGAATACCTGGCCCACCCAGGGCGGAAAACCGCTTAAAGGCATTCTTAAACCACAAACAATAGCATGAGCGATCTGTGCCTTAAGGACATGCTCCTGCTGCAGTTAACTAGCCCAACCTATTCCTTTAACTTGGCCCATCCCTTCATTTCTCATAAGGGATACTTTTAGTTAATTTAATAACTATAGAAACAATGCTAATGACTGGCTTGCTGTTAATAAATACATGGGTAAATCTCCGGTTGGGGCTCTCAGCTCTGAAGGCTGTGAGACCCCTGATTTTCCACCTCACACCTCTATATTTCTGTGTGTATGTCTTTAATTCCTCTAGTGCTGCTGGGTTAGGGTCTCCCTGACTGAACTGGTCTCGGCAAGTGACGTCCATTGTGGGGGCTCGAATCCAGGTTGAAGGGTCACTGGAGCAACGGAGAATGTGGAACTAAGCTGGAGGACACCCAAGTACTCTTAAAGCCATCCCTGTGGTGAGTAAGGGGAGCTCAGAAGCATCAGGGTAACAGTGGGACAAATGTGGGGTCTGGTGCGTTCTCCCTTGGAACTTTTTCACACTGATGATGAGGAGGAAGGAGAGTAAAACGAAGTAACAGAAGAGGTTACAGAGCAGGTTTATTTGCCAATTTGCCAGCTAAAGCTCAAGCGGCAAAGGAGGGAGAGGTTCATCCCTACCCTTCTGCACCCCCTCCTTATTATTTTGAAGAAAAAGACCCTCCAGATCTTTCTTTTCCAGAGGACATTGGGTGAAAAGTAGTTGCCCCAGTGACTGAGCAATGCCTTGAGCAACTGCTCTTAGTTCTATTCAGGCAGGAATTCAGCAAGCTAGATGAGAGGGCGATTTAGAGGCTTGGCAATTCCCTGTTAGAATACACCCCCCAGATCAACAGGGAAATATTATAGTTACATTTGAGCCTTTTCCTTTTAAATTATTTAAAGAATTTAAACAAGCTGTTAATCAGTATGGACCAGGTTCTCCTTTTGTAATGGGACTGTTAAAGAATGTTGCTGTTTCCAGTTGGATGATTCCTACTGACTGGGATGCTCTTACTCGAGCTTGTCTAACTCCTGCTCAGTTCTTACAATTTAAAACTTGGTGGGCAGATGAAGCTTCCATTCAGGCTGCTCGCAATGCCCAGGCCCAAATTAATATAACTGAAGACTAACTTTTGGGGGTTGGCGGCTGGGCTGGTTTAGATGCACAAGTGGTCATGCAGGATGATGCCATAGAACAACTTAGAGGAGTGTGCATTAGAGCTTGGGAAAAAAATCACTTCATGTGGAGAACAATACCCTTCCTTTAGTGCAGTAAAACAGGGACCAAAAAAACCATACATGGATTTTATAGCTCGGTTACAGGAGTCTCTTAAAAAGGTAACTGCAGATTCGACTGCTCAGGATATAGTGTTGCACTTATTAGCTTTCAACAATGCTAATCCCGACTGCCTGGCAGCTCTGCGACCTATCAGAGGGAAAGCACATTTAGTTGATTATACCAAGGCCTGTGATGGTATTGGAATTAATCTGCATAAGGCTACTCTGCTAGCACAGGCAATGGCAGGACTAAGAGTGGATAAAGGAAATATTCTATTTCCTGGAGCTTGTTTTAACTGTGGGAAGCATGGTCATACTAAAAAAGAATGTAGAAAAAATCAGCGAGTTATGCTGCCAGATAGGGGAAAAGAGAAAACTGTTGAGCCTGAAATATGTCCAAAATGTAAAAAAGGAAAACACTGGGCTAGTAAGTGTCACTCTAAGTTTGATAAAGATGGTAACCCGATTTCGGGAAACGCCATGAGGGGCCCATCCCAGGCCCCATTCTAAACCGGGGCATTTCCAGCTCAGGCCATTCCCTCACCCCTGTACAATGTCTGTCCTCTGCCACAGCCAGTAGTGCCACAGTTGATTTATGCTGCACAAAAGCTGTGAGCCTTCTGCCTGGGGAACCCCCACAAAAGGTCCCAACAGGAGTCTGTGGACCCTTGCCAGCAGGGATGATAGGATTACTTCTAGGCAGGTCTAGCTTAAATTTAAAAGGGGTACAAATACATACAGGAGTCATTGATTCAGATTACAATGGGGAAATTCAAATTGTTATATCTACTTCTGTTCCCTGGAAAGCAGAGCCAGGAGAGTGCATAGCACAGCTCCTGATTGTGCCATATGTGGGAATGGGAAAAAGTGAAGTTACATGAACAGGAGGATTTGGAAGCACAAATAAACAAGGCAAAGCAGCTTATCGGGTAAAGCAAGTTACTGATAAACGTCCTACCTGTGAAATAACTATTCAGGGAAAGAAATTTAAAGGTTTGGTAGATACAGGAGTGGACATTTCAATCATTTCTGTACAGCAGTGGCCGTCCACGTGGCCAATTCAACCCACCCAATTTAACATAGTTGGAATTGGTAAAGCCCCTGAAGTATATCAAAGTAGTTATATTTTGCATTGTGTAGGGCCTGATGGACAACCTGGTACTATCCAACCAGTTATAACTTCTGTACCTATAAATTTATGGGGGAGAGATTTATTACAACAATGGGGAGCACAAGTTCTAATTCCAGAACAATTATATAGCCCTCAAAGTCAACATATGATGCATAAAATAGGGGATGTAATTGTCATGAGTATTTTTCCTTCTTTTGTTAAAAACATGTTTGTGTTGGCCAGGCGCGGTGGCTCATGCCTGTAATCCCAGCACTTTGGGAGGCCGAGACGGACGGATCACGAGGTCAGGAGATCGAGACCATCCTGGCTAACACGGTGAAATCTCATCTCTACTAAAAATACAAAAAATTAGCTGGGCATGGTGGCGGGCACCTGTAGTCCCAGCTACTCAGGAGGCTGAGGCAGGAGAAAGGCATCAACCCGGGAGGCGGAGCTTGCAGTGATCTGAGATTGCGCCACTGCACTCCAGCCTGGGCAACTGAGCGTGACTATGTCTCGGGAAAAAAAAAAAAGTTTGTGCATGTAAACACTTGTACTAAGAATATCTTCATTTTATTTCATTTTCCTTTATCACGTGACATAAGATTTATTGACTTCATATCAGCATTTAAGTATTGTTAACTTTATGTAATAGCATTTGGGTTGGGGATTGGTTTGTTTCCAGTTGTACAAAAGATAGTTGTATTATGTTAGGTATAATTATGACCTTATTAGTGTCTTTATTTGAAGATTATGTATGATCTCAGGAGATGTGTATGGGTTCAAGTTGACAAGGGGTGGACTTGTGATGGTTAATACTGAGTGTCAACTTGATTGGATTAACAAATGCAAAGTATTAATCCTGGGTGTGTATGCGAGGGTGTTGCCAAAGGATATCAACATCCGAGTCAGTGGGCTGGGGAAGGCAGACCCACCCTTAATCTGGTGGGCACCATCTAATCAGCTGCCAGTGAATACAAAGCAGGCAGAAAAACGTGAAAAGGAGACTGGCCTGGCCTCCCAGCCTACATCTTTCTTCCATGCTGGACGCTTCCTGCCCTAGAACATCGGACTTCCAAGTTCTTCCATATATATATATATATATATATATATATTTCTATTAGTTCTGTGCCTCTAGAGAAGCTTAATACACACTACTACCACCCAAAAGTTTCCCCCACTCCAGGGCAAGTCCAACTCCTAGACAAGAAATTCCCAGCTTCTATCACCAGGTCCTCTGTACACTGAGTGGCCGTTGGTGGCCAGAGATTTCCCAGCCTGTTTTCTGGGAATGCCCCCTCTCTCTCAGGGATGCCTCAGGGCTGCCTGGCACATGCCAAGCCCAGTGTGCTGTCATCTTTCTCCAGAGAAGGTGAGAGGTGACAGCATGCTGGCAGCCCTTGCTTGCTCTCGGTGCCTCCTTGGCCTTGGCGTCCACTCTGGCTGTGCTTGAGGAGCCCTTCAGCCTGCCGCTGCACTGTGGAAGCCCCTTTCTGAGCTGGCCAAGGCTGGAGCCGGCTCCCTCAGCTTGCAGGGAGGTGTGGAGGGAGAGGCGTGGGTGGGAACCAGGGCTGCGCACGGTGCTTGTGGGCCAGCGTGAGTTCCGGGTGGGCATGGGCTCAGCAGGCCCCGCGCTCGGAGCTGCTGGCCGGCCTGCAAGCCCTGGGCAGTGAGGGGCTTAGCACCTGGGCCAGCAGCTGCTGTGCTCGACTTCTCACTGGGCCTTAGCTGCCTCCCCATGGGGCAGGGCTCGGGACCTGCAGCCTGCCATTCCTGAGGCTCCCCCTGCCCGCCGTGGGCTCCTGCGTGGCCTGAGCCTCCCTGACAAGCACCGTTCCCTGCTCCACAGCGCCCAGTCCCATTGACCACCCAAGGGCTGAGGAGTGCGGGCGCACAGCACAGGACTGGCAGGCAGCTCCACCTGTGGCCCTGGTGTGGGATCCACTGGGTGAAGCCAGCTGGGCTCCTAAGTCTAGTGGGGACTTGGAGAACCTTTATGTCTAGCTAAGGGATTGTAAACACACCAATCAGCACTCTGTGTCTAGCTCAGGGTTTGTGAATGCACCATTCGTCACTCTGTATCTAGTTAATCTGGTGGGGACTTGGAGAATCTTTATGTCTAGCTAAGGGATTGTAAATACACCAATCAGCACTCTGTATCTAGCTCAAGGTTTGTAAACACACCTGTCAGCACCCTGTGTCTAGCTCAGGGTTTGTGAATGCGCCAATCGGCACTCTGTATCTAGTTACTCTGTTGGGGACTTGGAGAACCTTTATGTCTAGCTAAAGGATTGTAAATACACAAATCAGCACTCTGTATCTAGCTCAAGGTTTGTAAATGCACCAATCAGCACTCTGTATCTAGCTAATCCAGTGGGGACATGGAGAACTTTTGTGTCTAGCTCAGGGATTGTAAATGCACCAATCAGCACCCTGTCAAAATGGACCAATCAGCTCTCTGTAAAACAGACCAATTGGCTCTCTGTAAAATGGACCAATCAAGCAGGATGTGGGTGGGGCCAGATAAGAGAATAAAAGCAGGCTGCCCGAGCCAGCAGTGGCAACCCGCTCGGGTCACCTTCCACACTGTGGAAGCTTTGTTCTTTTGCTCTTTGCAATAAATCTAGCTACTGCTCACTCTTTGGGTCCACACTGCTTTTACGAGCTGTAACACTCACCGCGAAGGTCTGCAGCTTCACTCCTGAAGCCATCGAGACCATGAACCCACCGGGAGGAATGAACAACTCCAGACGCACCACCTTAAGAGCTGTAACACTGACCGCGAAGGTCTGCAGCTTCACTCCTGAGCCAGTGAGACCACGAACCCACCAGAAGGAAGAAACTCTGAACACGTCCGAACATCAGAACGAACAAACTCCAGACACACTGCCTTTAAGAACTGTAACACTCACCACGAGGGTCCGCAGCTTCATTCTTGACGTCAGTGAGACCAAGAACCCACCAATTCCGGACACAAAGGGATGAGTCATACCACTGTCTCCTCACACCGGACATGGGATAGCCACAGCAGAAGCCACTTTATGGCCCAGAGAAATTCCAGGGAAAAAGGATTGTATTAATTGATAACATCATCAGCAATGCATGAAAGCACACATCTCCTCATACCTGGTCATTACAGGATAATCTTTACTAACTGATTAGTGGGTAGCATGTTGTTATTTGTTTTGGGATTGGTACACTTGAGCCTTTTCCAAGCTTCCATGGTTGTATATTCTCTTATTTGGAGTGGTCTGTTCATGTCCTATGGTCACTGATTTGTAGGAGATCTTTATGCCAAAGTTACTGATCTTTCTTCACTGCAAATACTTGTTCCAGTCATTACTTTTTTATTGGAAAGCGTCAGATTATACACAGAAATTCCAGGCAGACTAAAATGTTTTCCAAAATAATAGAAAATTTGAAGAGAACCAAGTTTCAAATTCTTAATAGCTGTTAGAAGAAACAATTTTAAAAGAAATATATACGTATTTTTTGTGACAAGGTCTCTCTCTGTTGTCCAGGCTAGATAGTATGATCACAGCACACTAGTCTTGAACTCCCAATCAATCCTCCCACCTTAGCCTCCCACGTATCTGGGACTACAGGCGCAAGCCACAACACCCAGCTAATTTTTTTTTTGTAGAGACGGGTTTTCGCCATGCTGGTCTCAAAGTCCTGGGCTCAAGCGATCCACCCACTTCAGCCTCCCAAAGTGCTGGGATTACAGGTGTGAGCCATTGCACCCAGCCAAAGAGAAGTATTTAAATACCTAAAATATACAGACTTCTGAATAAAACAAATCCAAAATAAAGGTGGAATGCTGCTGACAAATCAGGCAGAAGATAATGGTTGAGAAGACTGTTATCAGCATGAAAATTCAGGGCCCTGGCCTTTGATGTTATATCCCAAAAAGGTAGATAGCCCACATGTTCCAGTAGGTCATGTGCCACCTCTTTCTCCTTGGAGAGGAGGAGGTGAGTGGCAAGAAAATGTAGCCTGGGAATCCTCCTCAGAAAGAAGGGCATTGAAGCCCACTTCCTGGCTCCGTGGACACCTGAGCCTGCATTCTCACCAGTGGATCAATGGCAGCCTGACATAGCAAGAACAGGCAGAATGATATTAAGCTCATTTTAAGAATGCAGGAAAAAAACTATACTTTTTGGAAGGATTTCCCTGAAAACCCTAGGTTATTGGAATCCAGAATAACTTGTACTGTGTAACTTACGTTGTCCTGTGATACACAGTCTTTCTAAACAAATGTTCCTGTATATTGAATTTAATTATTCTCATCTTAATTGGAATATGACTTTGTCTTTAATGATTAGAAATTGGGGCCTGAATAGTAGTGGGCACTGAGCAGCTGCCACTGAGTCACATGCCAGCTGTGGACTCAGCTAACACAGGTTGGCAGCTTCCTTTCATAGAAGATTTAAGATAGCACCACAGTGTTCTCATTTTCTCTCAATTAATATTGAGGTGACCTCAGGTTTCTGGACTTTCATCTCAGTGATCTCATCTAGGTACCTGGGTGATCTCTTGGCTCTGAAGTAACACCTCAGTAATCTCAGTTCCTCTTTGGACTGTTACCTCAGTGATCTCAGCTCCATTCTGAAGTAACTTCTCAGTGATCATAGCTTTTCCCTAAAGTAACCTCTTTCTAAAGCATCACCCCTAGTGATCTCAACCTTTCTCTGAAGAATCACCTTAGTGATTTCAGCCACCTCTGAAGTTAACACCTGTGTGATCTCAACTCCAGTGAACAACTCAGTTATTTCATCTCCTTTCTAAAGTTAACAGCTTAGTGATCTCATTTCCTTTCTGAAGAATCACATCAGCAGTCTCAGCCTCTCTTAAGTAACATCTCTGTGATCTCAGCTTCTAACACCTGAGGGACACCATCTTGGTCCTGAATAATACCTCAGTAACCTCAGCTCCTCCCTTAAGTAACATCTCATTGGTATCAGCTTTTCTCTGAAGCAGAACCTCAGTGATCTCAGCTCCTAAGTAACATCTCAGCATTCTCATCTTTCCGATGGTACAATATAGTGATTTCACTTCCTTTATGAAATAGCACTCAGTGACCTCCATTCTTCTAGAGTTTCACATTAGTGATTTCAACTTCTCTGAAGAAACACCTCTGTGATCTCAGCTTCTCTGAAGAATTACCTCAATGATCTAATCTCTAAAGTAATACCTTAGTGATCCCATTTCCGTTATTTCAGCTCCTCTGAAGTAAACCTCAGTGGTCAGAGCTACTCTGCAGTACCCACTAGTGATGTCAATTCCTTTCAGAAGTAACACCCAGTGATCTCACCTCCTCTCTGATGAAACACCTCAGTGTACTCAGATCCTCTGAAGTAACAAAAATTGTCTCACTTTCTTTCTGAAGTGACGCCTCAGTGATCTCAGCTCTTCTCCAAAGAAACAGTTAAGCTCTTGTCTTCTCTGAACTAACACCTTAGTTATTTTATCTATCTGAAACAACACCTCACAGAATGGCAACACCTCTAAGGTTAACACCTTGGTTATCTGAGCTATCTGAGGTTTCACTTCAGTGATCTCAGTCCCTCTGAAGTAACACCTCAGTAATATTAGTTCCTCTGGAATTTCACTTCAGTGGTTTCAGTTGCTCTGAAGTAAAACACCAGTGATGTCAGCTCCTTTCTCAAGTTAACCAATCAGTTACCAGTTCCTCTCTGGAGTTAATAATTCACTGTTGTCAGTGTCTGTACATAGAAGGGGGAACAAGCTTTTGTCTACATCGTGGTGTTTTGCTGTGGACTTAAGGATCAATGCCTGGATGGGCACAGCAGCTCATGCCTGTAATCCTAACCTTTTGGGAAGGTGAGGTGGGAGGACTGCTTCAGCCCAGGAGTTTGAGGCAGCGGTGAGCCATGATGGCACCACTGCACTCCAACCTGGTGACAGAGCAAGACCGTCTTTAAAACAAACAAAAAGGATCAATATCCTGGTGACTATTTCCTCCCCACCAAACTGACAGATGTTGGGGGCGGGGGCCTGGGGTGAAGACAGCCCTTCTCTATCTCAGGCACTTAACATGTTGAGAATTTCAAGTGGCTTGAACCTCATACATTTGTTTCGTTTGCAGCTGGCTGCTACTAGAAATGGTTCTGATTCGGTTTCAAGAACTGTATCCTTGGCCGGGTGCGGTGGCACACGCCTGTAATCCCAGCACTTTGGGAGGCCGAGGCGGGCGGATCACCTGAGGTCAGGAGTTTGAGACCAGCCTGGCCAACATGGTGAAACCTCATCTCTACTAAAAATACGAAAATTAGTCGGGCGTGGTAGCAGGTGCCTGTAATTCCAGCTACTTGGGAGGCAGAGGCAGGAGAATTGCTTGAACCTGGGAGGTGGAGATTGCAGTGAGCTGAGATTGTGCCATTGCACTTCAGCCTGGGGAACAAGAGCAAGACTTTGTCTCAAAAAAAAAAAAAAAAGTATGCTTAAAACAGAACAAATAATTCTGAATACAAATTTTTAATTATGAATAAACTAGATTCATCTTCATCATAGTAATATGGCAATGGATACTGGACTCTTGAACCAGGAGTAAAAAAATGAAAAAAAAAACCCCTTCAAATATAGGAATAGAAATACTAGAGATAGTAAAAAAGAGCTATCTGAATTTGAGAAATGTATGTTTTAAATATATCTACCAAAGAACAGTATTTTCAGCATTGTTTTGGGGGAAATACCATAAGATGTAAAGAGGTACCCACTTGGTGTAACAGCTATGAGGTCTGCTGAGTGTGAAGCTCCCCTCCTTTGCCTGCATGGGAATTGAGACATCTCACGGTTTCTGGGGCACAGGATCTGCAGGTCATAAGGGCAAGTTTTGAGGAAAATACCCATTTTTGAGTTGAATTTTTACTAAAAAGTTAGCATAACCTTTCTGATCTTGAATAAAGTTAAAAGCTCCAGATAAAGGGTTTTCTAGGCCAGGCATGGTGCCTCACGCCTGTAATCCCAACACTTTCGGAAGCAAAGGTGGGAGGATCACTTGAGGCCAGGAGTTCGAGACCAGCCTGGCCAACACGGTGAAACTCCGTCTCTACTAAAAATACAAAAATTAGCCAGGTGTGGTGGCGCATATCTATAATCCTAGTTACTTGGGAGACTGAGGCACAAGAAAAGCTTGAACCTGGGGTGGGGGCGGAGACTGCAGTGAGCCAAGATCATGCCACTGCACTGCAGCTTGGGCAACAGAGCAAGACTATCTCCACACACACATACAAAAAGTTTTTTAAATTTATGTAATTTCTCACTAATATATAAGCTTTTTCCTTGTTTCATACAAAACAGGACTCCACACACTTAGGATGGAAATCCACACACTTAGGATTTCCAACCATTTTACATGATGCTTGATGAAAATATCTTTTTATATCACTTTATCCATACAATACTTTAGTCTTTTAAGAGAATACTGAAAATAGTCCGACTTTCAAATTTTAAGTGCAATAATTAGTATGGTTAATTGATATTTAGGAAGGGCATGTAATGTTCTTAGAAAAAGAACTTTATTTGGAATGTAAGATTTTATTGGGATAATGGTTCTTATGCCTTAAATTCCCTTAGTTCAAATAAACTAATGTTAAAGAATTATGGCTGTTTTTTACCAAAATTCTCTACAATTGTATGATTACTCTCCAACATAACTTCAAGATGTTGAGGAAAATAAAACAGGTAGTCTCTGAAGTTTTTCCACAGGAACAGCACGCTAAGTGCTTCTTTCTGGAGTTATTTTGTGACACTGAATCGCCAAAGAAAAGCTTCCTATAGAGTTAACAGAGACTTCTCTTGGGCTGAAGGCTGCTTGTGGTTCCACATGCAGTTTCTGTGAGAATGGATTCTTGTGTCAGCCATGGGTCACAACTTTCTGTGCACTTTCTGGTGCTGGATTAGGTGGCCATGCTGGTTGAAGGCACGCCCACACTCCCCGCACTCATAGGGCTTCTCGCCTGTGTGGATCCGCTGGTGCTGGATGAGCACTGAGTACTGGCTGAAGGCCTTCCCGCAGCTATTGCACTCATATGGCTTCTCGCCCGTGTGGGTCCTCAGGTGCACAATCAGAGTTGCTTTCAGGCTGAAGGCTTTGCCACATTCTGTGCACTGGAAGGGCTTTTCACCTGTGTGGATTCTCTCATGCTGGATCAGAGACCGGCGTGCACTGAAGGCGTGCCCACATTCACCACACACATAGGGCTTCTCCCCAGTGTGGACTCTCTGGTGCTGGATCAGGTGTGAGTGCTGAACGAAGGCCTTCCCACATTCGTAGCATGCATAGGGCTTTTCCTCGGTGTGGATCCGCTCGTGATTCATCAGTGTGGAGCGGTGGCTGAAGGTCTTCCCACACTCACTGCACTCATAGGGCTTCTCCCCGGTGTGCACGTTGTGGTGCTGAATGAGGACTGAGCGGTCGCTGAAGGCCTTCCCACACTCGCTGCACGTGTAGGGCTTCTCCCCGGTGTGGATCCTCTGGTGCTGCAGCAGTGTCCTCTTCACACTGAAGGTTTTCCCACACTCATTGCACCTGTGAGGCTTCTCCCCAGTGTGTACCCTCTGGTGGCTCCGCAGAACAGTGCTATGGTTGAAGGCTTTCCCACACAACGGACACACATATGGCCTTTCTCCCGTGTGGATCCGCTGGTGCTGAATGAGATGTGAGAGTTGAGTGAAGGCTTTCCGACACTCAAGACATTCGTGAGGCTTCTCTCCTGTATGTATCTTGTGATGCTGAGCAAGATCTGAGCTCACTCTAAAGGCTTTTCCACACTCATTACACTCATAGGGCTTCTCACCTGTGTGAATTCTCCTGTGTTTACTAAGGACTGAGCTCTGGCTGAAGGCCTTCCCACATACACTGCACACATAGGGCTTCTCTCCAGTGTGGATACGCTGATGCTGAAGGAGGTGGGAACTCCGGCCAAAGCACTTCCCACACTCAACACACATGTAGGGCCTCTCTCCACTAGGCACTGCCTGGTGCGGAGTGAGTGGCATGCTTTGGCTTAAGACCTGAACTTCACGGTGGTCAACAGAGTTTGGACTCAGACAGAAGCTTTGCTTTGTTTCATTATTTTCTTGATCAATCCTCCCCAAGGGTGTTTTCCCCAGAATCACTGTTTGCTCTGAAATTAATGGCTTCGGACTCAAGTCTGTATTTTGACTCTCTCCCTTGGTTTCACATTCTGAAAGAACAAATCCAAAATGAAAATGTTAACACTACTCAAAACTGAAGAGCTAGTGCAACCCTGAAACTGGCCTTGCTGATGAAGGTGCAAAATCCCTCAATGCACACGTTGGTGTGAGCTACAGAAGAACAGAACCACCATAACTGTGTCAAACAACTAGATATCAGAAGATAATGTTTCCAGACAGGAAGGTGCCAAGGCAAGCTTTAAGAGAAAGGTGTAAACTCCAGTTTGAGGTCACACCCCTGTGTGGAGTCCACAGAACAGCAGGGAAACAGCCCAGTGGTGCCTGAGTCCTGCCCTCCCAGGGGTCCTCATGTGGACAGAGCTGAAATACAGGCCCACATAATGTGGGTGCCTTGTGGGGCAGACAGCAGCACTTGGGCAGGCAGGGAGAGGTGTGAGCTATTGTGAGCAAGTCGGGGTGTGCCATCTGGAGGCCAACAGACTTGTACATGAGGTAGGGGTGGTGGTGCTGCCACCTCTTTGTGGAAAATAATTTCTTTTTTTTTTTTTTTGAGAAGGAGCCTTGCTCTGTTATCCAGGCTGGAGTGCAGTGGCACAATCTCGGTTCACTGCAACCCCCACCTCCTGGGGTCAAGCGATTCTCGTGTCTCAGCCTCCTGAGTAACTGGGATTACAGACGCACACCATCATGCCTGGCTAATTTTTGTATTTTTAGTAGAGATGGGGTTTTATCGTGTCGGCCAGACTGGTCTTGAACTCTTGACTTCAAGTGATTCACCCACCTCGGCCTCCCAAAGTGCTGGGATTACAGGCGTGAACCATCGGACCTGGCCATGTGGAAGATAATTTCATGTGGAGAATGCAGTGGCAGGAGGAGGGGAGGGAAGGACAAGACTGAAGGTGCAGAGGGGCATGATGGGAATCTGCTGCCAAGTTTAGGCCACAGATGAGGCCTTCAGGAGCAGAAGCATAGATGGCGGGAAAGGCAGGGGTGGAGACTCTTCTGGGAGCAGGTCGAGCGCTCTGCAGGCTGATTGTGTGTGAGTGGGTGGGAGGTAAGAGGTGCTGAGGACAACAGTGATTTTTTTTTTAGATGGAGTCTCTGTCACCCAAGCTGGAGTACAGTGGCTACTATCATAGCCCACTGCAGCCTCAAGCTGCTTGGGGCTCATATGATCCTCCCGCCTTTGCCTCCCAAAGTGCTGGGAGTACAGGCATGAGCCATTGTGCCTGGCTCTAAACATTATTATATTTTATTTTACTTAGTTATGCGTGTTTCTGAGCTTTCTATAGTTTCATGGAGCACAGTCTTCTGGAACTCGTTTTCCCGTCAGCATTATGTTTTTGAGATCCATCATGTTGTTGTACAGCAGTTAATCATTTTCACTGCAGTATATTCCATTAAGTTAAAATACCATAGTTTATTTATGTCTATTCTGTTTATGAACATAATTCTTTTTTTAGAGACGGAGTCTTACCCTGTCGCCCAGGCTGGAGTGCAATGGGACGAGCTCGGCTCACTGCAACCTCTGCCTCCCGGGTTGAAGTGATTCTCCTGCCTCAGCCTCCCCAGTGGCTGGGATTACAGGCACATGCCACCATGGCTGGCTAATTTTTTTGTATCTTCAGTAGAGACAGGGTTTCACCATGTTGGCCAGGATGGCCTCAAACTCCTGACTTCGTGATCTACCCACCTCGGCCTCCCAAAGTGCTGGGATTACAGGCAGGAGCCACGGCGCCCGGTCCTGAATTCTTTTCAAATGTTTTTTTAAATCATGAAGCATGCTTCTGTGAAGATTCTCCTATGTTTCCTGGTGCTTACACACAAATGTCCTTGCTGTATACATATGCAAGAGTGGGAAGTGGTGAACATAGGAATTCATGTTTTCGATTTTTTTTTTCATTTTTTTTACCTCCATTCTCTCAGAATGTGATCATGTTTTCAATTTCATTGGATAATGCCAAACTTTTCCAAAGTGGCTATGTGAATTTACATCCCTATTAGCTGCCCTGCATCCTCACCCACATGTTATATTGTCAGATCTTTCCATTTTTTCCATTCTGAAGGTGTAACATCATGTCACAGTGGTTTTGATTTCCACTTTACTGATGAATAATGAGGCTGAGCAGTTTTCTTATTTATTGGCCCTTTGGTTTTCCTAATCTATGCAGAAATTTGTGCCTACTTTTCTTTTTGGGTAATTCTGCGTCTTTTTATTCTATTCAGAGGAATTTATTAAGTGTATTGACAAATTGAAACAGTGAGAATTTAACAGTTTTTTTAATAAAAAAATTTAAATTCACTGTCTTCAGTTTAATACAATTTTTTTGAGACAGAGTTTCGTTCTTGTTGCCCAGGCTGGAGTGCAATGGCACGATCTCAGCTCACCGCAACCTCTGCCTCCCAGGTTCAAGCGATTCTCCTGCCTCAGCCTCCCAAGTAGCTGGGATTACAGGCATGTGCCACCATGCCCAGATAATTTTTTGTATTTTTAGTAGAGATGGGGTTTCACCATGTTGGCCAGCTTGGTTTCAAACTCCTGACCTCAGGTGGTCCATCTGCCTCGGCCTCCCAAAGTGCTGAGATTACAGGCATGAGCCACCACCCCCGGCCCAGTTTAATACAATTTTTAACATATCTCATTTTAGAAAGTCACTCTATGTGGGTTTTTTTTTGAGACAGGGTCTCACTCTATCACCCAGGCTGGAGTGCAGTGGTGTGATCATGGCTTACTGCAACCTCAACCTCCTGGGCTCAAGGAATCCTCCTGTCTCAGCCTCCATGTGGCTGGGATTACAGGAATGCACCATCATGTCTGGCTAATTTTTAATTTTATTTTGTAGTGTGGGGTCTCAGTATCTTGCCTAAGCTGGCTATGTGTTTTTTAAACTGATAGAAGTTTTAGTTCTTTCTTTTTTTAATGTATAAGCCTCATCTTCATGGAATAAAAGCCTATAGGCTAAAGAAATAGTTACTCATTTACACTGAAAAGTATTACTTCTATTGTCTGAAGTTTCACCCGGTGTGGTGGCTCATGTCTGTAATCCCAGCACTTCGGGAGGGCAAGGTGGGAGGATCACTTGAGGCCAGGAGTTTGAGACCAGCTTGCGCAACATGGTGAAACCCCGTCTCTACAAAAATTAGCTGGGCATGGTGGTGTACACCTGTGGTTATAGCTACTCTCGGGAAGCTGTTGTGGGAGGATTGCTTGAGTCCAGGAGGTTGAGACTGGTGAGCCGTGATTATGCCACTGCACTCCAGCCTGGGCAACAGAGTGAGAGCCTGTCTAAAAAAAAAAAAAAAAAGTTTCCTGAATGGGCGGCTTCTGACCTGATGCCAGGGTAACAAGATAGACAAGATGTCTTTAATAATAAAAACACAGGCCAGGCACAGTGGCTCATGCCGGTAATCCCAGCATGTTGGGAGGCTGAGGCAGGAGGATTGCTTGAGCCCAGGAGTTTGAGACCAGCTTGGGCAACACAGCAAGACTCTGTCTCTACACTGCACTCCAGCCTGAAAAAAAGAAAACACACACACACACTAAACTAACTGCATAAGAGACTACTCGCTCAATCATCCATGGCACGAAAGCATCATATGACTGCTTGTGAGACAGAATCAAGTTGCTGTGAAGGCCAAACTTGCCTGCACCTTGCATCCATACTGTGCAGAAGCTGGACTTCAGCCAAGAGTCACTTGCTTTTAGAATAATGGTTTTGGTTGTTAAGTATAAAGTAGGGAAGTATGTTTTAAGCATGACGGAACAAATAAAAGGAAACAAAATGATTTCACCGAAATAAATGTTTAATTATAAAAACCCAGTAATCTCTCTAGGCCTACTATGGCTCACAAGAAAAGGAAAAATGTTTTAAAAATTAAAAACACAAAAAGCCCCTCCCTGGTGTTTTGTAGCAATTGTGTGAGTTGTTTAACACGCTTCATAGCACCGAGTCGCCTCTACATTCTTGTAAAACATTAGTGTTAACACCTTCAGAGATTGTACTGAATTAAAAAGATCAGGCATACACTTACCCCATGGACAAGATAAACTGTCTTGTTGTGTACAGGCTGTAGTGTGGTCATATTTGAGGTTGTCTGGAAAAAAAACAGCGAGTTGAAGTGACAACAAAATACTCCCTTCAAGAGTGGAAAATCCTGGCCGGGCATGGTGGCTCACGTCTGTAATCCCAGCACTTTGGGAGGCCAAGGTGAGTGGATCACTTGAGGTCAGAAGTTTGAGACCAGCCTGGCCAACATATAGTGAAACCCCGTCTCTACTAAAAAATACAAAAATTAGCTGGACATGGTGGTGCATGCCTGTAGTCCCCACTACTAGGGAAGCTGAGGCAGGAGAATCGCTTGAACCCCGGAGACAAGAAGTTGCAGTGAGCCGAGATCACACTACTGCACTCCAGCCTGGGGGACAGAGTGAAACTCCGTCTCTCAAAAAAAAAAAAAAAAAAAAAAAAAAAAGAGTGGAAAATCCTTTCGTTGCTATTACAACATGTAATTTACTGAGTTACAAACAGCAGGGTCAGGGCTGGGCAGGTGCACACACTTATCCATCCTGAGGAACTGCCAGGACAAGACAAAGGCATATCTACTCCTCGCTTGCTCTGATGCTAGTGGCAGTGATCCAGGTTGTGGCAGGTGGCTTCTGTTTCTATGCACATCAGTAATCTAAAACTCAGTCCCATCGTCCTCTGTGGCCTGTGTTAGAGGTGAGGGGACCAGGTGCTTCCATGAAAAAACTTCTCATCTCCAACCAGCCATGCTCCCAGAGAATTTCACAGTCTCTGTGGTGTCAAATCAAAGGGCGCTCAAAGGCAGTTTAAGCTCTCCATCAGGCGAGTACATAGCTGGACACAAGGGAGCCCAGGACTGGTTTGGCAGTGGCAGCAAAATGCCCTCCTGTGTTTTCTTGTCTCCTACAGCTGCAGTCAGTAAGCAGAAGTTCTATGCAAGATTTCCAAGACATGATGATGTGTCTTCTTGTATAGTCACTGGAAAATTAAATTCCTCTAAGGCTGGCATGTACCTTGTTCCTCTGAGGATATCTGATTTTGCAGGCCAGTAAGAGGTAGACTGTAATACCTGGTGCCCTATCCACATAAAGCTACTTTAGAAATAAGGAGGAGCTTTCAAGGGGAAAACCACCACATCTGAAATGCTGAAGCTGATCAGCCAATGGAGGTGTTGCCCAAACTGTCCCTACTCTCCCCAAGTGGGGCACATTATGGCAGGACAGGCTGACTGAGGTTTTCCTAAGACTCAGACGTCACCTTACTGAAGTCAGAGGTTCTTTGCCTTAAGCAACCGCAAACATGAACTTCAGGGTTGGATCTATGCACCATCTTTCTTTTTATAATTTTCTCCATCTAAAGGTCTTGTACATCTTTTGTTAGATTAATTCTTGGATGCTTTATATTCCTGATGCTATTATAAATGTTATCTTTTAAAATATTACACCTTTGCTGGTTGCTGACAAATATAAATAAAACATTTCTGGCCAGGTGCAGTGGCTCATGCCTGTAATACCAGCACTTTGGGAGGCTGAGGCAGGTGGATCACTTCAGGTCAGGAGTTCGAGACTAGCCTGGCCAACATGGTGAAATCCTGTCTCTACTAAAAATACAAAAATTAGCTGGGTATAGGGGCATGGACCTGTAATCCCAGCTATTCGAGAAGCTGAGGCGTAAGAATTGCTTGAACCCAGACGGCGGAGCTTGCAGTGACCCGAGACTCATGCCACTGCATTCCAGCCTGGGCGACAGAGCAAGACTGTCTCAAAAAAAAAAAAAAAAAAAAAAAAATTGTATCCAGCAAAACTGGTAATTTCCCTTGTGAATTTTAATCAATCATTTTCCAGGTTGACAATCACATAAACTGCAAACAATGCTTTTTTCTTTCTAATTCTTATAGCTTTGGTTTTGCCTTATTTTTATTTTTATTTTTTTGAGACAGAGTCTCATGCTCTGTCCCCCAGGCTGGAGTGCAGTGGAGCGATCTCAGCTCACTGCAACCTCTGCCTCCCGGGTTCACGCCATGAATCTGGGAGTAGCTGGGACTACAGGCCTCAGCCTCCCGAGTAGCTGGGACTACAGGTGCATGCCACCATGCCCGGCTAATTTTTTGTATTTTTAGTAGAGACAGGGTTTCACCGTGTTAGCCAGGATGGTCTTGATCTCCTGACCTCGTGATCCACCCGCCTCAGTCTCCCAAAGTGCTGGTATTACAGGCTTGAGCCACCACGCCTGGCCGGTTTTGCCTTATTTTGTACATGGGATACCCAGTACAACATTATATGGACATGGGGATGGCGGGCTTCTTTGTCTTGTTCTGAGATGAAACAGTGTGCTTTCAGCACTTCACCTTAAGTGTCAGGTTGAGACACTTCCTTTCCACATTTAGGATGCTTTGTTATTTTCTAAATCATCAGGTAACTCTCAAAACCTGAATGTCCTATTAGGACCAAATCTGGCTAACCAGTCCCTCTGGTCAGGGACAGAATCACTGCAGCCATGCCCTAACTTCCTCTACATGGCTCTGCACATCAGCTTGTTGAAATTCACTGCTATGCTCACTTCCAGCCATGGGCTGCCACCTGATTCAGCAACCCCCAGTCTATAGACTCCTTTGCCAGATAAGGCCAGATAAGGTTTTACTCCAGGTGGAAGCCACTCCAGTGAGCGGCACAGTATGAACTAGGTCCACAGCTTTGCTCAGGACCTGTTTAGCCCTCAGTGAGGGAGGGGCCAGCTCTCCTCACTCACCTGAGTAGTCACTCCACAGGCCCTGGCTCTTCTTAGCCCCCTTCCTGTCCAGGACCCAGGGATCTTCCCCTCGCTCCAGCTGGGAGATTATGTCAGGCTTGGATCCTGGAAGTCCTGCTCGTGGGGAGGGAAGTCTTTGTTTACACAACATTTACAGAGCCCCCTCCCCCTGCCCAAGCCACTTGTGGGGACATGAAAATGGACAGGACTGATCTTCTGCTGGAGCTGAGCACCCAGAGAGGTGATGAGAGCAAACCTCCAGGACCAGCCTGTCCCAGGCCCCGTACCCTGAGAAGCCCCCACCCCAGTCCAATACGCAGATACATAGACGAGGCCTGCTAAGGTGGCTTACCCAATGAGACTACATTCCCATAGGTTTCCATCATCACATTTCTGTAGAGACCCCTCTGAGCAGGGCACAGGCGGTCCCATTCATCCTGGGAGAGGAGCACAGCCACATCCTCGAAGGTCAGCTTGGCCTGGAACGACAGGGGCTGCTGCAGGTAAAACCAAATCCTGATGTCTGTGATGGGGAGTGGGTGCATGTGACATGTGACATGAGCAGTTGGCAGTGGGGGGCTCTGTGAGCTGAGGTGGGTGATGGGAAGGGGCCGCGGAGTTCAGGGCATGTGGTGACGCTCTGGCTGCTCTTAGGAGCTCTACGGGGCACGGAAGGAACCACAGGGCTCGGGCTGGGGGCACTGCATAAGCACTGGGGACAGCTTACCTGGGGTCCTGCCGGCACTGGCAGGAGTCTGGCTGCTGCCATCACCTGGTCTCCTGGGGACTCCGAGGATCACGGAAATTGAAGGAGCCTATGGGGCTGAGGAAGAGGAGGGGGCAAGTGAGGGGCATGGCCTTGAGACCGTAACTTCCTAGGGGGCCCTCAGGGGATCCCTGGGCCTCATTCAGAGTCACTGAGGGGCACACTGAGGTCAGGTGCAAGGAGCTGCTACTGTTGCAGCCTTGGTCTGCCTTGCCTCCCCCATGAACTCTGACCCTATGGTTCAGGAGCCTGTCCAGGCCCTGAACACACAGTTCCTGGGCCTGCCCAGCTAGTACTGGGCTCTCTGAACACCAGGTGCAAGGCACTTGCTGCACCCTGGTCCCGGCCCATGGTCCTGCCATACACAAGGATACCAGCTCACCAAGGCTCTGTGTGTTCTATACCTGAGGCCCTCACACAAGTACCAGACTGTCCGCAAGTCATGTGGGGGATACAGGCATCAGGCCAAGCTGCTTCCCCAAACACCCTCCCAATTAAGAAAGCCTTGGCCACCAGGGTGACAATAAGACTCCCCTCACCCCACCCTTAGGCAGCCCTAGTGCCCCAATGTGGCACCAGGTTCAACCAGGTATTTGAAGGGGAGGCATGGAAGTGGTCAGTTCTGGACAAACTGAGTCAACAGTGGCCTAGGGATCTGGTCTGAGCAGCTGAAGGAAGACTTGTCATCAAGTGAGAAGGGGATGCTTGGGGTAGTGGGGCTGGTGCTGGAACGTAACAGGACAAGGTAAGCAAAGGTATCTGACACACACCCAAACAGCTGGGAAAAAGGGGGAGCGGGGCAAGAGCTTTCCTGACACATTTGGTCCTGTACAGGATAGGGTTCGCAGTCTTCTGGAGCATCAAAAAGAAGATACTGTGACAGGGATACAGAAACCAACCAGGTGACCAAAGGTGGTAGATCACTCCAGAAAAACGTGGTATAACAAAGCAACCAATCCCCTCACATGCTTGGCTCAGATGGGCACCACAACAAACAGGGTGCTTTAAGAGTGACAAAATAGGTGTCAGGGCTGGGGGCAGAAGTCAAGGGACATCATAATCTCAGTGTCTATAAAACATCAGATATAGGTGGGCGCGGTGGCTCATACCTGTAATCTCAGCACTTTGGGAGGGTGAGGCAGGCACATCACCGGAGGTCAGGAGTTTGAGACCAGCCTGGCCAACATGGTGAAACCCCGTCTCTACTAAAAATACAAAAATCAGGCCGGGTGCAGTGGCTTATGCCTGTAATCCCAGCACTTTGGGAGGCCGAGGCAGGCGGATCACCCGAGGTTGGGAGTTCGAGACCAGCCATGACCAACATGGGGAAACCCCGTCTCTACTAAAAACACAAAATTAGCCGGGTGTGGTGGTGCACGCCTGTAGTCCCAGCTACTCAGGAGGCTGAGGCAAGAGAATTGCTTGAACTCAGGAGGTGGAGGATGCGATGAGCCGAGATCATGCCATTGCACTCCAGCCTGGGCAACCAAGAGCAAAACTCCATCTCAAAACAAAAACAAAAACAAAAATCAGCTGGGTGTGGTGGCGGGTGCCTGTAATCCCAACTACTCAGGAGGCTAAGGCAGGAGAATCACTTGAACCCAGGATGTGGAGGTTGCAGTGAGCTGAGATCATCTCAGCTGAGACTCTGTCTCAAAACAAAACAAAAAAAACACACATCAGATACATGTATATATTTGCACAGACAACTTTCAGGAAGATACACAATAAACTAACTGCCTGCCTCTGAAGAACAGGACAGGGAAACACAGTTGGAGAGAGACTGACTTTCAACCCTCCCCCGTGCTGCTGTTCTCCAAAAATGCCCATTCCCTCCAAATGTGTGTGTGAGCACACTTCTGTGTTAGCGCAATGCAACTCTAATTAGAATTCCAACAGAAGTCTTTTAAAGGAATGACTACAACTACTTGAGAATTCATAAGAAGAATGGATGCTAGAGAATAGCCAAGAATTTAACTGGAAAGAACAGAGGGTGGGGACTGCCTTGCCAGGAATCAGAGCCAAGGGTGGGTAGGAAGCCGCTGCAATTAAACCAACAAGTTGTTGACAGAGGAACAGATGAAGCCAGACAGGTATGTGGGAAATTGGAAGATAACAAAAATGTTACATTTTAGTTCAGCAGGAAATCAGTGGTTCCTTTAGTAACTTGTGTGTACCCAGATGGGATACATCAATAACCAATTTTTTTGTTTGTTTTTTTTTTTGAGACAGAGTTTCACTCTTGTTGCCCAGGCTGGAATGCAACGGCGAGATCTCGGCTCACCGCAACCTCCACCTCCTGGGTTCAAGTGATTCTCCTGTCTCAGCCTCCCAAGTAGCTGGGATTACAGGCATGCGCCACCATGCCCAGCTAATTTTTTTTGTATTTTTAGTAGGGACAGGGTTTCTCCATGTTGGTCAGGCTGGTCTTGAACTCCCGACCTCAGGTGATCCGCCCGCCTTGGCCTCCCAAAGTGCTGGGATTACAGGCGTGAGCCACCGTGTCCAGCCACCAATTTTTTTTTTTTTTTGAGACGAAGTCTTGCTCTGTCACCCAGGCTGGGATGCAATGGGGTGATCTTGGCTCACCGCAACCCCTGCCTCCCAGGTTCAAGCAATTCTCCTGCCTCAGCCTCCCGAGTAGCTGGGATTACAAGCACCCACCAGCACGCTCGGCTAATTTTTTAAATATTTTTAGTAGAGATGGGTTTTCACCATCTTGGTCAGGCTGGTCTCGAACTCCCGACCTCAGGTGATCCACCCGCCTTGGCCTCCCAAAGTGCTGGGATTACAGGCATGAGCCACCACGCCCAGCCCAACAATAACCAATTTTGGATTAAGATGAAGACCAAGTGTGAGCATTAACAGTGGCCTCATGTGCTCCTGGTCCCCCTGTCTGACATCTGCCTACCCTCAAGGGCAGAAGTGCCTTCTCTCCTGCCACACCCTGACCCTTTCCATGGGTCACCCACCAGCGCACAGATCTGCCATTTCTTTATTTTGAAACAGAATCTCGCTCTGTCACCCAGGCTGGAGTGCAGTGGCATGATCTAGGCTCACTGCAACCTCCGTCTCCCAGGCTCAAGCGATCCTCCTACCTTAGCCTCCTGAGTAGCTGGGACTACAGACACCTGCCTCCATGCCCGGCTAATTTTTGTACTTTTTGTAGGTACGGGGTTTCACCATGTTGCCCAGGCTGGTCTCGAACCCCTGAGCTCAAGTGATATGCCCCTCTTGGCCTCCTAGAGTGCTGGAATTACAGGCTTGAGTCACTGCGCCTAGCCCTGCATGCGAATTTGACCTTGGGTGAATGCACAGCTCTGGTCCCCTGGAAACCTGGCAGAGGTGGATGGTCATTCTCTCTACGGACCAATCACACCTGGGCTGTGACTCAATGATGAACAACCACAGGAAGTACATTCAGGGCCTCCCTAGCAGGTCTTGCAGCCAGTTCTCTTGACACAGGAGGTGCTGGCTTGTATGACCACGAGGCTTTCGACTAGGCTAACTCCTCCTCCTACCTGCATCTTGTGTTTATGCACCTCAGTACTCCCTGGATGGCTGCTGGATGATGCTGGCCAGCTTTTCCGAGAAGCTGCTGCTAGGCATGGTTGTCCTGTGAGTCTGAAAAGTCAGTTGAGCCCAGTAGCTCTTTTGGTACACTTGAGCTCGTGATCCCCCTTCCCTCTGACTCAACCTTTCAATATGGGTGTCTCATAGCATCTCAGACATTTAACATCCCAAACCAAGCACCCCCTCTACCATCATTTCTACCCCCAGCTTGGTCTGTGAGCCTGTGCATCAGCCTCCTTCCTTCTTCACTCCCACACTTCTATTCACCTTCCAAGCACATCCAGAACCTGACCATGTTGCCCATCTCGCCCTCCCTGCCCCATGACAACCACCCCTAGATGTTCGGCAGCTCCCATCTGGGCAGACAGACTCCCAGCACCGTCTGTCTGCCCAGCCCCTCCATCTACCTTCCTGTGAGAACACAGTGACTGTCCTCTGCTCCAAGGTCCTCCCAGGACCCCACTGGCTCCTATGGGCATGCCCCAAACTTTGTGATTTTCCTCAGAGCCCTGCAGCCCTTTATCCCTTGGCCTGTGCTCCCCATCCAACTCTTAGAGACCTCTGCCCCACCCACCGCAGCAGCCCTGGCCTCACCCAGCTCTCATCCTATCCCTTTCTCCTGCACCAGCAGACCAAGAAGCAGGCCCAACAGAGTAATCAGTGGTCGACCTTTTTTTTTTTTTTTTAATTACTTCTAGGCTAATGATTACAAATTGCCAGGCAATGTACTTTTTTAAACTTTTAATTAATTTCTTAGAGACGGGGTCTCACTTTGTAGTCCAGGCTGGAGTACAGTGGCTCAATCACAGCTCAATGCAGCCTCCAACTCCTGGGCTCAGGTGATCCTCCCACTTCAGCATCCCAAGTAGCTAGGAATACAGGTTGCACCACCATGCCTGGATAATTTCTTAATTTTTTTTTTTTGGTAGAGACGAGGTCTTGCTGTGTTGCCCAGACTGGTCTTGAACTCCTAGGCTCAAGGGATCCTCCCTCCTTGGCCTCCGAAAGTGTCAAGATTACAGGCCTGAGAACACCACACCCGGCCTGTTTGTTGAATAAATGAATGAAGAGGAATGAGCTCACACTTTATGCCATCTGTAATAGCCAAGTACGGAGTCAACACTTTAAACTGGCAGGCATGGGAAAGTGGAGTTTCTCATACTCTTAAGAAGGCGACCTAGCAGTATTTAGGCAAATCAGACTGGCCCTTGGATAGTGGGTACCTGATAAGAATGGATGTGGGTGAGGGTGCAGATTCAAGGATGTTGCTGAGGCAAATGCTACGTTGGTCCTTCCACATACAAGTTACACACCTGCTAAAGAGAAAGATGTATGTTGTGTCAGGTCACCAGATGGGTGAGTGAAAATGCAGCATGGGGCCAGCATGCAGGGGAAAATCTCATTTTGTAAACTATGACCCCGAGCCCATGAAGGGTATGTGTGTCACAAGGACCTGGGACTGGTTCACCTGCCTCACTTGGGCCAGCTGCATTGAGGCCCCACCTATAAATCCAGATGACACACTCCTCTGAAGGCCTGGAGATCATGTGGTTGGTGAGAGGAGAGCGCTAAGAACAGGCTTGGCTCAGAGGAGGATGCTGCTGGATAAGGTGTTATTATCTATTTGATTAACACACAGAGGAAATACTCCAAAGGACAATACCAGGCTGTCAACAAGTGTGTGGCAAGGAGAAGTGAAAGGGAAAGACTGCCACCTGGGGTGAGTCTTAGAAAAGCATCACACAAAATGCAGTATCAGGTCTCTATTGAAAGATGACCATCACATATTGCTAATTAAAAAAAAAATCGGCCAGGCGCAGTGGCTCATACCTGTAATCCCAGCACTTTGGGAGGCCGAGGCGGGCGGATCAAAAGGTCAGGAGTTCGAGACCAGCCTGGCCAACATAGTGAAACCCCGTCTCTACTAAAAATACAAAAAGTTAGTCAGGCATGGTGGCAGGCACCTGTAATCCCAGCTACTCAGGAGGCTGAGGCAAGAAAATAGCTTGAACCTGGGAGACAGAGGTTGCAGTGAGCCAAGATTGTGCCACTGCACTCCAGCCTGCATAACAGAGCAAGACTCTGTCTCAAAAAAAAAAAAAAAAAAAAAATCCTATCACAAAGTCTGATTGTATTCTGGTAATAAATGAACAAAAATGGCTGGGCATGGTGACTCACACCTATAATCCCAGTACTTTGGGAGGCCAAGGTGGGAGAATTGCTTGAGTTCAGGAGTTCAAGAACACCCTGGACAATATAGTGAGACCCCGTCTCTATAAAAAAATTTAAAAAATTAGCTGGTTTGTAGACCTAGGTACTCTGGAGGCTGAGATGGGAAGATTGCTTGAGCCCAGGAGGTCAAGGCTGCAGTAAGCTGTAACTGCACCACTACACTCCACCCTGGGCAACAGAATGAATCCCTGTCTCAAAATAAATAAATAAATAAATAAAAATTAAAAAAAAATATGAACAAAATACATTTTAAAAGTGGTATTAACTAGTTTAAATTTTTTCCTTACTTACACTATGGCAGATAAAGGTTTCAGTTTCCTGGAACGAGCCTGTAACAGGATACCAGGCCAGGCAAACACCATGGACCTCAACCTAAACCTTGCATACTCAAGACAGGAAAATGTAAGAGCTATCGGGGGTGCCAGAAACTGGCTTTTAACAACACACTCCATCCACACTTCACGGGATTCTGACGTCCAACTCCAAGCTTTGCTCCATGAGAACACAGTTCAGGCAGGGAAGGAGGATGATGTGGACAGTTTTAAAAAATTAAGACAGGCTAATGACGAGTCCTCTATAGATGCCAGGCTCCAGGGCCAGGGGCTGGGACAGGCTGGAGATCACCGCCACAGAATACTGGAAGTGGAGTTTGAGGAGCCCCCTCTTGAGGCCATGCCAACAGCTAACAAATGGGCAATATAAAGAACACCCACTCAGGGCACTGGCTGAGCAATGATCCCTCCCACCCACTGGTTACAAAGGTGGCAGCATAAGGAGCTAATTTTTCAAACTCAGGAATTTCAATCTTGAAAATTTCCCTAAGGAATAATCCAAAACAAAAACAATAGATCAACGTTATTAGCAGCAACTGGCTTTCCAGTTTTCTTTAGGTGATCAAAAGCCACATCGCAGTGAGACATTCCTATCACTCTTTTTGGAATTCCTGACTGTCTTGATGTGACAAAGCAGTGTGCCTGTCATTCCAGAGGACCCTGCACATGGTCACACACTGGGACAGGCACATTTGGAGTCTCCTGATCTGGGATGAGCTTCCAGGATCTCCTCCAGGGCCACTGCCTTCTCCTGCTCCTCATCATCCTCACTCCCTGGACTTTCTGCTAACAAGCACTGCTCCCTCTTCATCACCAAGGAGCCCCTACCCGCTAGGGTGAAAGCACTTTCAAGAGAGGCAGCTTCTGAGCCACTTGTGAGCACAAGGCGAAACACTGCTAAACTTGACCTAATCTAAACTAACCCTAACTAACCTAAACTAACCCTAACCTGCAACCTTTCCAGAATTAATGATCAGAAATATGTATCCAAATTGATAGCTTTCTGGTCGGGCACAGTGGCTCATGCCTGTAATCCCAGCACTTTGGGAGGCCAAGGTGGGTGGATCACCTGAGGTCAGGTGCTGAGACCAGCTCGGTCGGGGAGACCCTAACCCAGCGGCGCTAGAGGAATTAAAGACACACACACAGAAATATAGAGGTGTGAAGTGGGAAATCAGGGGTCTCACAGCCTTCAGAGCTGAGAGCCCTGAACAGAGATTTACCCACGTATTTATTAACAGCAAGCCAGTCATTAGCATTGTTTCTATAGATATTAATTTAACTAAAAGTATCCCTTATGGGAAACGAAGGGATGGGCCGAATTAAAGGAATAGGTTGGGCTAGTTAACTGTAGCAGGAGCATGTCCTTAAGGCACAGATCGCTCATGCTATTGTTTGTGGCTTAAGAATGCCTTTAAGGGGTTTTCCACCCTGGGCCGGCCAGGTGTTCCTTGCCCTCATTCCGGTAAACCCACAACCACAACCTTCCAGCGTGGGCATTATGGCCATCATGAACATTTCACGGTGCTACAGAGATTTTGTTTATGGCCGGTTTTGGGGCCAGTTTATAGCCAGATTTTGGGGGGGCCTGATCCCAACAGTCAGGAGTTCAAGACCAGCCTGGGTGACATGGTGAAACCCCGTCTCTTCTAAAAATACAAAAATTAGCTGGGTGTGGTGGCACGTGCCTGTAATTCCAGCTCCTCCCAAGGCTGAGGCATGAGAATTGCTTGAACCTGGGAGGTGGAGTTTGCAGTGAGCCAAGATCGCGCCATTGCACTCCAGCCTGGGCAACAGAGTGAGACTCCATCTCAAAAGAAAAAAAGCAAATAAACAAACAAACAAAACAAAACAAAACAAAACAAAACAAAAAAACAACCAAACTGATAGCTTTCTTATATACCAGTAACACCTAATCAGAAAATATGAATGGAAAAAAATCTATTCAACAAATAGCAACAAGAAACAAGATTAAACCTTAGAAATGCAGAGTCCCTATAAAGAAAACTGTAAAACATCAAGGAAACACTTGAGGACACTCATGTGGGAAAACATTTTTTGGGTAAGACCTCAAAAGCACAGGAACAAAAGCAAACTAGACAAATGGAATTACATCAACTAAAAAGCTTCTGTACAGGAAAGGAAACAATCAGCAGAGTGAAGAAACAACATACAGAATGGAAGAAAATATTTACAAGCTATCCATCCGATAAGGGATTAATAACCAGAATGCAGAAGGGAGTCAAACAATTCAATAGAAAGAGACAACTAATCCGATTTAAAAACAGGTAAATGATCTGAGTAATTTATCAAAAAAAGACAATATGTATGGCCAACAAGCATATGAAAAAAACTAAAAATAGATCCACCATATGACCCAGCAATTCCACTGCTTGTTATATACCCAAAAGAAAGGAAGTCAGTATATCAAAAAGATATCTGAACATACATGTTGACTGCAGCACTATTCACAATAGCTAAGATATGGAATCAACCGAAATGTACATCAAATAAATGGATACAGAAAATGTGGTATATGTACACAATGGAATATGATTCAACTATAAAAATAAGGAAATTATGTCATTTGCAGCAACAGGGATGGAACTGGAGGTCATTATGTTAATTGAAATAAGCCAGGTACAGAAAGACAAATATTGCATGTTTTCACTCGTATGTGTGAGTTAAAAAAGTTGGTCCCATGGAGGTAGAGGGTAGAATGATGATTACCAGAGGATGGGAAGGGTGGGGTTGGGGGGAGGTATGAGATGAATAGAAGTGGGTTAATGACTACAAACATACAGTCAGATATAATGAATAAGTTCCAGTGTTTGATACCACGGTAAGATGACTACAGTTAATAATTTATTGTATATTTCAAAACAACCAGAAGAAGAGATGTGAAATGTTTCCAACACAAAAAATGATGTTTGAGGTGACAGACATCCTAATTACCCTGATTTGATCATTATACATTGTATGCTATCCTTGTATCAAAATATCACATGTATCCCATAAATGTGTATAATTATTATATTCAATAAAAAAGAACTTTAATAAAAATACAGGTATATTTTTATTATTTCATGTGGGAAGGGCTGTTCTAAGCAAAATACCAAAAGCAAAAAGCAGAGCTCCACAGATCTGCAGCTTATAAATCAAAATCATATGCACATCAAAGCTACCAAACTCCAAAAATGGACCTAAAGGCATGCAACAATTTAGTATATGACAAAAGCGGTTTTTCAAATCAATGGGAAGATCAATGGTGTTAGAAATGGCTATGATTTAGAGGAAAAAAGGAATTCCAAAAGCTGTATTCCAAACTCACCCCACAATAAAATAAATTCCAGACGTATCCAACATTTTACAAGTACCACAGAAAAACAAGAGTTTATTTTAAAAATAATCTTGGAGTGGGGAAAGCCCTTTAAAACACAGCACAAAGCCCAAAATGCCTTAAGGCAAAATATTTGACTCCTAAAAATTTTAAATTTTCTATTTTGAAAAAGCCCAAACCAGAATCAAACACCATAATCAGAGTCAAAAGACAAATTGAGAAGCATGTTTTCAACATACATGGAAAAAAATATGAGCTGGCAAATCACAAAGAAATACAAATGGCGAAAACACAAATGAAGGGATTTCAATCTCACCAATAAACGCAAAACGTCGACCTGGCAGGAATGCAGTGACCTGTCAAAGCCCACAGGACCAGAGTCCCGTCCAGGGCGGGAATGTCAATGGCAATCTCCCACCCTTACCCACTTCGTAGAGACCACCGGACAGAGAAACCTATGTCCAGAAGACAAGTTACGAACTGAAAAATCTGCGAGTACCCACCCGGCGGAGGACGAGTGGAGCGCCCCCTGCCGCCCCTGGTGTTAGTCAAACGACACCAGCTTCCCTTTGATGACAGAAAAAAGGGTGTGCGTGCGTGCCTAAAGCTCTAACGGCATTCAAAAATTCTGAAACTGTTCACAGCTCCTGCCTCTTCATACACTGGCAGAGTGTCGGGGGGGATGACTTTTATATATTTCTGACATGCCTGCATTAGAAGAAGTATTGCATATTATTTTCAATTTTAAAATTAAGCCAATAAACAACAAGGAAAATATTTGCTGTGTTGCAAAGAGTTGGGCTCATTCATTAAAATAGGGCTCTAACACAGTAACAGAAAAGACAGCATCGACAGCAAAATGGGGAGAGGATAAGACACCCGGCAAGTAGCACACTCGACCAACTGCTGAAACGAAAGCAGCTCGTTTTCGTCTTGACGCGGGAAGACTTTTTATAGCTAAGTAAAGTGGCGCTCCCGGTGCGCCGCCGGGGTCTTCATGGGGCTCCTCAGGATGTGCATCAAACAGAAAAAACCTCCATTTTTATATTTTGGGGAAGCTCCCCACCCCTTTCCGGGCCCATCCCAGGGGACGCGAGACCCCGAGGAGCGCGGCAAGAAGAGCGGCCCGGGGGTCCGGACTGCGCCCCTAGGACTCCGGCCATCCTGGCCCTAGGCACGGCGCCCGGTAGAAAGCGCGCGGGAGGGCACGAGGGGGAGGAAGGCCGGAGATCTGAGGAGATCCAAGGTGGGAGGGACGCCGGTCTGACGGGGCCCAAGGGGGTAGGGGCGGGGAAGGGACCGAGGCCGTCCGAGGCGGACGGGGGTGCGGGAGGGCCTGAGGGGGTCCAAGGCCGGGCGAGGGGAAGGGTGGGAACCCCGAACGGGGGAGAGGGCGCGGCCTTGGCCCTGGGGAGGAGGCCGCCGCGCGTCCGTGAGGGGAGGGGACCAGCGTAAACGCAGGAGGCAGTGCGTGCTCGCGGGGAAGAGTCCACGATTCGTGTGGAGGACGCACCGGCTCCGGTGTCCGTGATGGGAGAGGGTCCTGGCCGGCGACGACACGCGCCCCCCACTCACCGTCAGAGCCGCAGCCTCACGCGCGAAGGAACGGCATCCCGCAGCACCTTCAGACAAAGGGCTGCCCCGCCCCGTCTGCGCAGCCGCCAATCCCTGGGGGCTCCTGCCCCTCAGTTCCCGCCCCCACAGCCGAGTTCGCCAATCCTGGAGGGCAAGCATGTTTACGTCATTTGGCCCGCCTGCCCGCCCGAAGCCTTTCTCGGTGACCGACTGCAGGGAGCTCTCAGGAGCCACCGAGAGCCAGACCTCCGCGATCCCTAGAGGGGCCGAACACCTCTGGGCAATGGGCCCGGCCGGCTCCCCGGCCGCACTTCCGGGCGCGGAGGTTACAGCCCATCGCCGAGCCTTACCCGCTCGCAGTCCCGGTTCCCGAGCTCCTGCCGCCGTCGCCCTGTGGAGGACACCCCTGCCGGCCCCGCAGTCCCTCCTCGACTTGCGCTGGCTTCGGCCGTCCTGGAACTCGAGCTCGTTCCCCCCTCCGAGCCTTTTGCCCTTGCGGTTCCCGCTGCTGGGAACGACCTTGCCCTCAGCCGCCTGGCTGGTCCCTGCGCCGCTGCAGTGCGAATGTCGCCTTCTCAGGGGCCCTTTCTCTTCCTTCGTTGCAACACTGAAGTCCTCTTGTTTGATGACTTGCGTGAGGTTATTCCTCCCACTTAGGAGGCTGAGTGCTGCGAGGTCCGAGGCGCAGCCGCTCTTCGCTGTGTCCGGCCCGGCGTGCTCCCGACAGGGGGCGTCACTGAACAGCGACCGTCTCCGTCGCCCACTCGGCCCTGGTGTTTGCTTTTTGGTGTGTTTACACCGCGCACCTGGGGGAGAGGGGCGGGCCTTCACGAGGGCGCGGGCCACACCCGTGTGGAGGCTTCGGGCACAGCCCAGGACCTGACAGCCGCGGCAGGGAGGGTGGGGCTGGTTTGGAGCGGTGTCAGGGGACGGGAAGGCTGACGCCTAGTCCACCTTCTGCTGGCCCCACTCCCGAAGGTCAGGTCCGCGTCGTCCATTGGGCGCGTGGGCGGGCCCAGACTCTCAAGAGGCTTCCCCACAGGGCGGGGCTGGGGGCTGCGTGGGGGCGGCGGGGAAGGCTTAAGGTTAGGGGGTAGGCTTGAAGCGAGTGCCCGGCCCGTGCTGTTGGGAGCGGAGGCCGGGAGGATGTGGCGATAATTCCGTACTTGCCGCGCACCAGGCAGACGCGAAGTCTGTGCTACGCTTCAGCGAACTTAGCAGCCCTTGCGGGCAGGGGTTCGCACTTCACGGAGCTACCATCCACCACGCGCGTTTCGAGCAATGGGCCCGTTGCCTGGCGCACTAGAAGCCAAAACGGTGGCACCAGTTTTTGAGAAAAGAGAAGGCTTTATTATTTCAAGGTCGACGGCCAAGGAGACCGGAGGCATGGCTCAAATGTGGCTCCCACATGTGGGCTTAGGTCAAAGTCGACGGGTTAGGGAGGACAGGTTGGCACACAGAAGTGCTGGCGGGCAGGTTTCAATAGGAGGGCTTTAAACTTGGCCATTTATGGTAAGGTGTGGAATGGCAGGTTTCAGCACCAGATCTTCCAGGATAATGGACCCTTCCCTTCTGAAAGCGTTCCGCCCCTCAAGCTCCGGTCATGTCCCTGTCTTCTTGGCTCCACAGGGAGGAAACGTTGGTTCCGAGTTATGATTTTCCTCCTTTGTGCATGTCCGGGTTACATGACTTTCAGTTTTGGCTCTGCTATACCTCCTGTTACCAACAGAATAGGGTCAGTTTGGGCCAGTCTTGTGGTTACACCTCAGTGTCACAGGATTTCCTCTGCCAAAGGGCTGTGAAGCTCAGGACCAAGGTAATCAAAATTCAGCTCTACTATTGGATTGTCCTGGATTGTTTTAGCAGTTGACAGGGATCAAGCTCTGTCCCAGCAACCTTGATCCCAACAGAGAACTGATGCTCCTAGGACCTTCACCTCAGACCTCAGTGCATCCTGGTTTTTGTTTTTCTTCCTCCTCCACAACTTTTTTATTTTGCAAATGTTGATACATTCATAAAGGTTGAAAGAATAATACAATGAATACCTCCGTGCCCTTCACTTAGATTTAGCAGCTGACATCCTCTCTAGCACGTCCCTTCTGTGTCTCTGTCACTCTTTTTCCTTCAACAGCACAATGTTTATTGAGTGCTTGTGTGCTAAGCACTAAGTGTCGGGGCTACATCAGTGAACAAGCAAGTGCCTAACAAATCCATGTCTTTCTGGACCATACATGTGAATGGAGACAGTAGGCAATACGCAGAATAAATGTAGGAATTACAGAGTGTGTCCAGAGATGGTGAGGACTACAGAAGGTCTGGGCAGGTGCCATTGTGTCTGCTGGTTCACCTGGGCGACATGAGGCAGCAGCTGCCCCCTCTTCCTCTGGCTCCTTCAGCTCCAAGACTAAAGGCTCCAGCTTCTCCTATAGGGCAACAAAGGGGTTTCAGCGCATCCTGGGCTCCAGCTTGAGGTCACAGACCTCAACTTGTCTCTCCTCACTTTACATCCATCTTCCCTTCCCAACTGTCTGCCCTGTTCCAGCATCAGATGCAAAGACAACAGCCTTACAGGAACTGTTAACTATGTGCCACAATGGTGTAAGGCACAGTCCCTGCAACAAATCGTATATGATATATATAATATATATACACACAATTTACGTATCGTTCATGAGTATACAGTTTACTTTTTTTATTTTTTATCCTTTTTTTGAGACCGAGTTTCGTTGTCGCCCAGGCTGGAGTGCAATGGCATGATCTTGGCTCACCGCAACCTCTGCCTCCTGGGTTCAAGCCATTCTCCTACCTCAGCCTCCTGAGTAGCTGGGATTACAGGCGCCTGCCATCATGCCCAGCTAATTTTTGTATTTTTAGTAGAGATGGGGTTTCGCCATGTTTTGACACCAGTTGTTTTGGAAAAACTCAAACTGTTTTTTTTTCTGCTCTCACACTGCCACAAGTGGGATTCAAACCCACACCTACCTTAGGAGACCAGAAAATTGTTTCAGAAAAACTCTCAAACCCTATTTTTCCTCTGCTCTCATACTAACAACACAGAAGACTTATGTAGCCCCAAAATATATGGGGATTTCTCCTCATCAGCAAGCCATCAATTCTACTGGGTGTCCTCCAGTTCAGCTCCTTCACTGTCTACCTGGAGATAGTGCCGGATCCCACAGGATGAGGGCTCAGTTCCCGACTCCCCAATCCCCGACAGGAGTCACAGCCTGGGCCTCCAGAACTGATTGACTTCCTTCAAGTCAGTTCACGACTCCCCAGTCCCCGACGTGAGTCATAGCCCGGGCCTCCAGAACTGATTGACTTCCTTCAAGTTGGGGTTTCCATGACTCCCTCTTTGGGTTTGATTTGCTAGAACAGCTCACGGAACTCAGGGAAACCCTTACTTATGTTTGCCAGTTTATAATGAAGGATATTACAGAGGATACAAATAAAGAGATGTGTAGGGCAAGGCATGGGGAGAGGGGTGCAGAGCCTCTGTGCCCTTGCAGGGCACACAGCCCTCCAGGAACTTCCATGTGTTCGGCTCTCCAGAAGCTCTACAAACCCAGTCCTCTTGGGTTTTCATGGAAGCTTCATGACATCGATATTTTTTCCACCAGGCTATGAGGTGGGACCCTCTCTGGAATGATGGTCTTATGACCCACAATCAGAGAGGTAGGGGAAGATTAGGGTCCTGCGGGCAGGAGGTCAGAGAGATTTTGTTCTCTGAAGCCTAATGCATCCAATGTTATAACAAACGAGTGTAACAAGGGCTATGGCAGTTATGAGCCAGAAACCATACAAACGTGTGTGTGTGTGTGTGTGTGTGTGTGTGTGTGTGTATGGAAAGAGAGAGAGAGACCAGAAGTGCTATGCTGGAAACTATTCTTTTGAGGTTGTGTTCACATTTTTTTTAACCAATTTAACATATTATGTTACTATCTCACTTAAGATTGGCATTGACTGTACAACAGAAAGCTGATTACAGTGGCTGAACCAAATAGGTGGTTTTTTTTATGAGTCAATTTTTCTAGGAATACGGAGCCCATCCAAGGCCACACAATGCCACCAGGCCTCTAGGCTCCCCCTTTATTTTCCATTGGCCATCTTAATAAGCAGCTTTCATTTTTTTTTTTTTTTTTTGCCTCATGATTGCAAGAAGACTGCTTCATCACTAGAATCACATCCAGATTCCAGGCAGAAAGAGAAAAAACAAAAGACAAAATCAAATGTATGCTCAGCCAACCCCATGTCTTTCAGAACTGCACCCTGTGACTTTTACTTATGTATTTTTGGTCTAAAGTGTGTTACAAGACCAATTCTAGCTCCAAGGGTGATTAGGAAAATGTGTTTTTTCAGCTGGGTAAAGTGCCATGTTTAACATTAAAAATTGCCAAAAATCAGGCTGGGCACGGTGGCTCATGCCTGTAATCCCAGCACTTTGGGAGGCTGAGGTGGGCGGATCACGAGGTCAGGAGATCGAGACCATCCTGGCTAACACGGTGAAACCCAATCTCTACTAAAAAAAAAATACAAAAAATTAGCCAGGCGTGGTGGCAGGCACCTGTAGTCCCAGCTACTTGGGAGGCTGAGGCAGGAGAACGGTGTGAACCCAGGAGGCGGATCTTGCAGTGAGCCAAGATCGCGCCACTGCACTGCAGCCTGGGTGACAGAGCGAGACTCCGTCTCAAAAAAAAAAAATTGCCAAAAATCCCTGATGGTGTTTTTGTGATGCAATGTGAGAACTTACAGGTAATCAATTTGACACCAGATAAGTGATAAAGAGTAAACTTAAAAATCAATTTAAAATTCATATCCTCAGATCTGATTTCATTAACTATCATTCAGTTTATCCTCAACCTAATTAATATGTACAACTGAGGATATTTAGAAATACTCTGTTCAGAGAAGAGAAATAAACATTTCTTATGGGGAAATATACTATAAGGCTGATAATAAATTGATTTTTAAAAATATATTTGACTGCTATGTCCTTACTGCTGTATTTTTGTTGCTTTATTGAGGTATAAATTGCACAGACAATAAATTGAACATACTTTTAGTTTGATGAAAATGTTGACCTAAGTAGATGCCTGTGAAACTATCCCCACAATTAAGATACTAAACAGGTCCATCAGCCCCAAACGCCCCCATCCCTGGGTCTGCTTTCTGTCACTCTAACTCAGTTTGTAGTTTGTATGATATTATATAATCATAGAAGATACATTATTTTGGAGTATGGGTGGGTCCGGCCTCTTTCACTCAGCATAGTTATTTCGAGATTTAGCCATTTGCTGCATATATCAATAGTTTGTTCCTTTAAATTGTTGGGCAATACTCCATTGTATGTATGTACGATAACTTTTTAATCCATTCACCAGATATTGGACATGGGTTGTTTCCATTTTTTAGCTACAGACATTTGTATGTAAGTTTTTGTGTGTATCTATGCTTCCTTTTTTCTCTTTTTCTTCTTTCCTTTTTCTTTCTTTCTTTTTCCCTCCCTCCCTCTCTCTTTTTTTTCTCTCTGTCTTCTTTGAGATGGACTCTCACTCTGTTGTCCAGGCAGGAGTGCAGTGGCGTGATCCAGGCTCATTGCAACATCTGCCTCCTGGGTTCAAGCAATTCTTCTGCCTTAGCCAACTGAGTAGCTGGGATTACAGGCAGGCACCACCACGCCTGGCTAATTTTTGTAGTTTCAGTAGAGATGGGGTTTCACCATGTTGGCCAGGCTGGTCTCGAACTCCTGACCTCAAGTGATCCACCTGCCTCTTCCCCACAAAGTGCTGGGATTACAGGTGTGAGCCACTGCGCCTGGCCTGCTTTTGTTTTAAAGAAACTGTCAACCTCTTTCTAAAGTGTTTTTCACCACTTGACCCCCCCTCGAGCAGTATGTGGCAGCTCCAGTTGCTCCATATACTTGCCTACCCTTGGTATTGTCAATTTGTACAAAATTAGCCATGCTGGTGGAAGTACAGTGGCATCTTATTGTGTTTTTCTTTTTTTGAGATGGGGTCTCACTCTGCCACCCAGGCTGGAGTGCCTTGGCGTGATCTCGGCTCACTGCAACCTCTGCCTCCCGGGTTCAAGTGATTCTCCTGCCTCACCCCCCAACTAACTGGGATTACAGGTGCGCACCACCACGCCCGGCTAAGTTTTGTATTTTCAGTAGAGACAGGGTTTTGCCGTGTTGTCCAGGCTGGTGTCGGGCTCCTGACTTCAAGTGATCCATCTGTCTTGGCCTCCCAAAGTTCTGGGATTACAGGCATGAACCACTGTGCCCAGCCTCATTGTGGTTTTTATTTGCATTTCTTTAATGCTTAATGTTGCTGAGGGTCTTTTCATGTGCTTGTTTGCTGTGTACATATATTCTTTGGTGAAGCAGCTGTTTACATTTTTTGCCCATTTTAAATAGTCATTTGTCTTATTATGAGTTCTTTATAGGATTGGATACTGGTCCTATGTTGCAAATATATGTTTTGCAAATACTTTCTCACAGTTGTACCTTTTCATTTCATTTCATTTTGAGGAGCAAAAGTTTTAAATTTTGATAAAGGAATTAATGGATTTCTTTCCTTCAAAGTTCATACTTTTTGTTTCTTATTTAGTAAATTCTTGGGTGGGCACAGTGGCTCACACCTGTCATCTCAGCCCTTTGTGAGGCCAAGGTGGGCAGATCGCTTAAGCCCAGGAGTTCAAGACCAGCCTGAGGAACGTGGCCACAAAAAATACAAAAGTTAGCTGGGCATAGTGGCACATACGGGTAGTCCCAGCTATTTGGGAGGTTGAGGTGGGAGTGAACCCAGGAAGTCAAGGTTGCAGTGAGCCATGATCACACCACTGCACTCCAGTCTGAGTGACAGAATGAGACCCTGTCTCAAAAAATAATAATAGCCTGGGTGCGGTGGCCAATGCCTGTTATCCCAGCACTTTGGGAGGCCAAGGCGGAAAGATCACTTGAGGTCAAGAGTTCAAGACCAGCCTGGCCAACATGGCGAAACCCCATCTCTACTAAAAACACAAAAAGTAGCTGGGCATGGTGGTGGATACCTGTAATCTCAGCTACTCGGGAGGCTGAGGCAGGAGAACCCCTTGAACCTGGAGGTGGAGGCTGCTTGTTCACTGATGTAGCCCCGGCACTTAGTGTTTAGCACACAAGCACTCAATAAAACAAAAACTAATAATAATAAAATTAATTAATTCTTGCCAAGTCAAGATCTGTAAGGTTTTCTCCTATTTTTTTTTCCTTTTTTTCTTTTTTCTTTCTTTCTTTTTTTTTTATTTTAGACAGAGTCTTGCACTGTTGCCCAGGCTGGAGTGCAACGGCGCGATCTTGGCTTACTGCAACCTGTGCCTCCTGGGTTCAAGCCATTCTCCTGCCTCAGCCTCTGAGTAGCTGGGACTACAGGCGCGTGCCACCACACCTGGCTAATTTTTAGTAGAGATGGGGTTTCACCATGTTGGTCAGGCTGGCCTTCAACTCCTGACCTTGTGATCTACCTGCCTCGGCCTCCCAAAGTGCTGGGATTACAGGCGTGAACCACGGTGCCCGAACTCCTATGTTTTCTTCTTCTAAATTTTATACATTTAGTTGATCATACATTTTGAGTCGATTTTTATACATTGTATGAGGTAAGGACTGGAGTTCATTCGTTGGTATATTGTTACTCAGTAGTTTCAACATTTGTTGAAAATGATACCCTAATCTTTTTTAGACAGGGTTTTGCTCTGTTGTCCAGGCTGGAGTGCAGTGGTGCCATCATGGCTCACTGTATCCTTAACCTCCTGGACTCAAGCAATCTTCCTGCCTCAGCCTCCAAAGTTGTTGGGATCACAGGAGTGTGCCACCGCACCAGGCTAATTAAAAAAAAATTTTGTGTGGAGACAGGGTTTCCCTATGTGGCCCAGGCTGGTCTTGAACTCCTAGGCTCAAGTGGTCCTGCTACTTTGGCCTCCCAAAGTGCTGGGATTACAGGTAGGAACCACCCCGGCCTGACAAGTCTAATCTTAAAATAATCTTTTGTATATTATTTTATATGTGCTAGCTGTAATATGTTATAAATATTTTTCTCAGTTTGTCATTTTTTTACTTTATGTTGGTTTTGGTCATGTAAAAAAATTTCATGTGGTTAAATTTATCGATATTTTCTCTTTTGTTTCTTGATTTTTAGTAGTAGTAAAAATTTCCCTCTCAGTTTCTAGAATAATTTATTCATGTTTTCACCTAGTACTTGTTTGGTTTTGTTTCTTTACATTTACCTCTCTGTTCCATTTGCAGTTTATTCTGCTACATGGTGTGGAGAATGGATCTAATTTTATCTTCCAAATGGCTAGCTGGTTATTCCAATACCCACATATGACATTTATCCCTAACCCATCATTTGCTTATATCAAATTTCCATAGGGGAGCAGTCTCCACAGTTGATGTTCTGACATTTGGAACTGCTCAGACCTTAGCCCATGGGCAGAGAAAACTCTGCACACAGAAGCCACATGGGGTCTCTGGGAGCCACGGTGCTCCCCACCCCTCCCCACACACAACAGGGGCTGGTGGTGACTGTGGTTCTTGACCCTCAAGCCTTAGGCGAGTGGTCCAGCTGAAATTTGCCCAGTAAAGGCCCTATTTTCCCCCCAGGCCCTGGAGCTTCTTTTGGAGGGTTCTGTTGGACTCAACAATGACACACAAAGCAGTACAGCTCAGAGCACATGCTGGCCAGCCAGCAGAGAGCTGGTGAATGAATATGCTGAGGCAATGGAAGCCATACCACTGGGTGGGGTGGTCATCACCCAGACATCTGCTGACAGTGCCGACTGTGTGGTTACCTGCAGACTCAGATGACCCACCCACAATTTTGAGACTGATGATGTCACACAAAAACATACACCCCAAGGGGGGTGTGAAAAGGTTTATTTTATACATAATTGAGGGCAGCAGCGAGGCTTCCCAGGCAGGTCCAAAATGGCTTGAGACAGCAAGGAAAGGAGGCTGGACTGGGTTTTTATTGTGGTTGGGGGTGGGACTGATGGGAGGTTCCCACATACAGGCAGGGGCTTGTGTGGTTCGAATCTTCCAGTGTCACCAGAGGGAGCACCCAGGCTTTCTTACCAGTTTCCCCAGATGTGAGCACAAAGGAAAGAGGGAGGGTGAGACTTAAACACTGACAATTATCAAACATCAAAAAATGGCCCCAGATTGCTCATTATGCCATGTGAGAAGTATGTTTTGCAGGGAGCAGGTCTATGCAAATCTACCGCCAAAGGCAGAGAGAGATGAGAGGTCAAAGAAAGAGGCTGATAAGTCCAGTTTCCCAGAAGAAAACATTTAACAGGGACTTAGAAACAGAAGCAATGTCTTAGGCAGCTTTGAGATGATGGATCCCTGCACCTGCCCTCCAAAAAGTAGCAAGCTTTTTTGGTAAAACATGTGCAGCTGGTTATGTCTCAGACTTTCCTGCAAAACTTGTGACCAATGGGGAGGTTAGATAAGCATCCTTATGAGGGGTTATCTATGCTACAGGCATTGTATAAAGACCTTGCTGCAGGACCCTTTGGTATGCAGGAGTCAACCACTGCTCATCATAGTGGTTTTGCCTCAAGAGGGCATCATTCTTGCCAGGCGACAGGCTATTTTCCTACACTCCACTCAGTGAAACCCACCCTTACAACCTCACATGCCCTCCTCTTCTGGAGGAGTCCCTGGGCACACAGGGAGAGTGCTTGATATATAGCTTTAGCCGCAGAGCATTGCCGACAGAAAACAGACTGGGCCCAGTAGGGTTCCAGAGGAGGGAGATTTGCCAGCTTCGTTGAATCATCTCTAGTCTTTGGAATACGGATATGGTTTGGCTGTGTCCCCACCCAAATCTCATCTTGAATTGTAGCTCCCACAGTTCCCACGTCATGGGAGCAACCTGGTGGGAGCTGGTTGAATGACTGGGGGTGAGTCTTTCCTGTGCTGTTCTGGTGATAGTGAATGAGTCTTGTGAGATCCGATGGTTTTAAAAATGGGAGTTTGCCTGCTCAAGCTCTCCTTTTTGCCTGCTGCCATCCATGTAAGATGTGACTTGCTCCTCCTTGCCTTCCACCATGATTGTGAGGCCTCTCCAGCCATGTGGAACTGTATGTCGATTAAACCTTTTTCTTTTGTAAATTGCCCAGTGTTGGGTATGTATTTATCAGCAGTGTGAGAACAGACTAATACAGTAAATTGGTACCAGTTGCTGAAAAGATACCCAAAAATGTGGAAGCAACTTTGGAACCAGGTAACAGCAGAGGTTGGAACAGTTTGGAGGGTTCAGAAGAAGACAGGAAAATGTGGGACAATTTGGAACCTCCTAGAGACTTACTGAATGGCTTTGACCAAAATGCTGAAAATGATATGGACAATGAAATCCAGGCTGAAGTCATCTCAGATGGAGATGAGGAATTTCTTGGGAACTGGAGCAAAGGTGAGGTAACTCTTGTTATGTTTTAGCAAAGAGACTGGCAGCATTTTGCCCCTGCCCTAGAGATGTGTGGAACTTTGAACTTGAGAGAGATGATTTATGTTATCTGGCAGAAGAAATTTCTAAGCAACAAAGCATTCAAGAGTTGATTTGGGTGCTGTTAAAGGCATTCAGGTTTTTTTGTTTTGTTTTGAGACAGTCTCCCTCTGTCAGTCACCCAGGCTGGAGTGCAGTGGCATGATCTTGGCTCACTGCAACATCTGCCTTCTGGGTTCAAGAGGTTCTCCTGCCTCAGCCTCCTGAGTAGCTGGGATTACAGATGTACACCACCATGCTTGGCTAATTTTTGTATTTTTAGTAGAGATGGTGTTTTGGCATGTTGGCCAGGCTGGTCTTGAACTCCTGACCTCAAGTGATCTGCCTGCCTTGCCTCCCAAATGCTGGGATTACAGTGGTGAGTCACCATGCCCAGCCAAGGCATTCAGTTTTAAAAGGGAAACAGAGCATAAAGTTTGAGAAATTTGCAGCCTGACAATGAGATAGAAAAGAAAATCCCATTTTCTGAGAAGAAATTCAAGCTGGCTGCAGAAAATTGCATTAATAACATGGAGCCTAATGTTAATCACCAAGACAATGAGGAAAATGTCTCCAGGGCATGTCACAGACCTTTGCAGCAGCCTCTTCCATCTCAGGTCCAGAAGTTTAGGAGGACAGAATGGTTTTGTGGGCTGGGCCCAGGGTCCCTCTACTGTGAGCAGTCTAGGGACTTGGTGCCCTGTGTCCCGGCTGCTCCAGCCATGACTGAAAGGGGCCAAGGAATAGCTTGGGGGCAGAGCTGCCCAAGACCATGGGAACACATCTCTTGCATCAGCATGACCTGGATGTGAGACATGGAGTCAAAGGGGATAATTTTGGAGCTTTAAGATTTGACTGCCCTGCTGGATTTTGGACTTGCACAGGGCCTGTAGCCCCTTTGTTTTTGCCAATTCCTCCCATTTGGAATGGCTGTATTTACTCAATGCCTGTACCCACATTGTATCTAGGAAGTAACTAACTTGCTTTTCATTTTACAGGCTCATAGGCAGAAGGGACTTGCCTTGTCTCAGATGAGACATTGAACTGTGGACTTTTGAGTTAATGCTGAAATGAGTTAAGACGTTGGAAGACTGTTGGGAAGGCATGATTGGTTTTGAAATGTGAGGATGACATTTGGGAGGGGCCAGGGTGGAATGATATCATTTAGCTGTGTCCCCACCCAAATCTCATCTTGAATTGTAACTCCCACAGTTCCCGTTGTGGGAGGAACCTGGTGGGAGGTGGTTGAATTATGCAGGCAAGTCTTTCCTGAGCTGTTCTTGTGATAGTGAATGGGTCTCATGAGATCTGATGGTTTTATAAAAACGAGTTTCCCTGCATAAGCTCTCCTGTTTGCCTGCTGCCATCCACGTAAGACGTGACTGGCTCCTCCTTGCCTTCCACCATGATTGTGAGGCTTCCCCAGCCATGTGGAACTGTATGTCCATTAAACCTCTTTCTTTTATAAATTGCCCAGTCTTGGGTATGTCTTTATCAGCAGCGTGAGAACAGACTAATACAAATACCATTTTTGTTTTCTCAGAAGAAGTAAAATGAGAGATATGTAACAATAACTTGAATAGTAGAAATATAATGTGCAGAAAGATTACAATCAAAAAGAGAATCTGGGCTGTGTGTGGTGGCTAACACCTGTAATCCTAGCATTTTGAGAGGCCAAGCCAGGAGGAATGCTTGAGGAGTTTGAGACCAGCTTTGGCGACATAATGAGACTCTGTCTCTATACACACACACAAACGCAAACACACACACACACACACACACACACACACACACACACACACTAGCCGGGCATGGTAGCACACACCTGTAGTCTCAGCTACTGTGGAGGCTGAGATGTGAGGATCACTTGAGTCTGGGAGGTCAAGGCTGTAGCGAGCTGTGATTGTGCCATTGCACCCCAGCCTGAACAACAGAGTAACATCCTGTTTCTTTTTTTAAAAAAGAGAGACAGAGAGATAGAGGACAGACAATTTGTATGCCAAAATGGAAAAAAAATAACCTATTCCATTAATGAGCCAACTAAAAACATCATGAAGAAACTTAAAACAGGCATGTGTCACCACAACTGGCTAATTTTTGTATTTGTAGTAGAGATGGGGGTTTCACCATGTTGGCCAGGCTGGTCTCGAACTCCTAACCTCAGGTGAGCCACCTACCTCGGCCTCCCAAAGTGCTGGGATTACAGGCATGAGCCACCGTGCCTGGCCTAGACACCATTTCTTATTTGACAATGTTTCCTACATAATTTTAACATACCAAATTAGCCTAATATATCTCTCTTGGCCTTTCAGGGACCCTAATTTTTTTTTTTTTTTTTTTTTTTTGGAGACGGAGTCTCGCTGTGTTACACAGGCTGGAGTGCAGTGGCGCAATCTCAGCTCACTGCAATCTCCACCTCCTGGGTTCAAGCAATTCTCCTGCCTCAGCCTCCTGAGTAGCTGGGACTACAGGTGCATGCTGCCACACCCGGCTAATTTTTTGTATTTTAGTAGAGATGGGGTTTCACCGTGTTGCCCAGGATGGACTTGAACTCATGAGCTTAGGCACTCTGCCTGCCTTGGCCTCCCAAAGTGCTAGGATTACAGGTGTGAGCCATTGTGCCTGGCCTGGTTTTTCAAAATTCATTAATTTATGTTTTTGTAGAGACAGGGTCTTGCTATATTATCCACGTTGATCTTGAACTCTGTGAGTGATCCTCCCACCTTGGCCTCCCAAAGTGCTGGGATTTCAGGCATGAGCCACTGTGCCTGGAAACAATGTGGCAAGTTGTGTTTTTTTTTTTTTTTTTGAGACATGGTCTTGCTCTGTCACCCAGGCTACAGTGCAGTGGCACGATCTCAGCTCACTGCAACATCTGTCTCCCAGGCTCAGGCATGAGCCACCATGCCAAGCTAATTTTTGTATATTTTGCAGAGACAGGGTTTCACCATGTTGTCCAGGCTGGTCTTGAACTCCTGGACTCAAGTGTTCTGCCCACCTTGGCCTCCCAAAGTGTTGGGATTACAGGCATGAGCCACCATGCCTGGCCACCAGGGGCCCTAACTGTTACGTCCAAGTTAGTTCAGGTCAAAAAGATTTAATTTTAGAATTTGAAACGTGATTTTGGGAAGTGTGTCAAATATCAAAGGTTTAAAACACCAGATATTAAAATAAGAAAGGTTTAAAACACTCGATCAACATAGGATGACAGGTCACTGTAAGATAATAGTCATTCATTTAGCCAAAGTGATAATTCAGAGATTTCAGAAAGCAAAAACCTCTACTCTTCAATAGGCAGAAGAAAAACTAAATAAATTAAAATAATAAAAAATAATGATAGAGAGGAGACTCAGTTTTTTGAACAACTAAAAGACCTAAGAAAGACAGCATGAGACAGAATCTGTCTCTCCTCTCCCTATTTTTTTGGAGTTTACTCAAAAGGTGAACAAAAATATTTTGCTGTCTGTTATTAATATTATACATGAAATTATTGTTCAAAAGAGAAAACCAAATTTTATTTTTATATTAATCCATTATCAATACTAAAGCTAATTTTAATACAACCTTATAAACTAATCCATCCAATCTCAGCTTTTGACCACACAAGATTTCCAGAACCCATTTATGACTTCTTACAAATTTTTTCTATTTTTTTCCTTTTCCCAAATTTTTAGATCCCTTTAGACTTACATGATTTTTCTTTCATTTTGAAACAACCTGTAAATAACCTCTAAACTAGAGAAAATTATTTTTTCTTTAGCAAAAACCACTGAGTGTGGTGGCTCATGCCTGTAATCCCAGTACTTTGGGAGGCCGAGGCAGGAGGACTGCTTGAGCCCAGGAGTTCAACATGACACTGGGCAAGATGGTGAGACCTTGTCTCTATAAAAATAAAAAACTTAAAGGTAGTTGGGCGTGGTGGCACACCCCTATAGTCCTAGCTGCATGGGAGGCTAAGGTAGGAGGATAACTTGAGCCCACAAATTTGAGGCTGCAGTGAGCCATGATCACACCATTGCACTCCAGCCTGGGTGACAGAGTCAGACTTTGTCTCCAGAAAACAAAACAAAAGAAAAAAACAAACCGGCCGGGCGCGGTGGCTCACACCTGTAATCCCAACACTTTGGGAGGCCAAGGTGGATCACGAGGTCAGGAGATCGAGACCATCCTGGCTAACATGGTGAAACCCCGTCTCTACTAAAAAAAACAAAAAACCAAAAAAACAAAAAACAAAAAAAATTAGCTGGGTGTGGTGGTAGGCACCTGTAGTCCCAGCTACTCAGGAGGCTAAGGCAGGAGAATGGTGTGAACCCAGGAGGTGGAGCTTGCAGTGAGCCGAGATGGTGACAGAGCGAGACTCTGTCTCAAAAAACAAAAAACAAACAAACAAACAAAAAAAACAAACCACATCCTGATGTTTTATTATTATTATTATTTTTTGAGACGGAGTCTGGCTCTGTCACCCATGCTGGAGTGTACTGGCATGACCTCAGCTCACTGCAACCTCCGCCGCCTGGGTTCAAGCAATTCTCCTGCCTCAGCCTCCCGAGTAGCTGGGACTACAGGCATGTGACACCACGCCCAGATAATTTTTGTATTTTTAGTAGAGACAGGGTTTTGCCCTGTTAGCCAGGCTGGTCTCAAACTCCTGACCTCAAGTGTCTACCTGCCTCGACCTCCCAAAGTGCTGGGATTACAGGCCTGAGCCACTGCACCAGACCTCATATCTTTTTTTATAAACTTCTTCACCAAAAACATATCCTTCTTTGTATACTCTGTATATACAATTGTTTCTTTTATATCTAGTAGTTTTTTATTTTTATTTTTTTTTTTGAGACGGAGTCTCACTCTGTTGCCCAGGCTGGAGTGCAGTGGTGTGATCTCGGCTCACTGCATGCTCCGCCTCCCGGGTTCACGCCATTCTCCTGCCTCAGCCTCCCGAGTAGCTGGGACCACAGGTGCCCCCTACCACACCTGGCTAATTTTTTGTATTTTTAGTAGAGATGGGGTTTCACCGTGTTAGCCAGGATGGTCTGGATCTCCTGACCTCGTGATCCGCCCGCCTTGGCCTCCCAAAGTGCTGGGATTACAGGAGTGAGCCACCGTGCCCAGCCTATATCTAGTAGTTTTAATTACATATATTAACTACAGTTTTAGTAGCCCTAATTTCCAATGAAAAACTTAGAAAGTAATTTTGAACTGTTCTGTATCAGTATTTGTAAATAAAAACTATTTCATAAATTTTTAGGAAGACATTTACTCAATTTTTGCATGTCTAAATATACTTAGCTTTTCTGTACCTTATAGAAATAAGACGTTAGGCTGGGTGCGGTCACTCATGCCAGTAATCCCAGCACTTTGGGAGGTGGAGGAGGGCAGATCACGAGGTCAGGAGTTCAAGACCAGCCTGACCAAAATGGTGAAATTCTGTCTCTACTAAAAATACAAAAATTAGCCGGGCATGGTGGTGCACGCCTGTAATCCCAGCTACTCAGGAAGCTGAGGTGGGAGAATTGCTTGAACCCAGGAGGTGGAGTTTGCAGTGAGCCGAGATTGAGCCACTGCACTCCAGCCTGGGTGATAGAGTGAGACTCTGTCTCAAAACGGGCACAGTGGCTCACGCCTGTAATCCCAGCACTCTGGGAGGCTGAGGAGGGTGGATCATGAGGTCAGGAGATTGAGACTATCCTGGCTAACATGGTGAAACGTCATCTCTACTAAAAATACAAAAAATTAGCTGGGCATGGTGACGGGCACCTATAGTCCCAGCTACTAGGGAGGCTGAGGCAGGAGAATGGCGTGAACCCGGGAGGTGGAGCTTGCAGTGAGCTGAGATGGCACCACCACACTCCAGCCTGGGTGACAGAGGGAGACTCCGTCTCAAAAAAAAAAAAAAAAAATTAAAAAAAAAAACATGCTAGCTAAAGTGTATAAACTTAAACTTATGTTTAATAATGTTTCAGTATTTTAAGTTACCTAGAAATGGATCAGATATTTTATGTATTACTTAATGTAACAAAACATGACTTTTTTTTGAGACAGGGTCTCACTCTTTCACCCAGGCTGGAGTGCAGTGGTGCAATCTCGGCTCACTGCAACCTCTGCCTCCCAGGTTTGAGGGATTCTTGTGCCTCAGCCTCCCCAGTAGCTGGGACTACAGGCACGTGCCACCACACCCAGCTAATTTTTGTATTTTTTGGTAGAGATGGGGTTTCACCATATTGGCCAGGCTGGTCTCAAACTCCTGACCTCAAGTGATCTGCCTGCCTTGGCCTTCCAAAGTGCTGGGCAAAACATGACGTTAAGATTTAAAATTACTGAAAATAATTTTGAAACTATGACATAAGTACCTTCCTAATGTCTTCCCCAGTCATTCTGGGAAGTACCCACATGGCACCCAGGGATGACTATGGAGAGCATGGCCCATCTGGGTCCTGAATTTACATATAGAGAGCTCGTTACAGAGGACAGATGTGAAGATGATGTCTGACATTTCCCAGCATAGTCAGGAGGCACAGCTGGGGCAGACAGAACTCCACATATGTCGCCAGGCCTCACCATGGCCATTTGTTTAGAGCCCATAATTGAATGGTTCTAAGACCTAAGCTCACAGACAAGTTAAACAAGCATCAAAAATATCACAGAAGCAACAGTTTTATGACCTTAAAACATCTAGCAGAGATATCCTAAACCTGTCTGACTAGTAGACCAAGGAGAACATGTGTAAATTAATACTGACAACCCTGAAGCCACTCCTATCTTACCAACAATTTAAAAACTGGTTTTATTTACCAAAGATTACTAAAGTCACATGAACTTGAAAAATATTTGGGCTTATTAACTTATGAGCACTTATTTAGAAATCAATTTGGTACCATGTAGACACCATACACATACACACACACACACACACACACACACACACACACACACATAAAAAAGATTTTATAGCTTTGATTTTAAAATTTTAGCAATGAGATAGGTAAAACTCACTAGTTTAAAACAACAGTTGGATTCAAACTTTGAAAATGAAACAAGTTAAAGTTTATCTGTCCCACATGATCAAAGCCCTTACTGAGTTTTAGAGGAAAAAAGGGTAACAAATTTACATCTCATAGCACAGAGCAAGAATTTAAGCTTTTTTTTTTTTTTTTTTTTTTTTGAGATGGAGTCTCGCTCTGTTGCCCAGACTAGAGTGTAATAGTGGGATCTCGGCTCACTGCAACCTCTGCCTCTCAGGTTCAAGCAATTCTCCTGCCTCAGCTTCCTAAGTAGCTGGGATTACAGGTGCCCACCAACATGCCTGGCTAATTTTTGTATTTTTAGTAGAGACGGGGTTTCACCATGCTGGCCAGGTTGGTCTCGAATTCCTGACCTCAGGTGATCCACCTGCCTTGGCCTCCCAAAGTGCTGGGATTATAGGCATGAGCCACCGTGCCAAGCCAGGGAGGAACTTCTTGTTGTTGTTGGAGACGGGGTCTTGGTCTGTCGCCCAGGCTGGAGTGCAGTGGCATGATCTCAGCCCACTGCACCCTCCACCTCCTGGGTTCAAGTGATTCTCCTGCCTCAGACTCCCAAGTATCTGGGGCTACAGGCACCCACCACCACGCCTGGCTAATTTTTGTATTTTTAGTAGAGATGGGGTTTCACTATATTGGCCAAGCTGGTCTTGAACTCCTGACCTTGTGATCTGCCTGCCTTAGCTTCCCAAAGTGCTGGGATTACAGGCGTGAGCCACCGCACCTGGCGTAAGCTTTTTAAAAAGGAGTCTGAGTGTGTTATAGGATGGCAGAAAATGGATGCCAAGGTAACACAAAATCATAGGAATTCACCATAGCATTTTAGAAGGAAACTAATTTCATTTAGATAGGTAGCTTCAAATTGAGCCTCCATTTTCCAACTGGACCGCTGAGCTCAGGGTAGAGCCCATTAACTAATAGGGCCAAGAAGGCACTTGCAGTTTCCTGGCTCTAATACTTGTATATGTGAAAAGCAGGTGCAACTAGAAGGCAAAACACTTAGATCTCCCAAAATCAAGGATTCCATTTTACACAGAATCCTGCGTCCCCCAAAAGAGGGCAATGCCACGGGATGGGATAGAGTGATGCTTCCACAGTGCACCTCACAGCAAAGACATTCCCTGAGTCTGAGTGGCCGATCACCAATCAGCCCATCCCCCACAGGAGGCTTATCTCTCAGTGGTGAGTGTTTCCATGGCTTCTATGTGTCCAAACCATGTTTTTCTTATCAAACACATAAGGAAATGAGTAGCTCCCTACAGTAATAACCACTCATTACAAACACTGTCAGCCATCTCCAAAACTGCAGCCCTCACCAGGGACTTGTCAACCACCATACATCCAAAGGTCCTGGTTATCTCGCAGTATAAAATAATTCCCGGTATCCCCCAAAGCTAAAGGGATCAGGAAATCAATGCCAAAGACAGCAGAACTTTACACTTGAGAGAAGCCTTCTCATGACTTGGGACTCTACAAGGAAGGCAGAGGACTCCCAAAAGGGGATGTGTGATGCCTTTTTCTGTCTTCTTCAAGGGGTCTCAGGACTGCTAAAAGTCTCTAGATTTCTGCATGTGGTATCAAAGATGGCAAAGGGAAGGAGAAGCAGAAGTGGGAGGAAATGGAAGAACAAGTCTTAGAGGAGCCAAATTGAAGAGCTCTTAAGCTTTCCAGAAGGCAAAAGGCAGGAGCTCTTCAGCCTTCCAGAAGGCAAAAGGCAGGAGCTCTTCAGCTTTCCAGAAGGCAACAGTCATGCCAGCATCAAACCAGAGGGGCCAAACATATAATATGAAAAAGGCAGAGGGTGTTTCAGCTGACTGAAAAAAATAATTCCCAGAAACAGCGTCCAAAATAGAAAAAAGCAGAAAGGTCTTCTCCCCCACTGCAAAATATATAAGAGCCTTAATATCTGTTTTTAATTAAGGTGAATTCTGACCACAGAGCTCCTTTAAAAAGATCTTTTCTCTAATGACAATTCCTCCTCAAGCCATTTTACATTAACTTCTGCTGCTAGCTGGGCTCTGTCGCCAAATGGGCAGCCCACAGAAGTGGCCATCGCACTGCTATGGCTCACCGCCCTTCCTTACCACAGTATGACAGATGGCTCTCTATTCCCAATCCCCCTAAAGCCGCTGGCATTTTCAGGGAGTCCTCACACTCATGAGGTTGTCCACAAGTACCTAAAAAGTGAGCTGCAGCACTGCACGTGGAAGTGACTGCCACTCTGGGGTTTCCCCCACCCATTTCTTGGTCTCTCAGCTGGGATTGCCAAATGTTCCATGGTAAGCAGGTCTATGCAAACCTACCCCCAAAAGCTGAGAGGCTGAAGAAAGAGGCTGACAAATCCAGTTCCTCAGAAAATAAACATTTAATAGGAATTTGCAAACAGAAGTGGTTTCAGGAGGCTTGGAGATAGTGGATCCCCACACCTGTCCTCCAGAAAGTATTGTTTATAGAGAAAGCTTTTTTGGTAAAACATGTACAGCTGTCACATCTCAGACTTTCTTGCAAAATTCATGACTGCTGGAGAAGTTAGGTAAGCATCTTTGAGGGGTTATCTATGCTACAGGCATTGTGTAAAGACCTTGGTGCAGGAGTCAACCATTGGCCATTATGGTGATTTTGCTTGAAGATGACACCACTCCTGCTGTGCAACAGGCTGTTTTCCTACAGTAGAATCACAATGTGTAATCCTTCCTCCATACAGTATAAAGGGTATATCTCTGGATACAATGTGTAATCCTTCCTCCATACAGTATAAAGGGTATATCTCTGGATACAATGTGTAATCCTTCCTCCATACAGTATAAAGGGTATATCTCTGGATACAATGTGTAATCCTTCCTCCATACAGTATAAAGGGTATATCTCTGGATACAATGTATAATCCTTCCTCCATACAGTATAAAGGGTATATCTCTGGATACAATGTGTAATCCTTCCTCCATACAGTATAAAGGGTATATCTCTGGATACAATGTGTAATCCTTCCTCCTTGCTCATGTGTATTTTTCTGTCCATCTAAACTTGCTAAGGATTCTTTCATGCTCCTGCCAAAAATGGTCCTAGAGAGAGCTTAACAGACATTAAATCTCAGTTTGGAAGTGTTGTCCCTAGGGAACGTATTAAGTGGTGGAAATACATGTGATACATATTTTCCCTTTTTCAAATCTGCATTTTCTAGAATTATGTTGATTTTAAAATTAAAAAAAATTAAATTGGGCAAGTCACATTTGAAATCTGGGCCACAACCCTTTCAAGGGCTTCTGTACAGCATGTGATGACACCACCTCAGTGCTGCAGTCCTGGGTAGGCCCCAGCCCCTGCATGAGGTGAGAAGGGATCACACATGACAGCTGAGGATTGGCAGCACCAGAGTGGGCAGGGGTGGGGGTGGGCACCAGTTGTCACTTGTTCACTGATTAAGCCTGTTATAGGACCAACAGGTTTGTATGCTGGCTGCACAGTAACAGCCCAATGACACTGAGACAGCAGGGATGCAGCAGAGAGTTTAATTATTGCAGGGCACCAAGTAAGGAGATGGGAGGAGACCCTCAAATCCATCTGGGGTTTTTAAGGGGATCATGGAGGGCGAGGGGCTGGAAAATGGGGGTAGTTGATTGGCCAGGGCAAAGGGGATGACATCATCAGGACGTGGAAACTGCATTCTTTGGTGTGGTCAGCTCCTTGTGGCATCTTTCCGACCAGCTCAGTCAGTGGTCTTAAAAGTATGCAGGATCTGAAGGCGTATCTCAAAGGGAAAACTTAACATTTCATGATGTTCAAGTTGTTATCTACAGAGCAGTTCAAGGGAACTATAATCTAGGGCCTGTGTGATTCTAGGCCGTCGGCACCAAATGACTATGTGGAGGCATGTCAGGGAGTAGCTGACCTAATGATGAATGCTGAATGTGCTGCAAGCTTTGTTTATTTTCATTTCCCCCCCTCTTCTTCCCAGATTAATTTGATAAAGTTTATAGGGGCAGTTTCAAGCCATTTTACGAATACCATTCTGAGACACATGCAGCAGCTAGGGCAATGAGTGCATGGCAGGGGCCACATGGCCGCTGCTGGGAGAAAGGGAAGGACCTTTTACGGTGGAAGGTTTGGGGGTCAATACTCAGACTGTCAGTCCCAGCAGATGGAATGAGTGTCTCTTCTCTCCACCCTCCCCTCCTTTTTTGTTTCTCTTCTCCTCTCTCCAATTTCTCTGTTTCATGATCATGAAAGCCCAGTATTTGGTAAGTAATTATGATATTAAGTACTTATCTAAATAATTAAGGGTCTTTTGAGAAAAATAATTAGTCTACTAAGATTTTTATTTTAAAAAAGAAAGGCCAGGTGCTCACCCCTGCAATCCCAGCACTTTGGGAGGCCGAGGTGGGCGGATCACAAGGTCAGGAGATCGAGACCATCCTGGCTAACACGGTGAAACCCCGTCTCTACTGAAAATACAAAAAATTAGCCAGGCATGGTGGCAGGTGCCTGTAGTCTCAGTTTCTTGGGAGGCTGAGGCAGGAGAATGGCATGAACCCGGGAGGCAGAGCTTGCAGTGAGTGGAGATCGCACCACTGCACTGCAGCCTGGGCAACAGAGTGAGACTCCATCTCAAAAAAAAAAAAAAAAAAAAAAAAAAAAGAGCTTTCCTATCATCTTCCTCATGCCCCAGCCCCCACTAAACAGAGACATCTCAGGCTCATGGAGTCAGTAAATGTATGACCTAGGCTTTCTCCATCATATGGACTTGGTATTTGTTCCCTGAGAAACACATTGCTGAGGACATCACCAAGGTCAAAAGGAAGAAACAAATTTGTGATTCACAGAAATTTCAAGACTATTTCTCTTTGGAAACGTGACGACGTACTGAAATTAAAATTCCCTAGGCTTTGGATGAAGCACCCCAACATGTGTCAAATCTGGCTGGATGCTGGGCAGCACCAGAGACCAGGAGGAGCTGGTCATTTACTTGTCCTAGGCAGCACCTTCCTGTGGCCCCTGCACAGTCCACTGCATCCATCAGTGTGGCCACTACCCTGTGCCTCAGCTGCAGTGGGTGTCCTGGTGGCTGTCTCCCAGTGGCATTGAGGTGAGGGGAAGGGCGGACTCACGGGAAGAAACGGAGTTAGAAGGGAGCAAACACAGTCAGGAATGCACAGTCTCTTCTCCACACAGCAGTGATCATATTCAGATGCAAGTCAGGTCATCCTCCTCTGCTCAGAACCCTCCAGGATCTCCCCATCTCACACACAGTAAAAGCCAGTCTTTGTCATGGCCACAGACCTTCATGACACACCCCAGCACCTCTCTCCTTTGCTCACTCTACTCCTAGCCATGCTGCCCTGAAACACTCCAGGTCTCAGGCCTGGTGTCCCATTAACTATTCTCTCTGCCTGATACGTGAATATCCTTTTATTTTCACTTGACACTCTCTCACGTGCTTTGCATCACTGCTCAAATGTCATCTCAGTGAGACCTTCCCTGATTGTCCCCATTTAAAACCAAACCCCTCCTGGACCCCACATGGACCCCAATCCCTCCCTGCTTTAGTGTTGCTTTCCAGCAATCATCACCATCAGGTCATTTTCTCTTCCCACTGGCACCTAAACTCCACAAGGCAGACACTTATGCCTCTCTTGTTCCTGTTGTATCCTTGCACCTTGGCGCCTCATGCCTGGCAGATAGAAAGCATTCAACAAGTGTTTACTGGAACAATGAGTAATCAAATCCAGGCTAGAAAGGGAGAAACATGAGGCCAGAGAGGAGCCTGACTGATGAGGCACATGTCAGCAGATTGGCCAGCATGATGTTGAAAGACTGGGCAGGCGAGTTAGGAGGGTAACAGGGCCATGCTGCTGTTGAAATTCTGGGTGTTGCCTTGGGAAAGGGCGCTGTAGTGGAGGTGACGGTGAGACCTGGGGTGGGGTGTGTGGGCAGCCAACACCTTGTGGGTGGAGTGCCGGCCTCTGAGGTGAGCACAGGCTCAAGCCTGTGGGACCGACCTTCCCATCTTCAAGTCGACACTTCCACACTTTCTTCTCTCTTCAAATTTCTCACAACCTCTCCCTCCCCATTTGCAACTGAGGACTTTGCCTCCTGCATCCTTGAAACCATCCCACCAAACCTACAAACTGACTACATTTGCCCCATTTTTCTCCTTTCTTCTTGGAAATGCAGGAGGTGTCTGTCTATCCAAGAGTAACCCCTCAACCTCTAGGGGATCTTTGTTCCTTCTCCCTCCCTCTCAGCTCCACCAGCCCCCACCACCTTTGCTCTCCTTGACTGTGCAGACCTTTCAGCCACCCTCACATGCCACCCAGCTTCTGTCCCTCTGTTACACTGAGATGGGCCCTGGCAGGACCACCAGCCATTTCCCTGAAGTCAAGTCTCAACTCCCTCCTCCTCAGCATTTGATGAGATGGTTCCTCTCCTGGTCACCTCTGTCTCTTCCCTTCTAGCGCCTTTGTTGCTTCTCTTCCTCCACCAGAATGTTCAAAGCTGGGAAATCTTAGGCCTCTGTCCCGAGTCCTCTAATGATCTTCCCAGGGTAACTCATGCTTTCCCAAAGATGCATATCTCATTTAAGAAAAATGCTAATGACTCCCAAATTTACATCTCCACCCCAAATCTGTCTTTAAGCTCCAGATTAATAGTTAACTGAGATCTCAACTTCTCTTGTTTCTCACAGACACCTCAAGTTCCACATGCCCAAAAGAGAAATCTTGATTTCCACCCACTGGCACTGGCCTGCGGGCTTAGACCTACACCCTGCTGTCCTAGAGAGGTGACTGAACTGGGTTACCTGACTGAGGCTGGCCCTGTCAGACTTTCTCCTAGAGGCCATGAACTGAGGACACAGCAACTTTCACAGATTGGTTCTGTCCCTAGACGTGTGAGGACAAGTGAACTGGGGAGCAGACTGTGGGGCAGCCATTTCCTTGCCACATCTAAAGAGAAAAGAATGAAATGGATGCAGAGGAACAAAGAGCTTGCAATTGTTCCTGATGGCACTCACTTCCTGTTCCCCATGACAAGAAATGCCCTTCTAACTTATGCTAGTTGAGTGGATGTCTTTATTTGCCACCAAACAAACATTAAGACACCTGCTACTTACATGTGTCTTTTTCTGCGTGAACTTTGAGATAATTTGGACTAGTTCCCCAATGCTTCCTATTTGGATTTTGACTGGGGATGCACTGAATTCACAGATAAATTTAAGAAAAATTTTCATCTTCATGATATTGAGTCTATGAACAAACAAGATAGACTTCAGTATTTATTCATGTCGCTCTTTTCCTAATGTCCCTCTGAAGAATTTTATGGTTTAAAAAGGGAGATCACTTACCTATATAAAAAGGAAATCAACAAGGATGAGGGAAACCACTAATAAGGAACACAACAAAAACAAATACAACTAATTGTTGCATGTGAATAACATAGCCACCATGAAAGAGAAAAAAACCAAGACAAAACCAAGACTCAAGTATCTTTTGTGTGCAGTATTTTGACTATATAGACTCAAATCAAAGTGCAAAAGCCAGTAGACAGATATTGGACCATGAATAGGTTGTTGTTACACAGTGGTTATGGATCAGCAATTCAAAAACTACTTTTCGTATATTCCAAGATTGAGAAAATCTTATTGTGTAAATATACTGAGGATAATCGGGACCATATTTTTGTTTTAAAAAAAAGGGGGTGTTGGGGGCTACAAGTATGGAGAAAGGGAAGGCTAGATTTAACCCTGTGGTACTGGACTGGAATTGGTGGCACTGGAATGAATTCATGGTTTTAAATACATTGATGGCTATGGAAATTGATACAAGATGGTGTGTTTACATAGATACACACACATTTATTTCCTAGTTCCCTGCTGAGAGGGCCCAGAAGAGTGACACCCTCATGACAGTGAGCACACCTAACACCCAGATCTTGTTTTCTAAAAACTATTCTCCACAGAAAGGCACCCGGCTTCTAGGAAAAGAACTTACTCCACAGCTGGGCCTTTACTGTGGGGAAGCCTGGCAGTCACAGTCTTAACCAAGTGATAAAGATCACATCACCTGAAGGGACCACAAAACCCATCATGGACCTCCTGATACGACATACCAAGGGCACATCTCTTCCATGGTTCCTGGCAAAATCATCAGGAAACACTGGACAAACACAAGGTGAAGTACACTCTACAGAATAACTGCCTCATGCTCTTCCAAGATGGCAATATTTATCTTTGAAAGACAAGAGACTGGCCGGGCATGGTGGCTCATGCCTGTAATCCCAGCAATTTGGGAGGCTGAGGTGGGAGGATCACTTGAGGTCAAGAGTTCGAGACCAGCCTGGACAACTTGGTGAAACCCTGTCTCTACTGAAAATCACACACACACAAAAATAAATAAATAAAATAAAAAAAATTAGCCAGTCATGGTGGCATGCACCTGTAGTCCCAGCTACTCGGGAGGCTGAGGCATGAGAATTGCTTGAACCCGAGAGGTGGAGGTTGCAGTGAGCCGAGATCACACCCCTGCACTCCAGGCTGGGCAACAGAGTGAGACTCTGTCTCAAAAAAAGAAAAAAAGAGACTAAAGAAGTACTCCAGATGGAAGGACATGACAACTACATATGGGTGATCTCAGACTGGATCCTCAGCCAGGAAATTTTTCTTTTTTTTAATTTCTATAGGCTGGGTGCAGTGGCTCATGCCTGTAATCCCAGCATTTTCAGAGGCCAAGGCAGGTGGATCACCTGAGGTTGGGTGTTTGAGACCAGCCTGACCAACATGGAGAAACCCTGTCTCTACTAAAAAAAATACAAATTAGCTGGACGTGGTGGTGCATGCCTGTAATCCCAGCTACTTGGGAGGCTGAGACAGAAGAATCACTTGAACTCGGGAGGCGGAGGTTGCAGTGAGCCGAGATCACGCCATTGCACTCCAGCCTGGGCAACAAGAGTAAAACTCCATCTCAAAAAAAAAGAAATCTATAAAGGGCATTACCAGGACAACTGGCAAAACATTAATACGGTTTATAGATTAGAGCATGTCACCAACACTCACTTTCTGGCCAGGCACAATAGCTCATGTCTATAATCCCAGCACTTTTACAAGGTTTATAGATTAGAGCATGTCACCAACACTCACTTTCTGGCCAGGCACAATAGCTCATGTCTATAATCCCAGCACTTTGGTTGGATCACTTGAGGCCAGGAGTTCAAGACCAGCCTGCGCAACATAGAAAGATCCCATCTTTACAAAAAACAAAAGTAACCTCCCCGGGGGTGGTGGCACACACCTGTGGTCCCAGCTACTCAGGAGGCTGAGGTGGCAGGGTTGCTTGAGCCCAGGAGGTTGAGGCTGCAGTGTGCTGTGATTGCACCACTGCATTCCAGCCAGGGTGAGCAAGACCCTGCCTCAAAAAAACCCAATTCATTTTCCAGCGAATACTGTGGTCATGAAAGAGAACACCCTTGTTCTTAGGAAGCACATGCTGATGTATTTAGGGGTAAGGTGCATCACATCTGCAACTTAGTCTCAGGGCCAAAGTTATCTACTGCGAGGGAGAAGAAGATGATATGGCAAACGTGGCAAAATGCTAACGGGAATTTGAGTAAAGATATTTGGGTGTTCTTTACGGTACTCATAATACTTTTGTGTGGGAAATTATTTCACAATTTAAAAACTACAAAAACGTAGCTTATAGTGGACATATATCATTTATGACTATTCAAAATCTCATAGAACCTCATGTTTTAGAAGCTCTCTGCAGCCTTTCCAACACAGAAGCCACCATCTACACTTCCTGGCCTCCCTTGCTGCTAGTGGAGAATAAGAATTGGTTCAAGTGCTCAGATCTGTCTGCACAAGACTTAAAGCAGAGTTAAATAGGAAAATTGGACTTCCGCATGCTCACCTAGGTCACAGCAGAGCCGTGGGATTCCTAAGTAGTCAGCAGTTCCCTTGGCAGGGGAGCTCCATGGGATGATTCTGGATTCTTTCCTGGAATCTCGGACTCCAGTCTATTTCATCAGCTCTCTTAGTGTTTCTGTGAGATACTAATTTTTGGTTAATGTTAGTAATGCCTAGCAGAGATTGCCAAGGACTAGGTACAGTTAAAAATACTTTACATGGCCCGGCATGGCAGCTCACACCTGTAATCCCAGCACTTTGCAAGGCTGAGGCGGGTGGATCACGAGGTCAAGAGATTGAGACCAGCCTGGCCAACATGGTGAAATCCTGTCTCTACTAAAAATACAAAAAGTAGTTGGGTGTGGTGGTGGGCGCCTGCAGTCCCAGCTACTTGGGAGGCTGAGGCAGGAGAATCACTCGAACCCGGAAGGTGGAGGTTGCAGTGAGCTGAGATCGCGCCATTGCACTCCAGCCTGGGTGACATAGCGAAACTCCGTCTCAAAAAAATAAAATAAAACACTTACACATACCATTTTATTCAATCTTCACAAAACTCTTAACTGCAGTAAGAACTCAGTCAACACTTAGGTCTTGCATCTCTCCAGAGGGCGTACTGTGTGTTGGGGAGTGGTAAAGAGGATGGATGCTCTGTGGCTGTGGGAACTCTGCAGCAATCACCCACCTGCACACAGCCAACCACTCCACAGTACAGAATAGTCCCTTGGTCACAAAACACACTTTAACTCCTGCAAGAACTCTTGAGTCCCAAGAGGCAACTTAGGTCACAGGGAGCATCCTAAGGCAGGGTCAGCAAACTTTCCTATCAAGGACCAGAAGTAAATACTTTGGCTTTGTGCACCATATGGGATCTATCACAACTGCTCAATTCTGTGGTACAAAAGCTGCCACAGCTATCTGTAAACAAATGGGCATAGCTGTGTTCCAACAAAACTTTTATCTAAAACAGGTCAGGGCTAGGTTTTCCATGAAACTGTGTCCTGACACCCCCAGACCTGCTGGCCAGCAGGGAGGGGCCTCTCAGCATCTGGGCTTTCTCCTTGCTCAGGGAACAGGAGCACAGCTCTGAGAACTAAGGATGGGGGTAAGTGAGCTAGGCCCTCAAGGCAGGGCACTTACTAGGTGGAAAAAACAGCCTGGAAGCTCATGGGCATGAAAATGAGGTCCATGGAGAGAGCTTCCTCTGTGGCCCAGAAACTAGAAGCTGGAACAGCCATGTGGAACTGTGCAGCAGCCCAGAACAGGATATGGGGGCCTAAGTCACAGCAGACCAGTGAGAGGAGAAAGCTGACCTCAGATTGCAGATCTGTATAAAGAAAAGTAGGGTGGCGGGGGAGCCTTGGGTTCAAATTCTGGAACAGGAGGGACAAAGAAGGGCAGGGAATTGGTGGTGATGAGTAGGTACCACTTCTGGGGAAGATGACAGAGCAACTGGACCTGAAAAACTCTCGACTTACCTAAAATATCAATTACAGCCAGTGACAAAGAATTCACGCCACACAACTCATTACCAATCAAACAAACTACTATGGTTATCTCAAACCAAACGTCACTTTACTTTTTTGGTAACTTTTCATTATAATAATAAACTCTATTCATGAATATGCAGCCTCCATAATCTTCTCCCTTGTAACAAACGTGCAGTCCGTTCACAAGCTGTAAAAACAAGCCCAAACCCAAGACATCACAAGAGGCAAGAGCAGTGGCAGTGAGAAGGGAGCCTGTAAAGGATGTTTCAAAGGAGGGTCCCAGGCTATGTGGCCACTGGATGTAGGCAGTGAGCTGAGTCCAGGCTTTCGGTCTGGGAAGTGGCAGAGGCTGAGACAATGGCCAAAGAGGAGTTGGAGAGGAAACTATGCTCGGTTTCACTCCTGCCAGCCCAACAGCCTATTCCCTGGTGTGAATCAACTGGTGTTTGATCAACTTTGATCGCTGGCTGAAGGCTTTCCCACAAGCAGCACAGTCATAGGGCTTCACCCCAGTGTGAATCCTCTGGTGCTGGATGAGGACCGAACGCTGACTGAAGGCTTTCCCACACTCACTGCATTTGTAGGGGCGCTCGCCCGTGTGGATTATCTGATGCTGAATGAGGTGTGAGCTCTGGCTGAAGCCCTTACCACATTCAACACAGGTGTAGGGTTTTTCCCCAGTATGAACTTTCTGGTGGTGAATGAGATTTGAGCTTCGGTTGAAGGCTTTACCACACTGGTTACATTCATGGGGCTTCAGCCCATTATGAATCCTCTGATGCTGAATGAGGGTTGAGCTCTGGCTGAAGGTTTTTCCACATTCAGTACATTCATAGGGCTTCTCTCCAGTGTGGACTCGCTGGTGAAGGATGAGGTTGGAGCTGCGACCAAAGGTCTTCCCACACTCGTGGCAGGCGTAGGGCTTGTCGCCTGTGTGCACGCCCTGGTGCTGAATGAGGGCTGAGCTGTGGCTGAAGGCCTTCCCACAGACACTGCATCTGTACGGCTTCTCTCCCGTGTGGATGATCTGGTGCTTTCGGAGCACTGAGCTATAACTAAAGGCTTTTCCACATACATTACACACGTGAGGCTTTTCTCCAGTGTGAATTCTCCGATGCTGAATAAGGCTGGAGCTCTGACTAAATGCTTTCCCACAGTCACTGCACTTATAGGGCTTCTCTCCAGTGTGAACCCTGTGGTGCTTAATGAGGTTGGAGACCCGACTGAAGGGCTTGCCACAATCATTACACTCATAAGGCTTCTCTCCAGTGTGGACCCTCTGGTGCTTCCTCAGGTGTGCACTCTGGCTGAAGGCTTTCCCACACTCGCCACACTCAAAAGGCTTCTCTCCTGTGTGAGTCCTGTGGTGTTTGATGAGGTTTGAGCTTCGCCTGAAGGCCTTCCCACACTCACTGCACACATACGGTTTCTCCCCAGAATGGATTCTTTGATGTTGGATGAGGTTTGAGCTCCGCCTAAAAGCCTTCCCACATTCATTGCATTCATAGGGCTTCTCACTCATGTGAGACTTTTGGTGCTTTTTAAGGCTCGAGTTCTGGCTGAAGGCTTTTCCACATTCATTACACATATAAGGCCTCTCACTGCTGTGGTGACTCTGATGCCTAGAAAAGTCTGAGTGCCCTCGGAAGGCTTTCCCACATTCGCTGCACTGGTAAGCTTTCTCACTCATATGAGATCGATGACGGTTTTTAAGAACTGAGTTCTGGCTGAAGGTTTTCCCACAATCATCACACATAAAGGAAGCCTCCCCAGTGTGGACTATTTGACGCTGAATAAGGTCAGGATTTCCTTGGAAGGTTTTCCCACACTCATTACATATGAGTGGACTTTCAGCTGTGGGAACCCCCTCATGACCAGTTAGGTCCACACTGTGCTGGAAACTCTGGCCACCCATGTCATATGGATGTGGCCTCTCTTCTGTAGGGATTTCCTGACATGCCATCAGGTTTGGGCTCAGACTGAAGCGACTGTCAAAACCATTACAGTCCAGATCTTTCTCCCCTAAGGGGCCCCTAAGGAGCCCCATGGCAGCTGGTGTGAAGTCCCCCTCCTGGGAGAGGGACTGTGGCAGCCTCCTGCCTTCGGGGACTCCCCAGTCTCTTTCTGATACATCATCACACAGATCTCCAAGCTCGGGTACCTGGGAAACATCACCAGCATAGTTTTCTGATATTTCTGCCTGTGATTCCAAATCTTCATGAATGTCTTCCTTGTGAAGAAACTCCTTGTCTTCAGTCCTGGTGTCACAATCTGAAACAATAAATAGAATATCACTTGGAAGGCAGTGCTGCAGCAGGAGCAGGAACATAGACAGTCACAGTTGCACCCACTAACTGTGGAGGAGGCAAGGGGAGCAGGGGATCCTCTGGGGTGGCAGTCCAGATCAGAGGGCATCAGGGAGGGGTGGGAGGAGCACTGGGTGATTAGGCTGCATGGGGCTGCAGATGAGTGAGAGCTCTTGATGACCACGGACCCACCCTCCCTGGGACTCCACATCTCAGCAAACGTTACTGCGGTCTACCTTCTGGCTCAGGCCAAAATCCTGGCTGTCCCTTGACTCCCCTCTTCCTCGACACCCACACCAAACCACTGGCAAGTCCTGTCAGCTCTACCTCAGAGTGCAGCCCAAATCCAGGTGCTTCTCACTTCTCCCACCTGTACCAGAAAAACGTCTCACACCACTCCTTACACTGTTACATATTTCACCCTTTTTTCTGTCCACACTGCCAGGTGTGAGCCTTACCAGCCTATCTCCAGTTCTGTCAGTGCATGCTAATGGCACTGAGCTTGGTCTTAGGAGTCACTAGTGTGGAGAGAGACCCCGTTGTACACAGAGAAGAAACCCAGCTGGCTCTCAGGGCCTGGCAAGTTGAGTTGCATGGAGGCATCATTCAACCACTCCTGTGCGGCAGGGACCTGTGTGGAACATCAGATTCCATCCTGTTCAACAGAGGACCCTTTAGAGACTGCTGTGTCCTGTCAAAGCCACCTGTACCTCTGAAAACCCACAATTCTGACTGGTGTTTGCGGATGACTTCTGGCCTCGTAACAATGTGCGTCATCTTTCCGCAGACAGAAATGCACACAAAGCTCCGTGTCTGCCAGAAAAGGCTTCAGCATCTCCCTCTCCCCTTTTCACACCTGCAGAACAAAGAAACCCTCATGTCCCTGTGTCCCTTACTCAAATGAAGATGTCACGAGTCTCTCATTCAAACTGACATCCCAGGCCACACTGCCACCTGGATGCTGAGCAGCTTCCCTGGCCCCCAACCTCCCCTCCTGCCCACAGCCTGGTGACATCAGACCCAGCACTGTCATGCACTCAAACATCCTCTCAGTGCCTCCTGGCCCTCCTAGACCCCACCTCTACCTCTGCTCCTGCTATACTCTGAGCAGGGCAGATGTGTCCACCTTTGGGTCTGCCTTGCCCAGAGCACTCTCCACATGGCCCTCGTGCTACCCACTTCCCTTGCACAGGCCTTGCTGGAGAGCCCTTCCCTGATCATAAATGCCAGCACCCCACCTACTTTCCTTGCCCCCACCCTGGCTGTCACCCACAGCCTGGATCACTCCCTGAAACAGGACTGCATCCCCCAAAGTGGAAGACCTCTGGTCTAGCTGTAGTCGGTAGTGCTGAGTGGGTGTGAAGGATGCCCCTCCAATGCCCCTCCCACCTTGCGGCGTCCACTCTGCTCCCTCCCTGCCTCTCCCTGTCTGGGACTTCCAGAATCTGCCATAACAGCATTCCATTTCCACCTCCAGTCTGGAATTGTCTGTTCCCAAGGAGCTGTGGTGTCAACAAAGATCCAAACCGGCCCAGCTCTCACCATGACCCTCCTGGGACTTGCCCCTCTACCCACTGCACCCACGTGTCTCTTGGTGACACTTCATGTTGGGTCACTGGACACCTGTGGTGCAGACACATCGTGCTGTGCCACTTTCAGCCAGAACACCCTCTTGCAGCTCCCTACTTCCTGGAGTCTGGGATCAGGCCTCTCCTCTCCCACAGAGCTGCCCTACGTGCCAGCACACAGATGTGGGTGCCTTTCTTTACCACCCTGCTGCCCTTTGGCAGGCCTGCTGTTATACACTCCACATGGGCTGCAGGGGATTCCCCAATGTCCCCCATGAGCTTCAGCTCTCCATGTCAGAAGCCCCAGCCCTGGCTCCAGAGGGTGTCTGGGAAATGTGGCATCTACATGCTGCTGGGCTCCCAGGAGCAATGAGGAATGGGGGCTGCTGGGACAGGTGAGGTCTGAACAGAAGTCTTCAGCCCTGACAGAGATGTCCTGGGACTCGCTGTCCCCCATCCTCCACCCCTGCCAAGACCCTGACTTGGGAGACCGTTGCCCTCTTCTGGCTGTGTGGAGAAGTGACCCAAGGAAGGATGAAGAAGGCTCTGGCAACAACACAGACAGGAGTCAGGAAGGTACTTCTGTGAAGGGTCAGAGAGGAGGATCATACATACATTACGGCTGTATGATCTCTGTCATATGGTCTTCTTTGTTGTTTTTAAAACCCTTAAAAAACACCTCAAAAGCATTCTTAGCTTGCAGGACATAAAAACCAGCCCACTAGCTGGATTTGGTGACCTCTGGCTGAGATGAGATGTCACTGGTGTGGATGAAGAGATGGCGACCATGAGGAACGGGTTGTCTAGCCCGAGCCACTGTTTAGATAGATCAAAGTCTTTTATTGAGACAGGAACTAAAGGTGAATTCTGTACGTGAGAAGGGTGAGAGATCACTTTTTGGACTGATTAAATTCAATGTAATTCTTCTCTGTAATATAAGAATTGTGGGGAAAAAATGAGTTCCTCTACAGAAAGGAAATATAAAATAAAAAATTTTATTTTCCTTTAAGAAAAATTTTTTTTTTGGAGACAGAGTTTGGCTCTTATAGCCCAGGCTCGAGTGCAACGGTGCCATCTCAGCTCACCACAACCTCTGCCTCCTGGGTTCAAGTGATTCTCCTACCTCAGCCTCCCGAGTAGCTGGGATTACAGGGATGTGCCACCATGCCCTGCTAAATTTTGTTGTATTTTTAGTAGAGACAGGGTTTCTCTGTGTTGGTCAGGCTGGTCTCGAACTCCTGACCTCAGGTGATCTACCCGCCTCGGCCTCCCAGACTGCTGGGATTACAGGTGTGAGCCACCATGCCCGGCCAAAGAACATCTTTTTAAAAAGTCAGTAAAATTTGGGCTTAAAGGTGAAGAAAAAGATTTGAAAGCAAATACAGTTGCTTGCACTGTACTCTGACACCCAATTGGAAAAAAGGACAAGGACTCTGAGCCCTTCCAGAACAAAACACACCTTCTGTGAAGAGGAAACACATCTTTATGATTAAAGACTTTTACGATGAGTGACCTCCAGGTTTGTGGAACAGCTTGGATAATTACCCAAGTCATAAACCATGCTTGTGTGAATGCCACGTGTGGCTGTGATGCATCAGTGGCTGCACCACGACCTCCCTCAGAGCCTCGGCTGGGCTGTGTGTTGGACAAACCCCAGAGGCATCTCACACTCAGATGGGGTGCTCCTTACTTCTTCATCTCCTACAGCAAGTTGTTTTCATTTGATTTAAACATTTACTGAGGTGAAATTAACATAACATAAAATCATTCTAAAACGAACAGCGGCATTTAGTACATCTATAATGTTATGCAACCACCACCTCTATTTTCAAAACATTCCCATCACTCCAAAGTAAAACCTCTTACCCATTAAGCAGTTTATCCCCATCTTCCTCTCCCTCCAGGCCCTGGCAACCACTAATCTGTATTCTGTGTCTACGAATTTACCTATTCTGGATATTTTGTACAAATGGAATTATATAGTATGTGACCTTTTGTGTCTGGCTTCTTTCACTCGGCACATCTCAGAGGTTTATCCGCGTGTAGCAGGTACAGTGCTTCCTTTTCATGGCTAAATTATATTCATTTGTATGTAGACACCACAATTAATCATTCATCCATTGACAGACATCTGGGCTGTTTGTACCTTTTGGCTATCATGAATACTACTGCTGTGAACATGATATGCATGTACTTGTTTGAGTATGTGTCTTCAATTATCTTGAGTATATATCTAGGAGTAGTACTATGTTCAAACTTTTGAGGAACCACCAAATTATTTTTCAGAGTAGTTATGCCATTTTACATTCCAGCCAGCGATGTATGAGGATACCAGTTTCTCCACATCCTCTTTTATCTTTTGTTTTTTTGATTATAGACATCCTAATGAATGTGAAATAGTAATCTCATTATGGTTTTGATTTGCATTTCTCTAATGACTAATGATGTTAAGCATCTTTTCTTTTGCTTGTTAGCCATTCATATGTTTTCTTTGGAGAAATGTTTATTCAAGTTCTTTGCCCCTTATTTATTTATTTATTTATTTATTTATGAGACAGAGTCTTGCTCTGTCACCCAGGCTGGAGTGCAGTGGCATGATCTCGGCTCAATGCAACCTCCGCCTCCTGAGTAGCTGGGATTACAGGTGCATGCCACCACTCCCAGCTAAGTTTTGTATTTTTAGTAGAGACAGGGTTTCATCACGTTGGCCAGCATGGTCTTAAACTCCTGACCTCAAGTGATCCACCTGCCTTGGCCTCCCAAAGTTCTGGGATTGCAGTTGTGAGCCACCGTGCCCAGCCTTTGCCCATTTTTAAATTGGGTTGCTTGTGTTTTGTTGTTGAGAAGTAAGACTTCTTTATATATTCTACATACTACACCCTTATAAAAAATATGATTTGCAGATTTCCCCCCATTCTGCAGGATGCTTTTTTCACTTTCTTTCTCTCTCTTTTTTTTTTTTTTTTTTTTTGAGACAGAGTCTTGCTCTGTCATCCAGGCTGGAGTACACTGGTGCGATCTTGGCTCACTGCAACCTCTGCCTCCTGGGTTCAAGCAAAAGCCTCCAGAGTAGCTGGAACTACGGGCACATGCCACCATGCCCAGCTAATTTTTGTAGTTTTAGTAGAGATGGGGTTTCGCCATATTGGCCAGGCTGGTCTCAAACTCCTGACATCAGGTGATCTGCCTGCCTTGGCCTCCCAAAATGCTGGGTAACAGGCTGAGCCACCACACCTGGCTTCTTTTCACGTTCTTGATAATATATTTTGATATTCAAGTTTTAAATTTTGATGAAGTCCAATTTATTTATTTTTTTCTTTTGTTGCTCATGCTTTGGTGCCATATCTAGGAATCCACTGCCAAATCCAAGATTGGGAAGATTTACCCCTACACTTTCTTCTAAGAATTTTAGAGTTGTTAGCTCTTATATTTAGCTTGTTGATCTATTTGGAGTTAATTTTTGTATATGGCATAAGGTAGGGGTTCACCTTCACTCATTTTTTGGGACAGGGTCTTGCTTTGCTATTCAAGCTGGAGTGCAGTGGTGATCACAGCTGACTGTAGCCTTGAGCTGTTGGGCTCAAGTGATCCTCCTGCCTCAGCACCCCTGGAGTAGGCACCAACACAACTGGCTATTTTTTTTTTGTATTTTTTTGTAGAGACAGAGTCTTGCTATGTTGCCCATGCTGGTCTCAAACTCCTGGCCTCAAGCGATCCTCTCACCTTGGACTCCCAAAGTGCTGGGATTACAGGCATGAGCCACCACATCCGGCCCCAACTTCATTCTTTTACATTTGGATATCTACTTGTCTCAGCACCATTTGCAGAAGGGCTATCTTTTCTCATTGATTGAAAGGACTTGGTACCCTTGTTGAAAATCCACCTGCCACATATGTATGCGTTTATTTCTGGACTCTCAATCTGATTCCACTAGTCTGTATGTCTTTGTGCCAGTACCACATTGTTTTGATTACTGCAGCTTTGTAGCAAGTTTTGAAAGTGGAAAGTCTAAGTCCTCTGACGTTATTTTTCATGATTGTTTTGGCTACCCAGGGCTCTTTGTAACTTCATATGAATTTGAGGATCGTCTTTTGTTTCTGCAAAAAATGGCCATTGTAATTTTGATAGGAATGGCATTGAATCTGTAGAACACTCTAGGTAGTTTGGATGATTAATATTGTCTTCCAATTCATGAACACATGATGCCTTCTATTTATTTGTGATTTCTTTAATTCCTTTCCACAATATTTTGCAGTTTTCAGTGGACAAGTCTTAAATCTCCTTGGTCAAATTTAGTCCTAGGTTTTAATTTTCCCTATTGATGCTATTGTATATGGAATTCCTTCCTTAATTTCCTTTTCACACTGTTCATGGCTGGTATACAGAAACAACTGATTTTGTGTGTTGATCAGTTGCTGCAACTTTGCTGGGTTTGTTTATTACCTCTAATAGCTTTTTTGTGGATTCTCTGGGATTTCATATATACGGATTCACATCTTATGGAAAAAGAATTTTACTTCATTTCCCAACTGGATGTCTTTTATTTCTTTTTCTTGACTAACTGCTCTGGTTAGAACTTGCAATACAAGGCTGCAGAGTGGCATGTTTGTCTTGTTACTGACCTTAGGGGAAGAGTTTTGTTCTTCACTACTGTGTATGATGTCAGCTTGAGGGTTTTCACAAATGCCCTTTATCATGTTCAGGAGGTCCTCTTCTATTACAAGTTTTATGAATGCTTTTTTTTTTTAACTGTGAAAGTGTTAGATTTTGCCAAATGTTTTATTTGCATAAATTGAGATGATCATAGTTTTTCTCCTTCGTTCTATTAATGTGATGAATTACAACACTAGGTTTTCTTATGTTGAACCACCCTTATATCCTGGGTTAAATCCCACTTGGTCATATGCTATTGGATTCAGTTTTCTATTTCTTTGTTGGGAGTTTTATATCTCTAGCCATAAAGGATATTGGTTTGTAATTTTCTTTTCTTGTCTTCAAGCCATATCTTTATCTGGCTTTGGAATCAGTGTAAAGTTGACCTTGTAGAATTAGAAAGTGTTCTCTCCTCCTTTGCAAGAGTTTGCGAAGGTTTGGTATTAATTCATTAAATTCACCTTTAAATCCATTGTGGGCCAGGCACGGTTGCTCAGTCTGTAATCCTAGCACTCTGGGAGGCCGAGGCGGGTGGATTGCCTGAGCTCAGGAGTTTGAGACCAGCCTGGGGAACACGGTCTCTACTAAAAATACAAAAAATTAGCTGGGCATAGTGGCACGTGCCTGTAGTCCCAGCTACTCAGGAGGCTGAGACAGGAGAATTGCTTGAACCCAGGAGGCAGAGGTCACAGTGAACTCAGATTGTGCCACTGCACTCCAGCCTGAGGAACAGAGCGAGACTCCGTCTCAAAAAAAAAAAAAAAAAAAAAAAAAAGCCATTGTGGTCCTGGACTTTATTTTATTGGGAGTTTTTATTACTAACTCAATCTCTGTTAGAGGTCTGTTCTGATTTTCTACCTATGCTTGAGTCAGTTTTAGGAATTTGTGTGTTTCTATTGATTTGTCCCTTTCATCTGGGTTATCTAATTTGTTGGTGTACAATTAGTCACAATATTCTCTTTTTATTTTTGTAAGGTCACTAGTAATGTTCCCACTTCCACTTCTGATTTTAGTTATTTGTGTCTTTTTTATTTAATCAATCTAAGTAAAGGTTTATCAACTTTATCTTTTCACAAAAGCAACGTTTGATTTTGTTGATTCTATTTTCTACTCTATTTCATTTAACACTGTTCTAATCCTTCTTTTTTCTTCCTGCTGCTAGCTTTGGATTTTATTTGCTCTTCTTTTATAGTCCTTTAAAAGATTTATACTTTTAAATCTGACTTATATCTTTCTTTCCTTTTTTTTTGAGACAGGGTCTCACTCTCATTGCTCAGGCTGGAATGCAGTGGCATGATCTCAGCTCACTGCAGCCTCAACTTCCTAAGCTTAGGTGATCTTCCTATCTCAGCCTCCCAAGTAACTAGGACTACAAGCACAAGCAACCACGCCCAGCTAATTTTCTGTATTCTTAGTAGAGATGGGGTCTCAACCATGTTGCCCAGGCTGGTCTCGAACTCCTGGGCTTAAGCGATCCACCCACCTCAGCCTCCCAATCACACCTGGCCTCTCTCTTCCTTTTCAACAAGGGTGTTTATTGCTATAAATTTCCCTTTTGACATTGCCTTCACTGCATCCCATAAGTTTTGGTATGTTGTGTTTTCATTCATCTGCAGGTATTGTCTAACTGTCTGATTTCATCTTTGATCCATTGGTTGTTTTATTTCTATACATTTGTAAACTTTCCAGTTTCCCCGCTGTTGCTGGTCAGAGAAGATACTTTGTGTAATTCCAATCTTTTTAAATTTATTGAGACTTGTTTTGTGGTCTAACATATGGTTTGTGTTACATGTACACTTGAGAAGAATGTATATCTTCTTTTCTGAATGGAGTATTTTATATACTTCTGTCTTAGCCCATTTGGGCTACTGTAACAAGATACATTAGACTGGGTAATTTATAAACAACAGAAATTTATTGCTCACAGTTCTGGAGGCTGGGAAGTTCAAGATCAAGGTGCCAGTGGATTCACTGCCTGATGAGAGCTGGTTCCTCCTAGGTATTCCCTTCTATGTGTATTCACATGGTAGAAGGGCAAGAAAAGAAGCTAACAAGCTCCCTCAGGCCTCTTATAAGGAGATAATCCCATTCACAGGGCTCTGCTCTCATGGCCCAGTCACCTCCCAAAGGCCCCACCTCTTAATAACGACACACTGCAGATTAGATTTCAAGATATGACTGGAGAGGGGAGGGGTTGGGGGGGACATTTAGACCACAGTGATGGTCGTCCATTAGGTCTAGTTGGGTTGTAACGCTGTTCAAATCCCCTAGTTCCTTAGTGATCTTCTGTCTAGATGTTCTATCCATTTTTCAAAGTGGAGTACTGAAGTCTCTATTACTATAGAGCTATTTCTCCCTTCCAATCTGTCTATGTCTGTTTCAGATAGTTTGGAGCTCTTTTTTTTGATGTGTATCTGCTTATAATTGCCATATCTTCTTGATGACTCTGCCCTTTTATAAATACATACTGTCCTTATTTGTCATCTATTTTGTCTAATATTGGTATAGTCACCCCAACTCTCTTTTGGTTATTCTCTGCATGGAATATTTTTCCACCTTTCACTTTAAACTTATTGTGTCTTTGAATCTAAAGCCTCTTGTGGCATATAGTTGGACCATGTTTTCTTACACATTCTGTCAATATTTGCCTTTTGACTGGAGACTTCACATGTAATTACTGAAAAGGAAGGACTTCTGCCATTTTATTTATTTTTGATAAATCTTTTACCTTTTTGTTCCTCAGTTCCTCTACTGCTGTATTCTTAGGTATTACCTTTTTTGTAGTGTACCATTTTAATTCTTGCCTTACTTCTTGTGTCCATTTTTTTTTTTTTGAGACAGTCTCGCTGTCACCCAGGCTGGAGTGCAGTGGCATGGTCTCAGCTTACTGCAACCTCTGCCTCCCAGGTTCAAGGGATTCTCCTGCCTCAGCCTCCCAAGTAGCTGGGACTACAGGCGGGTGCCATCGTGCCCGGCTAATTTTTTGTATTTTTAGTAGAGATGGGGTTTCACTGTGTTGGCCAGGATGGTCTCAATCTCCTGACCTCATGATCTGCCCACCTCAGCCCCCAAAGTGCTGGGATTACAGGCGTGAGCCACCGCGCCTGGCCTCTTGTGTCCATTTTTAAGATTTTTTTTTTTTTTTTTTTGAGAGGGAGTCTCGCTCTGTCTCCCAGGCTGGAGTGCAGTGGCGCGATCTTGGCTCATTGCAAGCTCCGTCTCCCGGGTTCACGCCATTCTCCTGCCTCAGCCTCCCAAGTAGCTGGGACTACAGGTGCCCACCACCTTGCCTGGCTAATTTTTTTGTATTTTTAGTAGAGACGGGGTTTCACTGTGTTAGCCGGGATGGTCTCAATCTCCTGACCTTGTGATCTGCCCGCCTCGGCCTCCCAAAGTGCTGGGATTACAGGCATGAGCCACCATGCCTGGCCCATTTTTAAGATTTTTTTTTGAAGTGGAGTTTTGCTCTGTCACCCAGGCTGGAATGCAGTGGCACAATCTCATGCCTCTGCCTGAGTTCAACCTCTGCCTCCTGGGTTCAAGCAATTCTCCTGCTTCAGCCTCCTGAGTAGCTGGGATTACAGGTGCCCACCACCATGCCCAGCTAATTTTTGTATTTTTAGTAGAGACAGGGTTTCACCATGTTGGCCAGGCTGGTCTCGAACTCCTGACCTCAGGTGATCTGCCTGCCTTGGCCTCCCAAAGTGCTGGGATTACAGGTGTGAGCCACTGCGTCAAGCCCATTTTTAAGATATTTTCTTACTGATTACCATGATGATTGCAATGAACGTTCTAACATCCTAAAACAACTGATACCAGTTTAGTCTCAGTAACACAAAATCTCTGCTTCTCTACAGATGTTACCCCCCTTATGTTGTTGTCATCACAGATTACACCTTTATACATAGTGGGGTAAAAAACATAGACTTATAATGCAGACCTTTTATGCATTTGTTCTTTAGATCACTTAGGAAATATGTAATGGCAAAAACCACAATTAATTTTGCACCAACTTAATACAAAGTGTACTTAGAAACCAAAATATAGGGATACTAACTTTTATACTTACCTATGTAGTTACTTTTACTGGAGGTCTTTATTTTTGTATGGCTTTGAGTCCCTGTCTAGTGTTCTTTCATTTCAACCTTCAGGACTCCCTTTAAAAGCATTCCTTGTGGGGCAGTCTATTTGTAACAAGCTTCCTCAGCTTTTATCTACCTGGATATGTTTTAATTTCTCCTTCATTTTGAAGAATAATTTTGCCAGATAACAGAATTCTTAGTTGACAGGTTTTTTTCCCCCTCTTAGCAGTTTAACTAAGCCGTCCCACTGCCTTCTGACCTCCATGGGTTCTGATGAAAAACTGGCTAGAAATCTTACCCAGAACCCCTTGTTCAGGGATAGGTCTCCTCTCTTGCTGCTTTCAAGATTCCTTGTATTTCAACAATTTGATTAGAAAGAGACCTGGTGTGGATCTCTTTAAATAGACTCTACTCAGTTTGTTGAACTGCTTGTGTGTGTAGACATGTCTTTCATCACATTGGGGATACTCTCAGCCATTATTTCTTCAAATATTTTTTCCATCCCCTTCTCTATTCTTTTCCTTCTTGAACATCCCTACTATGCACGTTGGTCTACTTGATGGTGTCTCATGGTCCATTAAGTTCACTTTTCTTTTTTCTTTTTTTTTTGAGACAGAGTCTCACTCCATTACCCAGGCTGGAGTACAGTGGCACGATTTCGGCTCAATGCAACCTCCGCCTCCTGGGTTCAAGCGATTCTCCTGCCTCAGCCTCCAGAGTAGCTGGGACTACAGGCATGCATCACCACGCCTAGCTGATTTTTGTAGTTTTAGTAGAGACAGGGTTTCACCACGTTGGCCAAGATTCTCTCGATCTCCTGACCTCAAGTGATCTGCTTGCCTCGGCCTCCCAAAGTGCTGGGATGACAGGCGTGAGCCACAACGCCCAGCCATTAAGTTCACTTTTCTTAGATCTTTTTTCTCCTCAGACTGAATGATTTCAATTATCCTATCTTCAAGTTGCCGATTTTTCTGCCTGCTCAAATCTACTGCTGAAACCCTCTAGCAAAATTTCCATTTCATTTTTTAGTTCCAGACTTTCTATGTTTCTTTTACAATTTGTATTTCTTATTGATATTTTCATTTTGTTCACACATCATTTTCCTGGTTCTTTTAGTTCTCTATGGTTTTTTTTTTTCTTTTTTTCTTTTTTTTTTTCTTGAGACGGAGTCTCACTCTGTCACCCACGCTGGAGTGCAGTGGTGTGATCTCAGCTCACTGCAAGCTCCGCCTCCTGGGTTCATGCCATTCTCTTGCCTCAGTCTTCAGAGTAGCTGGGACTACAGGTGCCTGCCACCATGCCCAGCTAATTTTTTGTATTTTTAGTTGAGATGGGGTTTCACCTTGTTAGCCAGGATGGTCTTGATCTCCTGACCTCGTGATCCACCTGCCTCAGCCTCCCAAAGTGCTGGGATGACAGGCATGAGCCACCGTGGTGCTGGGTTACAGGCGTGAGCCACCGTGGTGCTGGGTTACAGGCGTGAGCCACCGTGGTGCTGGGTTACAGGCGTGAGCCACCGTGGTGCTGGGTTACAGGTGTGAGCCACCGTGGTGCTGGGTTACAGGTGTGAGCCACCATGCCCAGCCTAGTTCTCTATGGTTTCTTTCACCTCTCTGAGCATATTTGAGGCAGTTGATTTGAAGTTTTTGTCTACTTAAGTCCAATGTCTGTGCTTTCTCCAGGACACTTTTTGTCAGTTTACTTTTTTCCTTTGAATGGGACATATTTTTTTGCTTCGTTATATGCTTCATGATTTTTGCTTTGTTAAAAACTGCACAACTGAATATTAAAATGTGGTATCCCCCCTCCAGGCTTTGCTGTTTTTGATTGTTGAAGACTAGAGTCACATGTTCATTTAGTGACTTTTCCAAACTATTTTTGCAAAGACTATTCTTTGTCGAGTACAGTCACTGAAGTCTTTTTCTTTAGCTTGTGTTCAACCAGTGTTTTGACAGAGATTTTATCAAGAGAAAAACCAACACAAAACACTTCTCCCAGTCTTTGTGGATTGACTCTGTGTTGGGGTACTTTTTAAACGCTGTTTACAACTCTTTCTGAGTTGACTGCCTTCACTGAGCCTAGAGATTAGACAGAGTTCTTGAGAAAGCTTATGGTCTTAACAGGTCTTTTCTGAGCACACACCCAGTCCTGCGCATGCATGTGACTTCCTGGATTCCCCAAAATATATAGGTGCTTTTTTTTTTTTCAAATTTATGTATTTTTTTCTGAGACAGAGCCTCACTCCAGTTGCCCAGGCTAGAGTGCAGTGGCATGATCTTAGCTCACTGCAACCCTTGCCTACCAGGTTCAAGCAATTCTTGTGCTTCAGCCTTCCAAGTAGGTGGAATTACAGGTATGTGCCACCACACCTGGCTAATTTTTGTACTTTTAGTAGAGACAGGGTTTTACCATGTTAGCCATGCTTGTCTCGAACTCCTGGCCTCAAGCAATCCACCCACCTCGGCCTCCCAAAGTGCTGGGATTACAGGCGAGAGTGATCACACCCAGCCTTTCTTAATTTTTTAGTAGAGATAGGGTCTTGCCATGTTATACTGGCTGGTCCTGAACTCCTGGCCTCATACAATCCTCCTGCCTTGGCCTCTCAAAGTGCTCAGATTATAGGTATGAGCCACCACACCCGGGCCAAGGGTGCTTTTGAATGCCTCTATTTCCCCACAAGAAACTCCTCAGCTTTTCTTCCTAGGCTTTAGATGGCCAACTGTATGGGTAACCACAGTACAAAGCCCTGGACCAGAGTAGAGTCCTGAGGGGAGAGGGCTGCCACCAGCCTGGTTGTTGAATTGGGAAGGGGTCAGGAGTATAGGGCAAATCAAAGGACGCTGGTGGCCATCATGTCATACCTCTTCGTGTCAAGTGGGGAAATCACAGTTCTGCTCAAGGTGCCAGGGGCCAGGCTAGGTTAACTTCCTTGCTGACATCCAGCCTTGGCTCCTTGAGTCAGAGTACCCCGTCACCCTCCCTACCTGTGATGACACAGATGCCTCCTAGGGGTAAGCACAGGGTTCCATGGACATCACTTCCCCAGAATAAGGGCACCAGCGGAGAACTGTTCTTAAAGTACCTGGCTGCTGATAGTGAGGGCAGATGGCTTCCAGCTCAGTATCACTACAGCAGGGGGTACCACAGGCTGCAGATCCAGGGTGGGTCACAGCAGGAGCATCTCTCACACGGGCCTGGGCTGCAGGGGTCCAGGGGGATGGTCCTGGAACTGAGAGCTCCATCTCTGCCTCCTCACGGCGAGTTCTGAGGCTGGGCATGACAAGGACCTGAAAACCGGCAAGAACACAGGTGAGTCTACAGACAGGCTAGCTCTAGGGATTCATCCTCCCATCAGGCCGGGGTCTCTTCCTCCACCCCTGCAGCCCAAGACCTGAAGAGGGCCTGGTGCTGCCAGGTCTCAGGGGCTGATGCTGTGTTTCCTGATCTTGGACCTAAAAAGAGGGAGTCAGCCATGGAGACACAGACTCAAAAGCCAGGGCCACAGTACAAAGGGGCAAGATGCTGACCCTAAGGTAAAGTGGGTCATGGTGCCCAGACCTGCCATGATAGGAGGGCAGCCCCCACAGGGTCTGTGTCCTGCTGTGGGGCCTGTGTACTGCTGTGGGGCCTGTACCCTGCTGTGGGCCTGTGTCCTGCTGTGGGTCTGTATCCTGCTGTTGGGCTTGTGTCCTGCTGTTGGGCCTGTGTCCTGCTGTTGGGCCTGTGTCCTACTGTGGGCCTGTACCCTACTGTGGGCCATACCCTGCTGTGGGCCCGTGTCCTGCTGTGGGGCCCGTACCCTGCTGTGGGCCATACCCTTCTGTGGGCCTGTACCCTGCTGTGGGCCTGTGTCCTGCTGTGGGCCTGTGTCCTGCTGTGGGGCTGTGTCCTGCTGTGGGCCTGTATCCTGCTGTTGGGCCTGTGTCCTGCTGTTGGGCTTGTGTCCTGCTGTGGGGCCTGTGTCCTGCTGTGGGGCCTGTACCCTGCTGTGGGCCATACCCTTCTGTGGGCCTGTACCCTGCTGTGGGCCTGTGTCCTGCTGTGGGCCTGTGTCCTGCTGTGGGGCTGTGTCCTGCTGTGGGCCTGTATCCTGCTGTTGGGCCTGTGTCCTGCTGTTGGGCCTGTGTCCTGCTGTGGGCCTGTACCCTACTGTGGGCCATACCCTGCTGTGGGCCTGTGTCCTGCTGTGGGGCCTGTACCCTGCTGTGGGCCATACCCTTCTGTGGGCCTGTACCCTGCTGTGGGCCTGTGTCCTGCTGTGGGCCTGTGTCCTGCTGTTGGGCTTGTGTCCTGCTGTTGGGCTTGTGTCCTGCTGTGGGGCCTGTGTCCTGCTGTGGGGCCTGTACCCTGCTGTGGGGCCTGTACCCTGCTGCGGGCCTGTACCCTGCTGCGGGCCTGTATCCTGCTGTGGGCCTGTGTCCTGTTGTGGGGCCTGTATCCTGCTGTGGGCCTGTATCCTGCTGTGGGCCTGTATCCTGCTGTGACCACTCTTCTCACTCCTTGTTGCTGACATTCACAATGCTCTGAAGCTGGGCAGGCCAGACCCACCTAGAGTGGGAGAACAGCAGCTCCAAAGGGTGAACAGCCAGGGGCAGCCTGTGCTGCAGCCCCACATGTCATCATTATGTGTCAACGCCTACCAAATCCTAGTGGTCAGTTCTATCTGAGTTGCACCATCCTGGCAGCACCCACAGCAGGTGTTCCCATCTTTACTTGCACCAGCTACTCCCTCCTAGCCTCTCATTCCCCATTTCATGTTGGCACCCCAGTGTGCACTTCTGCACTGCCACCAACTTCCTTGGTGATTATGTCCAGTCTTGAGGCATCAACACCCTTGTTAAGATTCACAAACTTGGGCTCATCTCCAGTCCTAACTACTCCCTGTGAGCAGGAGAGAGGACACTCCCACGTGGCGGCATGACGGGCTCCTCACATGTTACTGATTCCCCCACCCCTCACTGTGTAAATGCACCATACCCTGCCCGGGTGCCCACTGGGAGCACTGACATACCTCAGCCCTTCACTCACATTGTACTGACATTGACTCTTCTGTCCTTCATGAGCACCAGCTGAGAATGAGGGTGTGGTCAAGGGGATCTGCAAAGGGGATGTGAAGAAAGGTGGCAGAAGGATGGTGCAGGGAGTCAACGTGATGGTACGTGTCACCCATAGGCCATGTGGGGAAGAAAGAAGGGCTGGGTGGTGCTCCTGGACTCAGATCACCATCAAGGAGAAGGCAAGGAGATATGAACAGAGCTCACAGGGATGGTTACTATGGACCAATGATAAGGGGCCTTGGCTGCCAGATGAAGGTGAAACACTGGCCACATTTCTGTGTCAGGAGAGACAAAACTAATATCTCAAGATTAACTTGGCAGGGTGCTCAGAGGAATGGTGGGAGATGAGATTCAAAGCAGGTACAGCACTAAGGTGCCTACCACGTGGCAGCAGAAATGGAGGAGACATGGGCGATGGGGGTGACAAGGCCCTCTGTGACTGCATCTGCCTGCCCTTACAGTGCAGATGCCCAGTTTCCTCGAGGGAAACCTCTCCCCATCCAAGTGGTGATGTAATAATCTGCAATATTTATTTAGTTCATTTTATTTAAAAATACTTTAAATTCTCATTGTTTCTGAATAGGGGCATAGTCACCTCAAAATTTAAAAGGTAAAAAGGATTTATGGTGAAAAATTCCCCAAACATCCACACAGTTTCCCTTGTTTCTAGTGTACCGTTCCAGATTAATCTAGGTTTACACAGCAAATATATAAACATATGTTTGCCTTTTAATGATAAATTACACCCAACTATGCTATGGCTTCACACCTTATTTTTCTCACTTCATTATGTGTGGGATCTTGCTTACCAGGACACAGAATAAATGCCCCCTCTCACCCAGGTCCATATCCTAATCCCTGGAACTTGTGCTTATGTTACACTACATACCAAAAAGGACTTTGCAAAGGGAATTAAGGTTATGGACGTGAATTACCCTGGTGGACCCAATCTAATCAAATGAGCCCTTAAAAGCCTGAGAAAGATCTGAGGGCCACATGGAAGGACCTCGGAGAGCTAAGGATCACTCAGGCTGGCAGCCAGCACTTCTGAGGACCAACCTCAAGAAAAACAGATTCGGCCAACAGCCTGAACAAGCTTGGAAGTGGAGTCTCCTGGCTAGAGGCTAAGCCTGCTCTTTAGGAGTCACACAACTGGAAGAGCCAGCCACCACCCTCCCATAGCAAGCAGCCACAGGATGGGCCCTGGCCGATCCCTCAGCACCTTCCCCCTTGGGGAAGAACTGGCCCAAACTCTCCTCCCTTCCCAGAGTACCTCCTCCACACGCAGAGCGACTCCACTACTGACTGGGCCTCCCAGGCAGGACATCTGAGGCTGAGCGAAACCCCCTTTCTCCCCCAGCTCTGCTCAGTGCATCTCTGACTTCTCATGGAACACCAGGAACCACGAACCCACCCTTGTCTCCCATGCGCTGGGAACCACCCCATCGCACTGCTGCCCCATGTAGGGAAAAGAAAGAAAGATCAGACTGTTACTGTGTCTGTGTAGAAAAGGAAGACATAAGAAATTCCATTTTGACCTGTACCTTGAACAATTGCTTTGCTGAGATGCTGTTAATTTGTAACTTTGCCCCAGCCACTTTGCCACAACTTTGAGCTCACAAAAACATGTGTTGTATGGAATCAAGGTTTAAGGGATCTAGGGCTGTGCAGGATGTGCCTTGTTAACAAAATGTTTACAAGCAGATGCTTGGTAAAAGTCATCGCCATTCTCCAGTCTCAATAAACCAGGGGCACAATGCTCTGCGATAAGCCACAGGGACTTCTGCCTTGGAAAGCCGGGTATTGTCCAAGATTTGTCCCCATGTGATAGTCTGAAATATGGCCTCATGGGATGAGAAAGACCTGACCGTCCCCCAGCCCAACGCCCGTAAAGGGTCTGTGTTGAGGTGGATTGGTAAAAGAGAAAAGCCTCTTGCAGTTGAGATAGAGGAAGGCCACTCTCTCCTGCCTGCCCCTGGGAACTGAATGTCTCGGTATAAAACCCGATTGTACATTTGTTCAATTCTGAGACAGGAGAAAAACTGCCCTATGGTGAGAGGTGAGACATGTTGGCAGCAATGCTGCCTTGTTATTCTTTACTCCACTGAGATGTTTGGGTGGAGAGAAACAAATCTGGCCTACGTGCCCATCCAGGCATAGTACCTCCCCTTAAACTTAATTATGGCACAGATTCTTTTGCTCACATGCTTTTTTTTGCTGACCTTCTCCCTATTATCACCCTGCTCTCCTACTGCATTCCTCTTGCTGAGATAATGAAAATAATAATCAATAAAAACTAAGAGAACTCAGAGACCGGTGCCGGTGCAGGTCCTTAGTGTGCCGAGTGCCGGTCTCCTGGGCCCACTGTTGTTTCTCTACACTTTGTCTTATTTCTTTTCTCAGTCTCTCGTCCCACCTGATGAGATATCCCACAGGTGTGGAAGGGCAGGCCACCCCTTCACCCCGTCGCTCCGCCCGAGCTCGAATGGTGGCACCGACAGGCGGGAACGCCACCAGCCTGTGGGCGGAGTCCTGGCTCGGCCCCTCGCGGCGACCTTACCCCGGGGTCTCCCCGGAGACCCCCTACCGGAGGCAGCCCCCAGAGGCTCTGACCTCCAGCCCAGGCCGAGCTGCCCCCGCCCCGCCCCCCCCGCGCTCCCACAACCCCCCGCGCGGCTCCGCCCCCGCCCGGGGTCCCCAGCTCGCTGCCCGCCCCGTCTGAGCCCTGAGAGGCCCCTGGGCCCCCCAACCACGGGGGCATCAGGGACAACCAGACGCAGGGTCCCAGGCGTGGAGCTTCGCGGAACTAACCTCAACGGGTCGCGCTTGGAAAGGAGGCAGCACCGTGGCACGAAGACGTCTCAGCCAACGCCGGCTGACCCCCGGAAGTCCCGCCCCGAATTCCGGCCCGCCGCTCGTTCTATCTGGGGCAGCGTAGCCTCTCTAGATGGCGGGAGGCCGGGGCGACTCTGTGGTTCAGCCCCAGACCTGGTCCCACTAGCCCTGAGGCCAGAGACCCTTCTGTTCCCCTTTTTTTCAGAGTTGACCCGTGCACTGAACAAGGCGGCAACTGAAGAAAAGGGGACACTAATAGAAATGCAGAGATAATGAGATATACTCGTGTAGTGGGAGATTTTAATATACAGGCCCCCAGAATCGGAACAGACGGTAGTTTGATAAAAACCTAAGGATACGTTTTTTGGAAGAACTGAATCATTCAATCAGTAAGTGATTAGATAGATAAATGGAAGAATTCAGATTCCTTCAGTAGATAACATGTTTTCGTGAGATTGTGCATGGATCGTTTCTAATACGGAAATGAATTGTACACTTGGACATAAAGAATACAAATAAGGCTGGGTGCGGTGGCCCACGCCTGTAATTCCAGCACTTGGGAGGCCGAGGCGGGCGGATGGCTTGAGGCTAGGAGTTTGAGACCAGCCTGGGCAATATAGGGAGACTCCATCTCTACAAAAAATACAAAAGTTAGCCAGGTGTGATGGTGTGCGCCTGTAGTCCCAGCTACTCAGGAGGCTGAGGTGGGCGGATTGCTTGAGCCGGGGAATGTGCGGCTGCAGTGAGCCGGGATCACATGTTGCACTGATGAGAGAGTGAGACCCTGTCTCAAAAAAAAGAAACAAACAACAACAACCAAAAAAAACCTCACAAATATTTTGACGTTCATTTTGCAGGCAGATTAAACTATCAAAATCAGGAATACATAATAAAAAATGCATGACAAACTCTATTGGAATTTAAGAAACACTGTCTAGATAACCCCCCCCCCTTTTTTTTTTAGTTCAGGCTGAGGTGCTCTCAGTTGGAGATGAGGAACTTATTGGAAGCTGGAGTAAAGGTCACTCTTGCTATGCTTTAGCAAAGAGATTGGTGACATTTTGGCCCTACCCTAGAGATCTGTGGAACTTTGAGCTTGAGAGAGATGATTTAGGGCATCTGGCAGAAGAAATTTCTAAGCAGCAAAGCATTCAAGATGTGACATACCTTTTTCTGAAAGTGTACAGTCATATGCATTCACAAAGAGATGGCCTGAAATTGGAACTTATGTTTATTTTTTTATTTATTTTTAATTTTTTTATTTCCATAGGTTTTTAAATTTTTATTTCCATAGGTGGTGGTGTTTGGTTACATGAGTAAGTTCTTTAGTGGTGATTTGTGAGATTTTGGTGCACCCGTCACCTGGGCGGTATGCCTTGAACCCAATTTGTAGTCTTTTATCCTTCACGCCCTTCCTGCACTTTCCCCCTGAGTCCCAGTCCCCAAAGTCCATTGTATCCTTCTTATGCATTTGCATCCTCATAGCTTAGCTACCTCTCACGAGTGAGGACATACGATGTTTGGTTTTCCATTCCTGAGTTACTTCACTGAGAATAATAGTCTCCAATCCCATCCAGGTTGCTGTGAATGCCATTAATTCACTCCTTTTTATGGCTGAGTAGTATTCCATCATATATATATGTATGATGGAATACTACTCTCTATATATGTATAGATATATACATATATACACACATATATACACACACACATATATATATAAATATATATATGCTACAGTTTGTTTATCCACTCGTTGATTGATGGGCATTTGGGCTGCTTCCACATTTTTGCAGTTGTGAATTGTGCTGCCATAAACGTGCATATACAAGTATCTTTTTCGTATAATGACTTCTTTTCCTCTGGGTAGATACCCAGTAGTGGGATTGCTGGACGAAATGGTATTTCTTGGTAGTTCTACTTTTAGTTCTTTAAGGATTCTCCACACTGTTTTCCATAGTGGTTGTACTAGTTTACATTCCCACAAGCAGTGTGGAAGTATTCCCTTTTCACCACATCCACGCCAACATCTATTATTTTTTGATTTTTGATTATGGCCATTCTTGTGGGAGTAAGGTGGTATTGTTTTGTGGTTTTGATTTGCATTTCCCTGATCATTAGTGATGTTGAGCATTTTTTCATGTTTGTTGGCCATTTGTATATCTTGTTTTGAGAATTGTCTGTTCATGTCCTTAGTGCACCCCCCACTTTTTTTTTTTTTTTTTTTTGAGATGGAGTTTCACTCTTGTTGCCCAGGTTGGAGTGCAATGGTGTGATCTTGGCTCACTGCAACCTCTGCCTCCTGAGTTCAAGCAATTCTCCTGCCTCAGCCTCCTGAGTAGTTGGGATTACAGGCATGCGCCACCATGCCGGGCTAATTTTGTATTTTTAGTAGAGATGGGGTTTCTCCATGTTGATCAGGCTGGTCTCAAACTCCCAACTTCAGGTGATCCACCAGCCTCGGCCTCCCAAAGTGCTGGGATTACAGGAGTGAGCCACCACGCCCGGCTGTTAGCCCCCTTTTTGATGGGATTATTTTTTCGTGCTAATTTGTTTGAGTTCCTTGTAGATTCTGCATATTAGTCCTTTGTTGGATGTATAGATTGTGAAGATTTTCTCTCACTCTGTGGGTTGTCTGTTTACTTTGCTGACTCTTCCTTTTGCTGTGCAAAAGGTCTTTAGTTAAGTCCCACCTATTTATCTTTGTTTTTGTTGCATTTGCTTTTGGGTTCTTGGTCATGAAATCTTCGCCTAGGCCAATGTCTAGAAGGGTTTTTCTGATGTTATCTTGTAGAATTTTTATATTTTCAGGTCATAGATTTAAGTCCTTGATCCATCTTGAGTTGATTTTTATAACGTGAAAGATGAGGATCCAGGATTATTCTCCTACATGTGGCTTGCCAACTATCCCAGGGCTATTTGTTGAATAGGGTGTTCTTTCCCCACTTTATGTTTTTGTATGCTTTGTTGAAGGTTAGTCGGCTGTAAGTATTTGAGTTTATTTCTGGGTTCTCTATTCTGTTCCATTGGTCTATGTGCCTATTTTTATAGCAGTACCATGCTGTTCTGGTGACTATGGCCTTATAGTGTAGTTTGTTTCATGTGCATCCATGTGAAGAGACCACCAAACAGGTTTTGTGTGAGCATTATTTCACCTGGGTGCAGGTGGGCTGAGTCTGAAATGAGAGTCAGTGAAGGGAGATAGGGGTGGGGCCATTTTATAAGATTTGGGTAGGTAAAAGAAAATTACAGTCAAAGGGGGTTGTTCTCTGGTGGGCAGGAGTGGGGGTCACAAGGTACTCAGTGGGGGAGCTTTTGAGCCAGGATGAGCCAGGAGAAGGAATTTCACAAGACAATGTCATCAGTTAAGGCAGGAACAGGCCATTTTCACTTCTTTTGTGGTGGAATCTCATCAGTTAAGGCAGGAACCAGCCATCTGGATGTGTACGTGCAGGTCACAGGGGATATGATAGCTTAGCTTGGGCTCAGAGGCCTGACATTCTGGTCTTCTTATATTAATAAGAAAAATAAAGTGAAATAGTGGTAAAGTGTTGGGATGGTGAAAATTTTTGGGGGTGGTATAGAGAGATAATGGGTGATGTTTTTCAGGGCTGCTTTGAGCGGGATTAGGGGCAGCGTGGGAACCTAGAATGGGAGAGATTAAGCTGAAGGAAGATTTTGTGGTAAGGGATGATATTGTGGGGTTATTAGAAGAAACATTTATCATGTAGAATTATTGGTGATGGCCTGGATATGGTTTTATATGAATTGAAAAAGTAAATGGAATAAGAGAAGGAGAAAAACAGGTATAAAAGGTCTAAGAATTGGGAGGACCCAGGACATCTAATTAGAGAGTGCCTAAGGAGATTCAGCATAGTCCTGCTAGCAAAGATTATTTATTTACTTCAAGAGTTTAGAGTGGCAGTTTGGGGATAGCGCCAGGAGATATCAGCTGTGATGGCTTGCAGAAACAGTGTAAACCAGCTGTGTAAACAAGAGGAGGGCATGTATGAGTAGTTGAGAATGGTGAATAGGAGTATGACTAGATAGAAGATAGTAGGGATGACAAGTTTTTTTTGGGGCACAGTCTAAGTTGGTCTGCTGTCTGGAATGAGACCGGGGCCTAATAAAAAGGAGCATCTCTACAGGAGCTCAAATGGGCTGTACCTTGTAGCATTCTGAGGACAGGTCTGACTTCTGAGAAGGGAAAGTGGTAAAAGTGTTGTCCAGTCCTTTTTAAGTTGGTGGCTGAGCTTGGTGAGGTGTGTTTTTAAAAGACCTTTAGTCAGTTCTACTTTTCTTGAAGATGGAGGACCATAAGGGATATAAAGGTTTCACTGAATACTAAGAGCCTGAAAAACTGCTTGGCTGATTTGAGTAATAAAGGCTTGTCTGTTATCAGACTGTATAGAGGTGGGAAGGCTAAACTGAGGAATTATGTCTGACAGAAGGGAAGAAATGACTGCGGTGGCCTGCTCAGACTGTGTAGGAAAGGCCTCTACCTATCCAGTGAAACTGTCTACCTAGACTAAGAGGTATTTTAGTTATCTGACTCAGGGCATGTTGAGTAAAGCTAATTTGCCAGTCCTGGATGGGGGCAAATCCTCAAGCTTGATGTGTAGGGAAGGGAGGGGGCCTGAATAATCCCTGAGGAGTAGTAGAATAGCAGATGGAACACTGAGAAGTTATTTCCTTGAGGATAGATTTCCACGATGGAAAGGAAATGAGAGGTTCTAAGAGGTGGGCTAGTGGCTTGTACTATAGCATAGCCTGCCTTTGCTGGTGTGTGGTGATTAGGCCTGGTGGAACTGCCATCAATAAATCAAGTGTGATCAGGGTGAGGAACAGGAAAGAAGGAAATATGGGGAAATGGGGTGAATGTCAAGTGGATCAGAGAGATACAGTTGTGGGGGTCAGGTGTGGTATCAGGAATAATGTGGGAGGCCGGATTGAAGTCCGGGCCAGAAACAATGGTAATTGTGGGACTTAACAAAGAGTGAGTACAGCTGAAGGAGCCAGGGAGCAGAAAGTATATGCATCAGGTATGAGGAAGAAAATAGATTTTGGAAGTTATGAGAAATGTAGAGAGTGAGTTGAGCATAGTTTGTGATTTTAAGGGCCTCTAAAAGTATTCGGGTGGCAGCAGCCACTGCACAGAGACATAATGGCCAGCTTAAAACAGTAAGGTCAAGTTGTTTGGACAAAAAGGCTACAGGACGCGATCCTGGTCCTTGTGTAAGAATTCTGACTGCACAGCCCTGCACTTCGGCTGTGTGTAATGAAAAGGGTTGGGATGAGTCAGGGAGAGCTAGAGTGGGGGCAGTCTCTAAAGCTGTCTTCAAGGAATGGAAAGAGGAGTGGGGAAAGGATTTAGGATCTATGGGGTCAGCTAGGTTTCCTTTTGTGAGTTTATAGAATGGTCTTGTTAGGATGGCAAAACCAGGTATCCAAAGGTGAAAGTATCTAAACATGCCCAGGAAGGAAAAGAGTTGTTGTTTTGTAGAAGGGGTAGGGGTTTGAGAGATTAGTGGGACATGATCGGCAGGGAGAGCACGTGTGTTTTTATGAAGAATTATGCCAAGGTAGGTAACGGATGGAGAAGAAATTTGAGCTTTGGAGGGGGATACCTGATATCCATTGGAGAATAAATGCTGAAGGAGCAGAAGTGTGTCTTGTTGAGAAGATTCACAGGAGGGGCTACAAAGAAGAAGGTCATCAATATATTGAATAAGGTGAGAAGTGGAGGGGTGGAAAGAAAGTAAATCGTGAGAAAGAGCTTGGCTGAAGTAATGAGGGCTGTCCCTGAAACCTTGCAGCAGCACAGCCCAGGTAAGCTGCTGGGACCGATGATGGGTGTCAGGGTCAGTCCAGGTGAAAGCAAAGAGAGGCTTGGATGAGGGGTGCAGGGGAATAGTGAAAAAAACATCTTTAAGATCAAGAATGGAATAGTGAGTTGTGGAGGAAGGTATTGAGGACAAAAGAGTGTATGGGTTGGGCACTGCAGGTGGATAGACAAAACAATTTGGTTGATAAGGCATAGATCCTGAACTAACTTATAAGGCTTGTCTGGTTTTAGGACAGGCAAAATGGAATTGTAAGAGGAGTTTATAGGCTTTAAAAGGCCATGCTGTAGCAGGCGAGTGATAACAGGCTTTAATCCTTTCAAAGCATGGTGTGGGATAGGATATTGGCATTGAGTGGGGTAAGGGTGATTAGGTTTTAATGAGATGGTAAGAGGTGCATGATTGGTCACCAAGGAGGGAGTAGAGATATCTTATACTTGTGGGTTAAGGTGGGGGGATACAAGAGGAGGACACAAAGGAGGCTTTGGATTGGGAAGAAGGGCGGCAATGAGATGTAGCTGTAGTCCAGGAACAGTCAGGGAAGCAGATAATTTAGTTAAAGTGTCTCGGCCTAATAAGGGAACTGGGCAGGTGGAGATAACTAAAAAGGATTGCTTAAAAGAGTATTGTCTAAGTTGGCACCAGAGTTGGGGAGTTTTAAGAGATTTAGAAGCCTGGCCGTCAATACCCACAGCAGTTATGGAGGCAAGGGAAACAGGCCCTTGAAAAGAAGGTAATGTGGACTGGGTAGCCTCTGTATTGATTAAGAAGGGGACGGACTTACCCTCCACTGTGAGAGTTACCTAGAGTGTCTGTGATGGTCCTGTAGGCTTCCCAGGCAATCAGGCAGTGTCAGTCTTCAGGAGCTAAGCCAAGGAGATCTGGGAAGGAGTCAGTCAGAGAGCCTTGGGCCAGAGTTCCAGGGGCTCTGGGAGTGGCTGCCAGGTGAGTTGAACAGTCTGATTTCCAGTGGGGTCCCGCACAGATGGGACATGGCTTAGGAGGAATCCTGGGCTGTGGGCATTCATTGGCCCAGTGGCCAGATTTCTGGCACCTGTAGCAAGCTCCTGGGGGAGGAGGTCCTGGAGGAACTCCTGGCAGCTGTGGTTCAGGCGTTTGGAGTTCTTGTGTGCTGGAGATGTGGCTGGGATTTGTCTCACATTGGAGGCAAGTAATTGCAACTCAGAAATACATTGCTACTTGGCTGCCTCTACTCTATTATTGTACACCTTGAAGGTGAGGTTAATTAAGTCCTGTTGTGGGGTTTGAGGGCTGGAATTTAATTTTTGGAGTTTTATTTAATGTCAGGAGAGGATTGGGTAATAAAATGTGTATTGAGAATAAGACAGCCTTTTGACTTTTTAGGGTCTAGGGCTGTAAAGCGTCTCAGGTTTGCTGCCGAACGAGCCATGAACTGGGCTGGGTTTTTCATATTTGATGAAAGAGCCTAAACGCTCACTGATTTGGGAGAGGTCTGATAAAGAAAAAGGAGCATTAACCTTGACTATGCCTTTAGCTTCAGCCACCTTTTTAAGAGGAAATTGCTGGGCAGGTGGGGAGGGCTACTCACAGAATGAAACTGTAAACCGGACTGGGTGTGAGGAGGGTAGGTGATAAAAAGATTATAGGGTGGAGGAGTGGAGGCTGAGGAATAATTGGGACCTAGCTCGGCCTGGCGAGGAGCAGCCTGGGGAGGAGGGGAGAGGTCAGATGGGTCTGTAGAAAAGGCAGATTAGAAAGACTCAGTGACGCTTGGGGTTGGGACTGAGGGGACAGGTGGGAGGGAAAGAAGGAAGATTTGGGATGAGTTGCACTGGGCACAAAGACTAGGGAGGAACTGATGTGTAAAAGAATGCCTGGACATCAGGCACCTCAGACCGTTTGCCCATTTTACAACAAGAATTATTTAGATCTTGCAGGATGGAAACAATTGAAAGGTGCCATTTTCTGGCTATTTGGAACCACTGTCGAGTTTGTACTGGGGTCAAGCGGCATTGCAGAAGAAAATAAGACATTTAGGTTTAGGTCAGGCAAGAGTTGAAGAGGTTTTATGTTCTTAAGAACATAGGCTAAGGGAGAAGATGGAGGAATGGAGGGTGGAAGGTTGCCTATAGTGAAGGAGGCAAGTTTAAAGAAAAGGGAGAGTAGAGACACGGAGGGAAGTGGTTTGGGGGTTCTTACCCTCCAGAAAAGCAGGAAAGGGGTTGGGGTCCAGAGATACGAGGTTGGGGCATGGAAATAAGGGATCAGGGTGCAGAGATATAAGAGGTTGGGGCATGGAAATAAGGGATCAGGGCACAGAGATGTGAGGTTGGGGTACTTGCCCCTCCCCCAGAAAAGCAGGACTTGCCACTAAGGGTGAAGGAGAAGGAGTTGGGGGTTTATTGCCCCCCAGAAAGGCAGAGAAGGGGTAGAGACATGGAGAGAAGGGGTTGGGGTACTTGCCCCTCCCCTAGAAAAGCAGGACTTGCCACTAAGGGTGAAGGACCAAGGCAGGCGTCCCTGCGTGGCCTGACACCTCTGAAATGTGGGTGAATAATCAGAGAGGAATTCCTGCAATGATTAAACACCAAGGGAAGGCTGCCTTCCCAGTCCATGACTGGTGCCAGAGTTTTGGGTCCACAGATAAAACATGTCTCCTTTGTCTCTACCAGAAGATGAAAGGAATTGAAATTAAGAGAAGGGAGAGATTGAAGTGTGGCGCCAAGATTGAAAGGAGAAAGAGGTTGAGAGATAGTGAGGGAGGTGGGAGAAGAGAGTAAAAAGAGGCTACTTACCAGATTTGAAATTGGTGAGATGTTTCTGGGGCTGGTCGGTCTGAGGACCTGAGGTCGTAGGTGGATCTTTCTCATGGAGCAAAGAACAGGAGGACAGGGGATTGATCTCCCAAGGGAGGTCCCCCGATCTGAGTCACGGCATCAAATTTCATGCACGTCCAAGTGAAGAGACCACCAAACAGGCTTTGTGTGAGCAACATGGCTGTTTATTTCACCTGGGTGCAGGTGGGCTGAGTCCGAAAAGAGTCAGTGAAGGGAGATAGGGGTGGGGCCGTTTTATAATATTTGGGTAGTTAAAGGAAAATTACAGTCAAAGGGGGTTGTTCTCTGGTGGGCAGGAGTGGGGGGTCACAAGGTACTCAGTGGGGGAGCTTTTGAGCCAGGATGAGCCAGGAGAAGGAATTTCACAAGACAATGTCATCAGTTAAGGCAGGAACAGGCCATTTTCACTTCTTTTGTGGTGGAATGTCATCAGTTAAGGCAGGAACCGGCCATCTGGATGTGTACGTGCAGGTCACAGGGGATATGATGGCTTAGCTTGGGCTCAGAGGCCTGACAGTTTGAAATCAGGTACCGTGATCCCTCCAGGTTTGTTCTTTTTGCTTAGTCTTGTTTTGGCTATGCAGGCTCATTTTTGGTTCCATATGAATTTTAGGATTTTTTTTCTAGTTCTGTGAAGAATGATGGTGGTATTTTGATGGGAATTGCATTGAATTTATAGATCACTTTTGGCAGTATGGTCATTTTCTCAATATTGATTCTACCCATCCATGAGCATGGGATGTGTTTCCATTTGTTTGTGTCATCTATGATTTCTTTTAGCAGTGTTTTGTAGTTTTCCTTGTAGAGGTCTTTCACCTCCTTGGTTAGGAATATTCTGAAGTATTTCATTTTTTGCAGCTATTGTAAAAGGGGTTGAGCTCTTGATTTGATTCTCAGCTTGGTTGCTGTTGGTGTATAGCAGAGCTACTGATTTGTGTACATTAACTTTGTATCCTGAAATTTGCTAATTCACTTATCATTTATAGGAGCTTTTTGGAGGTGTCTTTAGGGTTTTCTAGGTATATGATCCTATCATCAACAAACAGTGACAGCTTGACTTCCTCTTTACTGGTTTGGATGCCCTTTGTTTTTTCTCTTTTCTAATTATTCTGGCTAGGACTTCCAGCACTATGTTGAATAGAAGTGGTGAGAGTGGGCATCTTTGTCTTGTTCCAGTTCTCAGAAGGAATGCTTTCAACTTTTACTCATTCAGTATTATGTTGGCTGTGGGTTTATCATAGATAGCTTTTATTACATTGAGGTATGTCCCTTGTATGCCAATTTTGCTGAAGGTTTTAATCATAAAGGGATGCTGGATTTTGTAGGGTGCAGCCCTATGGGGCTTAGTGGGTGTTCTCCCCATATGTGGAGATGGGAGATTGTAATAAATAAAGACACAAGACAAAGAGATAAAGAGAAAGCAGTTCAGCCCAGGACCACTACCCTCAAGATGTGGAGACTGGTAGTGGCCCCGAATGGCTGGGCACACTGATATTTATTGCATACAATACAAGGGGCGCAGGATAAGGAGGGTGAATATTCTAAGTGATTGACAAGGTGAAGCAAGTCACATGATCATAGGACACGGGGCTCTTCCCTTTTACGTAGCCAAAGCAGAGAGAGAAGGCAGCATACGTCAACATTTTCTTCTATGCACTTATAAGAAAGATCAAAAACTTTAAGACTTTCAGTATTTCTTCTACCGCTATCTACTACAAACTTCAAAGAGGAATCAGGAGTATGGGAGGAACACGAAAGTGGACAAGGAGCGTGAACATTGAAGCACAGCACCACGGGGGTGGGGGGAGGCGGTTTAGGCCTCCGGATGACTGTGGGCAGCCCTGGATAATATCCAGCCTTCCACAAGAAGCTGGCAGAGCAGACTGTTCCCTGACTCCTCCAAGGAAAGGAGATTCCCTTTCACGATCTGCTAAGTAATGGGTGTCTTCCCAGACACTGGTGTTACCGCTTGACCAAGGAGCCCTCAAGCAGCCCTTATGTGGGCGTGACAGAGGGCTCACCTCTTGCCTTCTAGGTCACTTCTCACAATGTCCCTTCAGCACGTGACCCTATACCCAGTGGTTATTCCTAGGTTATATTAGTAATGCAACAAAGAGTAATATTAAAAGTTAATGATTAATGTTTATAATAATGATTGATAATTGTCCATGATCATCTCTATATCTAATTTGTATTATGACTATTCTTATTCTAACTATTTTCTTTATTATACTGAAACAGTTTGTGCCTTCTGTCTCTTGCCTCGGCACCTAGGTAATCTTTCACCCACAGGATTTTGCCAAATGCTTTTTCTGTGTCTGTTGAGATGATCATGTGATTTTTGTTTTTAATTCTGTTTATGTGGTGTGTCACATTTATTGACTTGCATATGTTAAACCATCCCTGCATCCCTGGTATGAAACCCACTTGATCATGGTGGATTATCTTTTTGATATGTGTTGGATTCAGTTAGCTGCATTTTGTTAAGGATTTTTGCATCTATGTTCATCAGGGATATTGGTCTGTAGTTTTTTTTTTTTGTTTGTTATGTTCTTTCCTGGTTTTTGTATTAGGGTGATACTGGCTTCATACAGTGATTTAGGGAGGATTCCTAAATTTGTATCTTTCCAGGAATTTATCCATCTCCTCTAGGTTTTCTAGTTTATGCATATAAAGCTTTTCCTAGTAGCCTTGAATGATCTTTTGTATTTCTGTGGTGTTGGTTGTAATATCTCCTGTTTCTTTTCCAATTCAGCTTATTTGGAGCTTCTTTCTTTTCTTTTCTTTTGAAATGGAGTTTTGCTCTTTTTGCCCAGGCTGGAGTGCAATGGTGTGATCTTGGCTTACTGCAACCTCTGCCTCCTGGGTTCAAGCAATTCTCCTGCCTCAGCCTCCCAAGTAGCTGGGATTACAGGCACCTGCCACCACACCCGGCTAATTTTTTGTATTTTTAGTAGAGACCAGGTTTCACCATGTTGGCCAGGATGGTCTCAATCTCTTGACCTTGTGACTCACCCACCTCAGCCTCCCAAAGTGCTGGGATTACTGGAGCTTCTTTCTTGTTTTCTTGGTTAATCTTCCTAATGTTCTATCAATTTTATTTATCTTTTCAAAGAGCCAGCTTTTTGTTTCATTTATCTTTTGTATTTTGTTTTTGTTGTTTCAATTTCATTTAGTTCTGCTCTGATCTTGGTTATTTCCTTTCTTCTGCTGGATTTGGGTTTGGTTTGTTCTTGTTTCTCTAGTTCCTTGAGTGTGACCTTAGATGGTCTATTTGTGTTCTTTCAGACTTTTTGATGAAGATATTTAAGGCTATGAACTTTCCTCTTACCACCACCTTTGCTGTATCCCAGAGGTTTTGATAGGTTTTGTCACTATTGTTGTTCAGTTTGAATAATTTTTTAATTTCTATCTTGATTTCATTGTTGACCCAATGATAATTCAGGAGCAGGTTATTTAATTTCCATGTATTTGCATGGTTTTGAAGGTTTCCTTTGGAGTTGATTTCCAGCTTATTCCACTGTGGTCTAAGAGAGTACTTGATATAATTTCAATTTTCTTAAATTTATTGAGACTTCTTTTGTGGCCTATTATATATGTTCTATCTTGGAGAAAGTTCCATGCATTGATGAATAGAATGTATATTCTGCAGTTATTGGATAGAATGTTCTGTAAATATCTATTAAGTCTGTTTGTTCCAGAGTATAGTGTAAATCCATTGTTTCTTTATTAACTTTCTGTCTTGATGACCTATCTAGTGCTGTTGGTGGAGTACTGAAGTCCTCCACTGTTATTGTGTTACTGTCTATCTCATTACTTAGGTCTAGTGGTAATTGTTTTATAAATTTGGGAGCTCAAGTTTTAGGTGCATATATATTTAGGATTGTGATATTTTCCTGTTGGACAAGGCCCTTTATCATTATATGTTTCTCTTTGTCTTTTTTAACTGCTGTTGCTTTAAAATCTGTTTTGTCTGATATAAGAATAGCTACTCCTGTTTGCTTTTGGTGTCCATTTGCATGGAATGTCTTTTTCCTTAAAATATTCCATGCAAATGGACATTAAGTTTATGTGAGTCCTTAACGTGTTTACCTTAAGTTTATGTGAGTCCTTATGGGTTAGGTGAGGAGTCTCTTGAAGGCAGCAGATACTTGGTTGGTGAATTCTTACCCATTCTGCAATTCTGTATCTTTTAGGTGGAATATTTAGGCCATTTACATCCAATATTAGTATTGAGATGTGAGGTACTATTCCATTCATTATGGTATTTGTTGCAGGTATACTTTGGTTTGTTTTTTCTTTTTTGAGACGGAGTCTCACTTTGTCACCCAGGCTGGAGTGCAGTGGTATGATCTTGGCTCACTGCAAGCTCTGCCTCCTGGGTTCACACCATTCTCCTGCCTCAGCCTCCTGAGTAGCTGGGACTACAGGTGCCCACCACCACGCCTGGCTAAGTTTTTTGTATTTTTAGTAGAGACAGGGTTTCACTGTGTTAGCCAGGATGGTCTCGATCTCCTGACCTTGTGATCCATCCACCTCGGCCTCCCAAAGTGCTGGGATTACAGGCATGAGCCACTGCACCCGGCCACCTTGGTTTTTTTAAATTGTATTTTTGTTTTATAGGTCCTGTGAGATTTATGCTTTAAGGAGGTTCTGTTTTGATGTGTTTCCAGGATTTGTTTCAAGATTTAGAGCTCTTTTAGCAGTTTTGTAGTGCTGGCTTGGTAGTGGTGAATTATGTCAGCATTTGTCTGAAAAAGATTGTGTCTTTCCTTCATTTATGAAGCTTAGTTTCACTGGGTATAAAATTCTTGGCTGATAATTGTTTTGTTTAAGGAGGCTGAAGATAGGGCCCTAATCCCTTCTATTTTGTAGAGTTTCTGCCGAGAAATCTGTTGTTAACCTGATAGGTTTATCTTTATAGATTACCTGGTGCTTTTGCCTCACAGCTCTTAAGATTCTTTCCTTCATCTTGACTTTAGATAACCTGATGACAATGTGCCTAGGTGATGATCTTTTTGTGATGAATTTCCCAGGTGTTTTTTTCAGCTTCTTGTATTTGGATGTCTAGGTCTCTAGCAAGGCTGGGGAAGTTTTCCTTGATTATTCCCCCAGATACATTTCCCAAACTTTTAGATTTCTCTTCCTCCTCAGGAATGCCAATTATTCTTAGGTTTGGTTAACATAATTCCAAACTTCTTGGAGGCTATGTTCATTTTATTAATTTTTTTCTTTGTTGGTTTGGGTTAATTCAAAAACTTTGTCTTTGAGCTCTGAAGTTCTTTCTTCTGTTTGTTCAATTCTATCGCTGACATTTTCCAGAAAATTTTGCATTTCTCTAAGTGTGTCCTTTATTTCCTGAAGTTGTGATTGTTTTTTATTTATGCTATCTATTTCACTAAAGATTCCCCTCATTTCTTGTATCATTTTTTGGATTTCCTTAAATTGGACTTCACTTTTCTTTGGTGCCTCCTTAATTAGCTTAATAATTGACCTTCTGAATTCTTTATCAGGTAAGTCAGGGATTTCTTCTTGGTTTGGATCCATTGCTGGGGAGCTAGTGTGATTTTGGGGGGTGTTAAATAACCTCATTTTGTCATGTTACCAGAATTGTTTTTCTGGTTCCTTCTCATTTGGGTAGGCTATATCAGGGGAAGATCTGCTGCTCAAGGCTACTGTTCAGATTCTTTTGTCCCATGTGGTATTCTTTTGATGTAGTACTTCCTGGGAGCTGAGCTGTAGTGATTGTTATTTTTCTCCTGGACCTAACCACCCAGCAGGGCTACCAGGCTCTGGTCTGGTATCAGGGGTTGTCTGCACAGACTCGTGTGATGTGAATCATCTTCAGTTCTCACAGCCATGGATACCAGCACCTGCTCCAGTGGAGGTGGCAGGGGAGTGAAATGGACTTTGTGAAGGTCCATAGTTGTGGTTGTTTAATGCACTATTTTTGTGCTGGTTGGCCTCCTGCCAGGAGGTGGTGCTTCCAAGAAAGCATCAGCTGTGGTAGTATAGGAAGGATCAGGCAGTGGGCAGGGCCCTAGAACTCCCAAGAGAATATGACTTTTGTCCTCAGCTACCAGGGTGGGTAGGGAAGGACCATCATGTGTGGGGAGGGTTAGGCATGTCTGAGCTCAGACTCTCCTTGGGTAGGGCTTGCTGCTGCTGCTGTGGGGTTGGGAGTATGGTTCCCAGGTCAATGGAGTTGTTCCCAGGAGGATTATGGCTGCCTCTGCTGTGTCATGCAGATTGTCAGGGAAGTGGAGGAAAGCTGGCAGTTACAGGCCTCACCTAGCTCCCATGCAACCCTAAAGGCCAGTCTCATTTTCACTGTGCATCCCCCCAATGGCACTGAGTTTGTTTCTAAGCAGTGGGTGAGCAGGGCTGGAACTTTCTACAGGTTACCAGCCTCCCAGCTAAGAAAGCAAGGAGGGCATTCTTGCCTCCCCACCTGCCAAGTCTGCACACTGAATTCACACACTCATGTGAGTTCTGGCCAGGAGACTTCATGTTTGGTTGGAATTGCTACAAAGTTCAGCTGGAGGTTTCCTTCTCCCTTTGGTCTTTTCCCAGTTCCTCTGGCAGCCCTCCCCAAGGACCCCTGTGAGACAAGGTAGAAATGGCTTCCCAGGGCTTTTCCCACTGCTTCCTCTAACCCTGTATTTTGCTTGGCTCTCGAATTTGATGCAGCTCCAGGTAAGGTCAGATCCTTCTCCTGTGATCTAGACCCTCAGGTTCCTCAGTGAGGATGTGTGTTTGGGGTTGAATGATCCCTATTTCCCACTTTCACAGCTTGGGCACTCACAGTATTTTGGGTGTCTCCTGGGCCCTGCAGGAGCAATCCACTCCCTCTGCTTTTTGTATGAGAAAAAAGTCTGTATGGTGAATTTTGTCTTAAAGTAATAGTCCCAGCTACTCAGGAGGCTGAGGCAAGAGAATGGCATGAATCCGGGAGGTGGAGCTTGCAGTGAGCCAAGATCGTGCCACTGCACTCCAGCCTGGGCGACAGAGCAAGACTCCATCTCAAAAAAAAAAAAAAAAGTAACATAACCAGTTGGGCTGGGCATGGTGGCTCATGCCTGTAATCCCAGCACTTTGGGAGGCCGAGATGGCAGATCACAAGGTCAGGAGATCAAAACCATCCTGGCTAACACGGTGAAACCCTGTCTCTGGTAAAAATACAAAAAATTAGCTGGGCGTAGTGGCAGGTGCCTGTAGTCCCAGCTACTGTGGAGGCTGAGGAAGGAGAATGGCGTGAACCCAGGAGGTGGAGCTTGCAGTGAGCTGGGATTGTGCCACTGCACTCCAGCCTGGGTGACAGAGCTAAGGGAGGAGACCACACCTCATATTGTCTTATGTCCAATTTCTGCCTCCAAAGAAAGAAGTAAAAACTGAAAGGCAGAAATGAAATTCACAGGCAGACAGCCTGGCGCTGCGCCCTGGGTCTGGTTAAAGATCGACCCCTGACCTAACTGGTTATCTATAGATTTCAGACATTGTATGGAAAAGCGTTGTGAAATCCCTGTCCTGTTCTGTTCCGTTCTGATTACTGCTGCATGCAGCACCCAGTCACATACCCACTGCTTGCTCAATCAATCACAACCCTCTCACGTGGACCCCCTTAGAGTTGTAAGCCCTTAAAAGGGACAGGAATTGTTCATTCGGGGAGGTCAGTTTTTGGAGATGTGAGTCTTGCCGAAGCTCCCGGCCAAATAAAGCCCTTCCTTAACTCGGTGTCTGAGGGGTTTTGTCTGTGGCTTGTCCTGCTACAGAGCGAGACTCCGTCTCAAAAACAAACAAACAAACAAAAAAAAACAAATGGGGACTTGAGAGAAAAAAATTTCAGAAAAAAACTATAGTACACCTGTTATGGGATTCTATCCCCAACCACTGTTTTTGAGCTCTTATTATTTTCCTACAACTTGGACTAAATCCTAAATCATGTCCTTGCTACAAGTCTCTAAAAATAGACTGGGTTTTAATTTTCATGTTTTTAATTAACCTCCCAATGGAATAGGGTTTTAAAAAATTTCTGGCATATAAATTTTTTAAAATTCTTATGTACATTATATTTCTACTACATATCTCTCATTGTTATACTTGTTCTGAGAAAACTAATTCCGTGGTACTCCAAAGGCTAGAGATGATTCCACAAGTAATAACAGCTACAAATCAATGTCTTTGACAGGACTATTGGAAATGAACATTCCCAGTGACAAGGGACACCTTGACACTCATATTTTGATCATCAAAGCTTTCTAGAAGAAAGACTTTTTATCAAGAGGGGGAGATGAGAGAAAGCTTTTATCTGAGGAGTGTGAGTGTTTTTAATTATTAGGCCCAGAGCAGCATTAAAAGAAAACAGTAATGACATCCTACTCCCCGACTTTTTAGCTATGCATTCATCTCCTGAAACTGCTTGCTATTGCCACAAGTAGCTACAAATTAACCTAAACATGCCATGCTGAGCACTAAAACCCACACCCCATAGTTTAACAATGTAAAGCCAATCAATAGCTTATTTTAATGTAAATTCTTTGTAAATAACTCAGGAACAGCCTCTTTTTTCCCTTTAAAAATCAATTTATAGGCTGGAAGTGGTGGCTTATGCCTGTAATCCCAGTACTTTGGGAGGTTGAGGTGTGAGGATCACTTGAGGCAGGGAGTTTGAGACCAGCCTAAGCAACACAGCAAGACCCTGTCTCTACAAAAGACTTTCAAAAAATGAGCTGCGCATGGTAGTGTATGTCTGTAGTCCTAGCTACTGATGGGGCCAAGGTGGGAGGATTGCTTGAGCCCAGGAATTCAAGGTTATACAGAGCTATGATTGTACCACTGCACTCCAGCCTGGACAACAGAGCAAGACCCTGTCTCTGTTAAAAAATGAAAAAAAAAAAAAAATCTACTATAACTGCTGCTAACAGGAGTGTATTTTCAGGACAAATTAAGTCTTTGATCCTGGGTTACAATCCTCAAGTTTGGCCTAAATAAACTGTCTACTTACATTAATTTTGCCTCAGCTTCTTCCTTTTAGGTCATGTGGAATAAGGACAGTGAGAAATAGGTCTTGATATATCTCTTTCCTTGATTGTCTTTCTCTTTCAGCTGAATGCCAAGGCAGAAAGAAATGAAGAGTGGGAGCTTTTGAGGGTAAGGCTTTGTTATTCAAGCCTGGGCTGTCGCAGGTGTAAATGTCACCTCTCCTGCCCATAGGCCTTGGGTGCACAACCATTGAGGTCCTTGGTTCCTAGAGCCAGGTCTTCTCAGAAATGGGATTCTGAGAAAGAATTTGTGCGAGGGAATGAAAATGTGGACCCTTCTTCTCACTCTGCTCTGCTCTCCTGGGGATGACCCATGGATGGAGCTGGGTAGGGGTTATAAGTCAAAATTAAAATTCTAAGCCCACCACAAACAATGAACTCCTCCTCTCAGACAAGGTCATTCCAAAGTTAACCTGAAAAACTAGTTCAGTCCATAACAGGAAGAGGGGGCCAGGCATGCTTCATTATACTCTCCTCCCTTTGGGGCTCAGGTACAACTGACCAGCATTAACATTAAAACAGAGATCTTAAGATTTTTTATAACAATAATACACCAAATTCCAGCCTGGCTCAAATATAGCATCATATGTCAGAGTGCAGGCCTTGAATGGAATGAAAGCATTTTACCCTAAAATGTATTTCTTTGATATATTTTGAAATGCCCTGCAAAGCTGTTGTGGAGAAAATCTTCATTCTGTAGAGAATCCCTTTTCCTTTTCAGGTCTTTTCCTCGATCCAGGAGAGAATTAACCAAGAGTCTGGCACCTTTTAAAGTCAGATAAGAAACATTTAAAATCTGTTTTCTCTGAAGCCTGCTACCTGGAGGCTTCATCTACATAATAAGAACCTTTGTCTCAACAACCCTTTATTTTAACCCATACACTCCCTTCTACAGATTCTAGGTCTTTAGATAAACTCTGCACCAAATGCCCATCAGAAAATCTTTGAATCTGCCTATAAATTGGAAGCCCCTGCTTCCAGTTGTCCCGCCCTTCTGGATCAAACCAATGTACATCTTATATGTATTGATTGATGTCTTATGTCTCCCTAAAATGTATAAAACCAAGCTGTAGCCTGACCACCTTGGGCACATGTTCTCAAGATCTTCTGGGGCTGCATCATGGGCCATTGGTCACTTGTATTTGGCCCAGAATAAATCTCTTCAAATATTTTACAGTTTCACTCTTTGTTGACAGTGTCCTACTCACTTAGGATAGAGACATGGGAGAATCACTGGACCTTGGAGGCAAAATGTTGAGGTCCTGACTTTGGACACATTGTCATCATCTCTAAATATCAGGCCCCTTCTGTGAGAGAGTATGTGGCCTCCCAGCAGGACCTGGTGCTATGACAGTCACCTGGTGAGGTGCAACAGCTCTGTGTAAAGGACACAGCACTGCACATGTTCAGCTTTGCTGTTATGGTCACTGACCTCACAGCTTGAGTATGAATTCCTGGAGCTCTAAGGATCTAATTTTGAAGTAGTCAGTGCCTAAAGAAAGATTCAACTCAGCCTCCAACCAGGACCCTTTGCTCCTACTTTCAACTACTATATGCCACGCTCTTGTTTCCAGCTCACAGAATCACCTGAGAGGCCTCACAGTGATAATGGGCCAACTCTCACTTGAGAAAACTGGTTCATCTCTTCCCTTGTTCCAGATACCCCGTCCTCATTTCCCATGGAATTTCAGGGCCCCAGGGAGCATGGGATTGAGCTGGGAAGGAGAAACTTAGGGAATGAATTGACAGGACATGTTGGTAAGAGGGATGAAAGCAGCATCAGAACCAGGGATGTGGGGTCCCTGTCAGGATACCTGGCTGTCTGTCCTTTCCTGGATGCACAGTTTGCTTCTTGCTCTTACAGGCACCTGCACAAGCTCCAATTTGAGGACAGAAAGGGATATTATGTATTCTAGGTCTGACAAATAACCATGGGGTAGGTTCAGGGACTCTACAACTTCATTACTTGGCTCCATAAGCTCCTACCCTGGAGAACAACAGTAATATATTGGTTCCCAGGTTTTAACATCAATTCAGAGCCAAAGTCCAGTAATCCCTGTCCTAGCCCAATCAGCCTCAGACTACAAGGAATAAACCTGCACTCCAACAAAATCAGAGTTATTGACCCATTACAATGAGGGTGATAACACCCCAGAACCGTGGGGTGTCTCACCAACTAAAGAAAACATAAGTTATTGTAAGAGTTTGGGGAAGGGTGGAGTTTAAGTGAAATTTAAATAAAGCAGTGTTTTAATGGGCATGCAGCAAAGCAGGGTTGCGAGTAATGGGTCATCAGGTCTGGACTGTGAAGTACACCCAGGCTCATTTCCTTGGGAACCACAAAATTAAGATAGGTGTAGAATACGGTGTCCAAAAACTTCTTACATGAATTGGGTTGTAAATTGAGGCTGTTTCTCTATGTCAAAGTGACAGATCTGCCAGGAAAGAGTAGAGTGTTCCATTCTTACTGATATAACTTCTAACATGTTTCTGTTAGTCTATAAGAGAACAAAGTTTCTCAGTAAGAAAGCAGAGGTGAAATTTTATGACATTCTACAGCTCATATATCTCTGGCAGAAATAGTTTCTTATTAACTTTACAGCTGGTTTTATCTGTTATTCCAGTCTGATTAATAGCTTAACAGATTTTTCTTTCTCCATCCAAGATGTTACTTCCTTATCCTTAAAAAAGTGGGTATTCTTGTCCTCTGATATATAGTTACCCTGGTAAATGTCCACATTCCCTTTGGCAAAGGGGATAAGATTTATAGCATAAAATTTGGAAAGTGTAGCAAGACCTTTCAAGGGAAATCTAGCCTCCTCTTGTTTCATGAGGTTCTAGGTCTGAACTGGCTCAAGCCTAGGAAGTAAGTGAAGGTCGATGACTGTTGTGCTGATCCAAGTCAGGTGTCTGTAAAGGCTTAATGACTCACTGATACTGATAAAGACTTTAGTGGGCGGTCTACCTATTTCAGTCCATAGTCACCATCATCATTACTCAGGGTCAAAACCTCTATGGTCAAACCATTCTCATTACTGTTGTGGCCCTGGGCCTGTTACAGTGACAACTTCCCTGTCTATGACAGGGTTACATGCTGCCATCTGGTCCTGACCATTCCCACTGAGTTAAATCCTCTTTTCTTTCTCTTCTTTCTTTCCTTCTCTTTTCTTTCCTTTTTCTTTCCTTCCTCTCTTTCCTTTCCCCTTTCTTCCTTCCTTCCCTTTCCTTTTTCTTTCTTCCTTCTCTCTCTCTCCCCCTCCCTCCCTTCCTCTTTTTTTTTTTTTTTTGAGGGGAGTCTTGCTCTGTCACCCAGGCTGGTGTGCAGTGGCGTGATCTTGGTTGACTACAGCCTCCATCTCCCAGGTTCAAGTGATTCTCCTGCCTCAGCCTCCCGAGTAGCTGGGATTTACATGCACCTGCCACCCTGCCTGGCTAATTTTTGTATTTTTAGTACAGACGGCATTTCACCATGTTGTCCAGGCTGGTTTCAAACTCCTGACTTCAAGTGATCCACCTGCCTTGGCCTCTAAAGTGCTGGGATTACAGATGTGAGCCACTGCGCCCAGCCTAAATCCATTTTCATAACAGTCTCTCCTACTTCCTTTGATAGACTATATAAAACAGCCACTACAGAGTCTTTCCTGGACGTTACTATTCCCTCATCAATGCACTTCTCTAAGCCTGGGTGAAAGGAGTGCCCTCTTGCACCTCCTGAACCTTTGAATCCATTCTCTGTTGTAAAATCAGGCAATTCTGCATGTCAGCCTCACTCAATGGAGGCCATGACCAAATATAGACTTCCATTAACAAGCTGCTACTGCAACTAGCACAGTGAATCCACAGCCTGCCATGTGTGCACTCATATAACAAACCCAGTCCAATCCAACATTACATTATCTCTAGTTGAACAGCCTTAGAATCTGCTCCCTTTCATATCACCCACACTTCTGCCAACAGTAAGCTGGAAAAATCTTCCAATTATTTGGCACTCTCTCTCTCAGGTCACACTTTTCCCTCATTTCCCAGGTCTCCTGGAGTTTCACTACAGGAAGCAATCAAAGTTGGTCGATATTGGGAACAATCCACACTCCCCTGCAAAGTGACAGCTTTAAGAATAATGTGTGTAGCTGCAGGTAATTGATTTTGACGTAGTTTTCTGCTATATTATACTTACAATCAAACTTCTTTTCTCCCCCTCTCCATGAACACTGGACTTGTTTTTTTTTCTTTTTTTTTTTTTGTTGCTATTACAGGAACAGCTGCTATTAAACATTTTGGGACACATCTTCTAGTTCTCATGCAAGTACATCCCCAACATGTATGTGCAGGAGTGGAACTGGGTTGTGGGTTACATAATTTTTTTTTTGAGACGAAGTCTCGCTTTGTCGCCCAGGCTGGAGTGCAGGGGCGCGATCTCAGCTCACTATAACCCCCGCCTCCCAGGTTCAAGCGATTCTCCTGCCTCAGCCTCCTGAGTAGCTGGGATTACAGGCTCCCACCACACCACCTGGCTAATTATTTTAGTAGAGACAGGGTTTTGCCGTGTTGGCCAGGCTGGCCTCAAACTCCTGACCTCAGGTGATCCACCTGCCTTGGCCTCCCAAAGTGCTGGGATTACAGGTGTGAGCCAGTGCATCTGGCCAGGGCTAATTTTTAACTGTATTAATAATGCCAAAATATTTTCCAATGTGTCATACCAATTTCCACTCCTATCAGCCGCGTATGAGAGTAACTGTTGCTAAATATATTTGGTGTCATTCTCTGTCAGATCTTTAATTTTTGCCAACCTAGTGAGGGTAAAATGACATCTTGTAATATCATTTTGCATGTCTGTGATTAATAATGACCTTTGCCCCTCTTTTCATACAGGTTGGTCATGGGAGGGTTTTGGGTGATGAAGAAGCCTTGGCAGGTTTCGTGGCAGAGAAAAATCCAACTAAGTCATGCTGCCTGGAGAGTCAGGGCCTCATAAATTGGGATTAGAGGCAGGAGTTTTAGTCCTAAAGATCTTACAGATTCCCAACCATACAAAGTGCCTCCCACCTTACATGAAAATGGGCAATAATGGAATCCACTGATTACATTTTAATGTTTGTGAATACACATATAAAACACACATTAACCTTAACAATTGGTGGGGAAGATTGGCAGCACAGGACTATGCACAACAAATTAGCAGGCACTAAGGCAGAATATCTTTTACAGCAGAAAGACCAAATCTGTCCCTTTCTGATGCACATCTTCAGTTTTGGGTCATGAGCTAGTGGTGGAGGTCAAGGCCAAGGTCAACCTAAGAAGTCTACAATAGCATGCATCAATGGAAATGCTGCAGAACAAACATGGAGGAAAAAGTAAAAATGCTCTTGTAACCATCAACACCTGCAAATATGCCACTTACTCTTTTTCTCTTGTGAGTGCAGTGAGCATGACTAAACACAGTAGCTCTCTGGGAAGAGCAAGAATAAAGGAGTCTTCAGAATGAGTTGTAAGATATGTATGATGCTTACAAAGTGGAGTTCACAATTGTCCTGTTTAATGTCAGTCTCCTTATTTTAAGAATGCTTCAGGTGACAAAGGCCTGTGTCAGCAGTATGGATCATGATGAGATTCCTGGAAGGCTGAACCTCTGCTGGTACAGGCATAAAACTCCTCCAGAAATGGCTTCTTTTTATTAACTAAAGAAACTGAAAATGCCTTTCTCCTCTCAATTTTAATGTAAGTGGTTAAGAAGCCAGGAGAGGCCGGTGTGGTGGTACACAGCTGTAGTCCCTGCTACTCATGAAGTTGAGGCAGGGGAATCACTTGAGCCCAGGAGTTCAAGGTTACAGTGAGCTATGACTGCACCACTGCACTCCACCCTGTGCAACATGATACAGCATGATACTGTCTCAAAAAAAAATGCTAGGAAGTACCAAGTGTATGATTGCTCTATGCCAATCATCAAATAGAGCAGAGACCATCTAGCTCCCAACCAATATTAATGCCATCACCAAGCCAAGTAATTAGGAAACAGAAATTTGACTTGAATAGAGAACATTAAAAGCCATGATAAATAAAATTCAGTATGATTTGGATGAAATATTTAATGGAAAATAAAAACATATTCCAAACTGATAAGGTTAATCTGGAGAAATGTTTTAGCCATAAAACCCAAAACCGGATTTGAGTAAATACCGAGGTTCTTAGTTAAGTAAACACCTCCATCTTATGTAAACAGGTTTAAAACAAAAAAAATATTATTTTCTGATTTGGTTGTGTAATCGTGGGCCTCAGAGGAAAAGCTTCCTAACCCTTTTGTCATATATATATATATTTTTTGGAGTCTTGCTTTGTGGCCATGCTGGAATGCAGTGGTGCAATCTTGGCTCACTGCTACCTCCGCCTCCTGGGTTCAAGCAATTCTCCTGCCTCAGCCTCCCAAGTAGCTGGGACTACAGGCGTGCACCACCATGCCCAGCTAATTTTTGCATTTTGTAGAAATGTGGTTTCACCATGTTGGCCAGGATGGTCTTGATCTCTTGACCTCGTGATCTGCCCACTTCAGCCTCCCAAAGTGCTGGGATTACAGGTGTGAGACACCGCGCCCAGCCTCCTTTTGTCATCTCTTGATGGAACCTCAAAGAAGAGATCCTTGGGGGAAACTGAATTTCTTTTTGCTTCCTTCTTAAAAGTTCTTCTCTAGAAGAAGTTGTAACTGGGTAACAAGCTCTAAGTCCCTGGATCAGCCTGCAGGCAAGAGAGCTGGGTGAATTGACATTTAAGTTTTGACTTAACTTCAGGAGATTAAGGTTTCCAGCCACCTCAGGAAAAGCCATGAACTCTGTTCTTGCAGTGTAACATAGCTATCTGTGATGGGTAAGTGAAGCCATAAGCCACAGGCTCCCACCCTTGGACATTTTCCTGATTTTTCTTCATGACAACATATCTAGAAGACCCATCTACCAAATCCTGTTTAAGTAAAATGTACAATTTCCCATTTTGAATTAGTTGGATATATTGGGCCAGCTACAAGACTGCAAGCTCCTTGCTGGCAGCGTCTTAACTCTTGGAAACCTGGAGGTGGATTACAGTGTTATCTGACTTTTTAGCAAGGTCTCAACTATTTTAATCTACACAAAGACTCACCTTATTCCTTGACAAACTTTTGCTTATAATCATGTTTCTCTTCCCTGTGAATTGAAGCTTAAGGTATCATATTCCTTATAACAGAATAAAAACGTTTTGAAGAGGCCCAAACAAACAAAGAAAACCCTAGCCTGGTTCCATCACACTTGGAAGTGCAAGGATCTCAACTACTTTCTTTGAAGTTGAAATAAATCATACAAAAAAAAAAAAAAAAAAAAGCAAAGCAAAGCAAAGTAAGTGGTCTCCAGTGAAATACCTAACTGTACCTTAGGGTCTGGTGCCATGAAATGCATCTAAATAATTAAGTTTCACATATCTACAGGGCTCAAGAAGGGGGCTCATCCTCTGAATCTGAAGCAAGGTGTGCTATTGTGGGATTGCTGCTATATACTTCAGCAGCCTGCCTTTAGTTAGCAGCTCACTGGGAGAGTGAAATCCCTTAAGAGCTGAATCTCCAAAAGGAAAACCATAAAGTGACTCATTTCTCACGAGTATGACTCTCATATAATGTATAACTGTGAAGAATTTATAGACTAATCAGTTACTCTCCACTGTGAACTGTACAATGTTGAATGAAAGATGACTGTGCGCTAGAGTTCCCCACACTTACTACATTCATAGACTTGCTCTCTAATGTGAATTGTATGGATTTTCTCATGACTACTAAGAGTTATTCTCTAACTGAAGGTTTTTTCACATCGATTACACGTATGAGGTTGCTCCCCACTGTGAATTCTCTGATGTTGAATAAGGTGAGAGCTTTGTCAGAAGGATTTTCCACATTTGGCACATACATAGGGTTTCTCTCCAGTGTGAATTCTCTTGTGTTGGATAAGGGATAAGCATGCACTGAAGGATTTCTCACACTCATTGCACATGTAGGGTTTCTCTCCAGTGTGAATTCTCTGATGTTGGATAAATTGTGAATGCTGACTGAACGCCTTGCCACAGTCACTACATTCATAAGGTTTCTCACCAGTATGAATTCTGTGATGCTGAATGAGAGAGGAACAAACATTGAAGGCCTTCCCACATTCACTGCACTCATAGGGATTCTCTCCAGTGTGAATTCTTTGATGGTGGATAAGGTGTGCACTCTGGCTGAAGGCCTTCCCACAGTCACTGCACTCATAGGGCTTCTCTCCATTGTGTGTTCTCTCATGCTTAATTAGGGTGGATATCTGCCCAAAGGTTTTCCCACACTCATTACACTCATAGGGTTTCTCACCAATGTGACTCCTCTGATGCTGAATAAGGTGTGACCCCTGGCTAAAGGCCTTCCCACATTTGTGACACTCATAGGGTTTGTCTCCATTATGTATTCTCTGATGTTGAACAAGGGAAGAAAGCAAACTGAAGGCTTTATCACATTCATTACATTCATAGGACTTCTCACCATTGTGTGTTCTTTGATGGTGAATAAGATTAAAACTCTGGCTGAAAGCTTTTCCACACTCACTACATTCATAGGGTTTCTCTCCTGTGTGAATTCACTGATGCTGAATAAGATGTCCCTTTTGACTAAAGGTTTTCCCACACACACTACAACCATAAGGTTTCTCTCCAGTGTGAATTCTCTGATGCTGGATAAGGGATAGACGAGCACCAAATGATTTTCCACACTCATTGCAGATATAAGGTTTCTCTCCAGTGTGAATTCTCTTATGTTGAATAACTTGTGAGCATTGACTAAAGGATTTCCCACATTCATTACACCTATAAGGTTTCTCTCCAGTGTGAATTCTCTGATGGACAGTAAGAGTTCGGTTCAGGCTAAAGGATTTTGCACATTCATTACATTCATAGGGCTTTTCTCCTGTATGAATTCTCTGATGCTGAATGAGAAATAATTGTGTACTGAAGGCTTTGCCACACTCCTTACAGTCATAAGGTTTCTCTCCAGAATGAATTCTCTGATGCTGAATAAGGTTTGATTGTCTGTTGAAGGCTTTCCCACATTCTTTGCACTTGTAAGGTTTCTCTCCACTATGAATTCTCTGATGATGAATTAGATTAGAGCTATGACTAAAGGCTTTCCCACACTGATTACACTCATGATGTTTCTCTCCTGTATGAATTTTTAGATGTTGAACATAAGATGAATGTGTACTAAAAGCTTTCCCACATTTAATACACTCATAGGGTTTTTCTCTAGTGTGAATTTTACAATGCTGAATAAAGTATGAGTGAACACTGAAAGATTTGCCACAATCCTCACATGTGTAGAGTTTCTTACCAGTGTGGATTCTCTGATGTTTACTGAGGATAGAGGGCCAACTGAAAGCTTTTCCACATTCATTGTGCTCATAGGTCTTCTCTCCACTATGAAATCTCTGGTGCTGGTTAAAAGCTCTGTTCTGATTGTAAGTTTTTCCACACCCAGTACTCTCAAACCATCTCTCTGGATTATTCATCCTCTGATTCTCACTAAGAACTGAGCTCTGTCTGGGCACTTTCACTAACACATCTGTCTGATAGGCTCTTTCTCCTAATTGGAAACTCTGGAGGTTAATGAGGTCCTCATGTTGTTGCAAGTTTTCTACACTTGACACACTTGGATGGAGACTCTCCTCTCTAGACCCTCTAAGATGTTTGGCAGGATTTGAGTCTGTAATGCAGTTTTCTCCAACAGCATTGAACTTCTGGCCATTCTCTCTAGAGAGGGTTTTCACATACCTCATGGTAATTTCTCTGAAATTGCTCTTCTGGGAGAATGAGTTCTTAACTCCTTCTACTGCATATTTTCTCCAGCAATTCTCTAACTTTCCCTCAGTTTTACTCATCTCTTCAGTTTCCTTAAAAATATTCCTTACATGATCTTCTGATTTTGCTCTCTGGGATTCCAATTCTTCAGAAATGTCCTGCTTTGGAATCATTTCCTCTTTTTCAATCCTAGAATCACAGCCTGAAAGAATGAAAAAGAAAAAAAAAGTGAATCGCTTGCATTTTACTATGGAAGAAAGAATTAGAGAATAAACAGAAATATTTGTATCAAACAAATATCTTCTAGGATAATACTGATATTCAGAATGCAAATAAAAAAAAAAGCAACAAATATGACCCCATTGGGGAGAGGAAAAAGAGAAGCATGCTGGTAAAGCAATGAACACTGGTGTGGGAAGGAAGAAGGAAGGTAATATGCCCAAGGTCAAAGGCTTAAATCTGCAACCAGGCTGACCTTTCCTGGAGTAGGAAAGGCAAGATCTGAGAAAGGATTTGGGGAGAGTTACCAGGAGGGAGGAATTGGAGGCTGCCTCCACTATTCATGTCATTGCTGCATACTTTGTAAACAAGGTATCTTCTTATGGCTTACACATAGCATACTCAAATATTTGTTGAAAATAAATGATAAATGACTCATAATAAATGAGGTGTACATCAGTGCAATAGATGATGAAAAAAACTATTTGATCTAGACAACTTGGTTTCACAGAAGCAAATCAGGAAAAACAGAAAAAAGCAGCAACCTACTCAGGAAATAGCTTGGGCAGCACAAGGCAAAAAGGCCAAGTATAAACAACAGTCCCAAATCACACATTTCCAGTGAACAAAAGTGTCCAAAAATTTGTGAAAACTATAAAACTGAATTCTGAGACCCAATGAAAGGAAGCTTATTAAAAAGAAAAATCCAAAACCAACCAACAAAACAAATAAACAAACAAAAAACAAGCACTAAGTCACATAGATACAAAGACTGTGGGAAGGATAACTGAGGTCAGAACAGTAAGAGGGCAGCCCTGTGTTGAGATACCACAAAAGGACAATGGAATCTTCTTTTTGCAAATGGCGGTTATCATTAGTTATAATGGGATGCTCCTTGAGACTGCACTGCTTGAACAGGGAGACTGAGCTAAAAATACTAACTGGATGAGGCCTAAAATTGAGTTAAGTATGGCTGGGTGTGGTGGATCACGCTTGTAATCCCAGCACTTTGGGAGGCCAAACCGGGTGGATCACCTGAGGTCAGGAGTTTTAGACCAGCATGGCCAACATGGCAAAACCACATCTCTACTAAAAATACAAAATTTAGCTGGGCATGGTGGCGGGTGCTTCTAATCCCAGCTACTTGGGAGGCTGAGGCAGGAGAATAGCTTGAACTCAGGAGGTGGGGGTTGCAGTAAGTCAAGATTGTGCCACTGCAGTCCAGCCTGGGTGACAGAGCAAGACTCTGTCTCAAAAAATAAAATAAAATAAAATAAAATAATAAAATAAAATAAAATAAAACAAAAAGCTAAGTAATCGCAATAGATTTCTGTGAACTACTCATGGTACTACAGAGGGATTGATTTTGCCATTCAGAGTATGAAAGGAAAAAAGCAAACTTCATAATTTACTCTAGAAACCTACAAACAGTGTCCTAGAAGATAAACATCCTGAATGTAGGGAGAAAAATTTCTGAGGTATCTGAGGAGTTGAGTCCTCAAGGTAGTCTCAGGACTAAAGTCTGACAGATGATTCTATTAGGTGTTATTTTGCTGGGAGGAGACAAAATAAATGTGAACAAAATGAGAAACCATAAGAGAGAGTCATCCATAAGACAAGAACCAACATCTCACACTAAAGTTCATATTGCCATTTCCCTCAGATATCTGGTGATCCTTGGTTGGCGGTGTTTAATTTCTTTCTTTCTTTCTTTTTTTTTTTTTTTGAGACAGAGTTTTTTTGCTCCTGTTGCCCAGGCTGGAGTGCAATGGCACAATCTTGGCTCACCACAACCTCTGCCTCCTGGGTTCAAGTGATCCTCCTGCCTCAGCCTCCTGAGTAGCTGGGATTACAGGCACATGCCACCATGCCCAGCTAATTTTTGTATTTTTAGTAGAGACAGGATTTCACCATGTTGGCCAGGATGGTCTTGATCTCTTGACCTCATGATCTGCCCACCTTGGCCTCCCAAAGTGTTGGGATTACAGGTGTGAGCCACCGTACCCAGCCAATATCAGAATCTTGAAGATAGGTTTGCACTCCCATGTTCACTGCAGCATTATTCACAATAGCCAAGAGGTGGAAACAACCTAGATGTCCATCAACAGATGGATGTATAAAGAAAATCTGGTATATCCATATGATGAAATATTCAGCCATAAAATATTGTAGAAGAAAATCCTGTCCTATGCAACTACACAAATGAACTCTGAGGACATTATGCTAAGTGAAATAAGACATCATAGAAGGATGAATACTGCACAGTTCCACTTAAATGAAGTATCTAAAATAGTCAAACTGATAGAAACAAAAAGTGCAATCGTGGTTGCCAGGGGTTGGTTGCCAGGGGTTGGGGAGAGGGAGAAATGGGGAGTTGCTATTCAGTGGGTACAGGGTTTCAGTCATGCAAGGTTTTGAGAAAGTTCCAGAGACCTGCTCTACAGCATTTTGCTATTGTATTGTATACTTAAAAGTGTTTAAGAATGTAGACTGATCCTCATGTTATATAATTTTACCACAATTTAAGAAATACTTTAATAATGGTGGGAAACTTCTGATATTTCCTGGAAAACATTAAACTGCACATCCAAGAGGCCCAAAGAACTCCAAATGGGATAAACACAAAGATACCAACACTCAGAAACATCATGGTAAAAACGTTAAATGTTAATGACAAGGAGAAAATCTTGAAAGCAAGAGAAAAACAACTTATCATGTACAAGGGTGCCCCAATAAGATAAACAGCAGACTTCTTATCAGAACTAATGGAGGTCAGAAGACAGTGGATAACATATTCAAAGTTCTGAAAGAAAAAGACTCTCAACCAAGAATTTTCTATCCTGGCCAAGTATGTTGGCTCACACCTATAATCCCAGCAATTCAGGAGGCCAAAGTGGATGGATCACCTGAGATCAGGAGTTCGAGACCAGCCTGGCAAACATGGTGAAACCCCACCTCTATTAAAAAAAAAAGCTGGGTATGGTGGTGCATGCCTATAATCCCAGCTACTCAGGAGGCTGAGGCAGGAGAATCACTTGAACCCAGGAGGTGGAGGCTGCAGTGAGCTGAGATCATGCCACTGTACTCCAGCCTGGGCAACAGAGTGAGACTGTCTCTAAAAAAGAAGAAGAAGAAAAAAGAAGTTTCTATCCAGCAAATTATCTTTCAAAAGTGAAGATGAAATAAAAGCATTACCAGATAAATATAAACATAATTTATTGCTGCTAGATGCACCTTAAAAAAAAACCAAAGAAAATTCTTCAGGTTGGAAGCAAGTAAACACAGATAGAAATGAGAACCCACCCAAAACACAAAGAATAAAGATGAAGGTAATTCTTTAATTATATGAAAGTATAAATATATGTTTTTCATCTCTCTTAATTAATTTAAAAAGCAATTTTATAAATCGAATTTATATAGTTATATTGTTTAGGCTTTAAGATGTAAAAATGTATTATATATGACAACAGCACAAAGGAGGTGGATGAGAACAGAGTTGTACTGTACAAAGGAAATGACAGCAGATGGTAACCTGAATGTACAGGAACATATGAAAAAAACCATAAATGGTAAATAAGAAAGTAAACATTAAAAACTTTACCAATATATACTTGCTCTTATTTCTTTTCTGTTTCCACAATTGACATAAAATTATATAAAGTAAAAATTATAAAAATGTATTGGTGGGTTTATAACAAACATATAATTGTAAAACAATAGTATATAAAGGAAGAAGATTAAATAGAGCTATATATGAGTAACAATTCTATATCTCATTGAATTTTGTTAGTATAAGTTAGAAGCAAATTCTGATAAAATGTATGTGGTAAGCTCTAGAGTAGTAATTAAGAGAATAACTTTCAAAAAGTGAAAATATCAGTTAAGAAATTAAAATGTTATAATAGAAAAATTGTACTCAATGCAGCTGGGCATGGTGGTTCACATCTATAATCCCAGTCACTTGGGAGGCTGAGGCAGGAAGATCACTTGAGGCCAGGAGTTTGAGACCAGCCTAGGCCACATAAAAGCAAGACCCAGTTTCTAAAAATAAAATTGAAAAAAAAAAGCAAAACAAAACAAAAAAACACACACTTAGCCAGGCATGGTGGCACACACCTGTAGTCCCAGCTACTGGAGGCTGAGGAAGAAGGATCCCTTCAGCCCAGGAGTTCAAGGCTACAGTGAGCCATGATCAGGCCACTGCACTCCAGCCTGGGAAACAGGGCAAGACCTGATTCTAAAAATAAAAATAAAATAAAATCTACTCAATGCAAAAGAAAAAAATTAAGGAGGAATGGTAGAACAGAAAAGACACAAGATATACGAAATACAAAGAGCACAATGGCAGATGTAAACACAACTACACAAAAAATAATAAATATGACTAAACAATTCAAAGAAAAGGCAGAAAGAAAAAAAGGAAAAAAAGGCAGAGTCACAGTGGATTAAAAAACAATATCCAACTATATGCTGTCTATTGGAAATACACTTTAGATTCAAAGATATAAACAGATTGGAAGTAAAAGAATGGAAAAAGATACACAGATGCTTCTCAACTTACAATGGGGTTATGTCCTGAAAAACCCATTGTATGTTGAAAATATAGAAGTTGATATGGTTTGGATCTATGTCCCCACCCAAATCTCATGCTGAAATGCAATCCCCAATGCTGGAGGTAGGGCCTGATAGGAAGTGATTGGATCATGGGGGCGCGGTTTCTCATGAATGGCTTAGCACCATCCCCCTGGTGCTGTTCTTGTGATAGAGTTCTTGTGAGATCTGGTTGTTTAAAAGGGTGTGGCACCTCCTCCCTGTATCTCTTCCTCCTGCTCCAGCCATGTAAGATGTGCCTGCTTCCCCTTCACCTGCTGCTATGATTGTAAGTTTCCTGAAGCCTCCCTAGAAGCAGAAGCTGGTATGCTTCCCATACAGCCTGCAGAACTGTGAGCCAATTAAACCTCTTTTCCTTACAAATTACCCAGTATTAGGTATTTCTTTATAGTAGTGTGAGAATGGACTAATAAGTCAAAAATGCATTTAATACATCTAACCTATCAAACATAGCTTAGTCTAGCCTACCTTAAACATGCTCAGAACACTTACATTAGCCTACAATTGGGCAAAATAATCTAATACAAAGCCTATTTTATAGTAAAGTGTTGAATATCATGCAATTTATTGACCACTGTACTGAAAGTGAAAAACAGAATGATTTTCACCATTGTGAAGTTGAAAAATCATAAATCAAATAAGATACCCTGTGTTATGCAAATAGGAACCATAAGAAAGCTGGAGTGGTTATAATAATGACAAAATAGACTTTAAAATGTAACATGCTATCAGAGATAAAGATAGACATTTTATAATGATAAAAAGTCAACTCATAAGTTTTAACACTTGTAAACATATACACAGCTAACGACAGAGCTTCAAAGTATGTGCAATGAAAGGTTGAAAGAATTGGGGGGAAATACATAGTTCAACAGCAGTTGTCAGAGACTTCAAACCCCACTTTCAATTTGGATAGAACATCTAACCAGAAAATCAACAAGGAAATACAGTTGGCCCTCTGTATCTAGGTGATATAGTTTGGCTCTGTGTCCCCACCCAAATATCTTCCCAAATTGTAATCCCAACATGTTGAGGGAGGGACCTGGTGGGAGGTGATTGGATCATGGGCGTGGTTTCGCCCATGCTGTTCTCATAATAGTGAGTTCTCACAAGACCTGATGGTTTAAAAGTGCTTGGCAGTCGACCCTCCCCCTCCAAATGCTGCTGCTATGTAAGACGTGCCTTGCTTCCCCTTCACTTTCTTCCATGATTGTAAGTTTCCTGAGGCCTCCCCAGCTATGTGGAACTGTGAGTCAATTAAACCTCTTTCCTTTATAAATTGCCAGGTCTCAGGTAGTTCTTCATAGCAGTGTGAAAACAGACTAATACACTAGGGATGCTGCATCAATGGATTCAAGTGACCACAGATACAAAAAAAAATTGGAAATTAAAAAGCATGGTGGCATCTGTACTGAACATATACAGATTTGTCATTATTCCCTAGACAGTACAGTATAACAACTATTTACATAGCATTTACATTGTATTAAAGTATATAGGAGGGGGATGTACATAGGTTATATGAAAATATTACACCATTTTATATAAGGGACTTGTGGAGTTCGGTATTTGAAGGGGTTCCTGGAACCAATCCCCCATGGATACTGAGTGACAAGAGTAGAAGATTAAGAACACTGTATACAAACTAGACTTAACAAACATTAAGTTGTTAGAGAATACTCCACCCAACAACAGCAGAATACACATTTTTCTCAAGCACACGTGGAATATTTTCCAGGATAGATCATAGGCTAGGCCATAAAACAAGCCTGGATCAGTTTAAAAAGACTGAAATTGTACAAGTTTCCTTGTCACTATGTTTTCTAAACATAATGGAATGAAACTGAAACTAATAACAGAAAATAATTTGCTAAATTCACAAAAATGTAAAAATTAAGCAACACAGTACTAAAGAACCAATGGGTCAAACAAGAAATACCAAGTAAAATTAGAAAATACTTTGAGATGAATGAAAAGGAAGACACAACATATCAAAACCTGTGGGATGCAGCTAAATCTGTGCTTAGAAGGAAATTTGTAGCTGTCAATACCAACATTATTTAAAGTTAAAAAAAAATTTTTTTTAATTTTTTAGAAATTTTACTTTAAGTTCTGGGATACATGTGCAGAACCTGCAGGTTTGTTGCATAGGTATACATGTGCCATGGTAATCTACCTATCAACCTGTCATCTAGTTTTTTGGCCCATATGCATTAGGTATTTGTTCTAATGCTTTCCCTCCCCTTGTCCCTCTCCCCTTGACAGGCCCCGGTGTGTGATGTTCCCCTCCCTGTGTTGATGTGTTCTCACTGTTCAACTCCCACTTATGAGTGAGAACATAAGGTTTTTGGTTTTCTGTTCCTGTGTTAGTTTGCTGAGGATGATGGCTTCCAGCTTTATCCATGTCCCTGTAAAGGACATGAACTCATTCTTTTTTATGGCTGTGTAGTATTCCATGGTGTATATATGCCACATTTTTTTTTATCCAGTCTATCCGTGATGGGCATTTTGGTTGGTTCCAAGTCTTTGCTATTGTAAATAATGCTGCAAGAAACGTATGTGTGCATTTATCTTTATAGTAGAATGCTTTACAGTCCTTTGGTTATATACCCAGTAATGGGATTGCTGGGTCAACTGGTATTTCTGGTTCTAGATCCTTGAGGAATCACCACACTGTCTTCCACAATGATTGAACTTGTTCACACTCTCACCAACAGTGTAAAAGCATTCCTATTTCTCCATGGCCTCACCAGCATCTGTTGTTTCCTGACTTTTTTTTTTTTTTTTTGAGATGGAGTCTTGCTGTGTCACCCAGGCTGGAGTCCAGTGGCACAATCTTGGCTCATGCCTGGCTAATTTTTTTGTATTTTTAGTAGAGAAGGGGTTTCACTGTGTTAGCCAGGATGGTCTCAATCTCCTGACCTCGTGATCTGCCTGCCTAGGCCTCCCAAAGTGCTGGGATTACAAGTGTCAGCCACTGCACCTGGCTGACAATGGGGTTTTCTAAATACGCAATCATGTAATCTATAAATAGACACAATTTGACTGCCTCTCTTCCTATTTGAATACTCTTTATTTCTTTCTCTTGCCTGATTGCCCTGGCCAGAACTTCCAATACTATGTTGAATAGGAGTGGTGAGAGAGGGTATCCTTGCCTTGTGCCAGTTTTCAAAGGGATTGTTCCCAGCTTCTGCCTATTCAGTAAGATATTGGCTATGGGTTTGTCATAAATAGCTATTATATGTTCCATCAATACCTAGCTGATTGAGAGTTTTTAACATGAAGCGGTTGAGTTTTATCGAAGGCCTTTTCTGCATCTATTGAGATAATCATGTGGTTTTTGTCATAGGTTCTGTTTATGTGATGGATTACATTTATTGATTTGCATATGATGAACCAGCCTTGCATCCTAGGGATGATGACTTGATCGTGATGAATAAGCTTTTTGATATGCTGCTGGATTCAGTTTGCCGGTATTTTATTGAGCATTTTTGCATCGATGTTCATCAGGGATATTGACCTGAAATTTTCTTTTTTTTTTGATGTGTCTCTGTCAGGTTTTGTATCAGGATGATGCTGGCCTCATAAAATGAGTTAGGGAGGAGTCCCTCTTTTTCTATTGTTTGGAATAGTTTCAGAAGGAATGGTACCAACTCCTTTTTATACCTCTGGTAGAATTTGGCTGTAAATCCATCTGGCCCTGGGCTTTTTTTTGGTTGGTAGGCTATGAATTACTGCCTCAATTTCAGAACTTGTTATTGGTCTATTCAGGGGTTTGACATCTTCCTGGTTTAGTCTTCTAGAAGACTAAACTAAATTTATCCATTTCTTCTAGATTTTCTAATTTGAGTAGAGGTGTTTATAGTATTCTCCAATCATAGTTTGTATTTCTGGGGGATCAGTGGTAATATCCCCTTTATCATTATTTATTGTGTCTATTTGATGCTTCTCTCTTTTCTTGATTAGTCTAGCTAGCGGTCTATCTATTTTGTTAATTTTTTCAAAAAACCACCTCCTGGATTCATTGATTTTTGAAGGGTTTTTCCTTTCTGTATCTCCTTCGGTTTTTCTCTGATCTTAGTTATTTCTTGTCTTCTGCTAGCTTTTGAATTTGTTTGCCCTTGCTTCTCTAGTTAATTGTGATGTTAGGGTGCCGATTTCAGATCTTTCCAGCTTTCTGATGTGGGCATTTAGTGCTATAAATTTCCCTCTTAACACAGATTTAGCTGTGTCCCAGAAAGTCTGGTACATTGTCTCTTCATTCTCATTGGCTTCAACGAACTTATTTCATTCTTAATTTCATTATTTACCCAAGAGTCATTCAGGAGTAGGCTGTTCAATTTCCATGTAGTTGTGTGGTTTTGAGTGAGTTTCTTAATCCTGAGTTCTAATTTGATTGCACTGTGGTCTGAGAGACCGTTATGAATTCTGTTCTTTTGCATTTGCAGAGGAGTGTCTTACTTCCAATTATGTGGTTGATTTTAGAATAAGTGCCATGTGGCACTGACAAGAATGAGAAGAATTCAAGTCCTGAATATCTTTAATTTTAAAGGATGCTGGCTGGGTGTGGTGGATCACACCTGTAATCCTAGCACTTTGGGAGGCCAAGGTGGGCAGATCATGAGGTCAGGAGATCAACACCATCCTGGCTAACACGGTGAAACCCCTTCTCTACTAAAAATACAAATAAATTAGCTGGGCATGGTGGCATGCACCTGTAGTCCCAGCTTCTCAGGAGGCTGAGGCAGGAGAATGGCATGAACCCAGAAGGCAGAGCTTGCAGTGAGCCGAGATTGCACCACTGCACTCCAGCCAGGTTGACAGAGTGAGACTCTGTCTCAAAAAAATAATAATAAATTAAAAAAATAAATAAATAAAGGATGCTAATTTTCTGTCTTGTTAATCTAATATTGACTGTGGGGTGTTAAAGTCTCACACTATTATTGTGTGGAAGTCTAAATCTCTTTGTAGGTCTCTAAGAACTTGCTTTATGAATCTGGGTGCTCTTGTATTGGGTGCATATATATTTAGGATAGTTAGCTCCTCTTGTTGCATTGATCCTTTTACTATTATGTAATGCCCTTCTTTGTCTTTTTTGATCTTCATTGGCTTAAAGTCTGTTTTATCAGAATAGTACTGCAACCCCTGCTTTTTTTGTTTTTGTTTTTGTTTTTGCTTTCCATTTGCTTGGTAAATATTCCTCCATTCCTTTATTTTGAGCCTATGTGTGTCTTTGCATGTGAGATGGATCTCCTGAATACAGCACATGGATGGGTCTTGACTCTTTATCCAATTGGCCAGTCTGCATCTTTTAATTGGGGCATTTAGCCCATTTATGTTTAAGATTAATATTTTTATGTGTGAATTTGATCCCGGCATCATGATGCTAGCTGGTTATTTTGCACATTAGTTGATGCAGTTTCTTCACAGTGTCATTGGTCTCTATATTTTGGTGTGTTTTTGCAGCGGCTGGTACCAGTTTTTCCTTTCCATATTTAGTGCTTCCTTCAGGAGCTCTTGTAAGGCAGGCCTGCTGGTGACAAAATCCCTCATCATTTGCTTGTCTGGAAAGGGTTTTATTTCTCTTTTGCTTGTGAAACTTAGTTTGGCTGGATATGAAATTTTGGGTTGAAAATTCTTCTTTTTTTTTTTTTTTTTTTTTTGAGATGGAATTTTGCTCTTATTGCCCAGCCTGGAGTGCAATGGTGCAATCTCAGCTCACTGCAACCTGTGCCTCCCAGGCATGTGCCACCATGTGGCTAATTTTTGTATTTTTGTATTTTTAAGTAGAGACAGGGTTTCTCCATGCTGGTCAGGCTGGTCTCGAACTCCTGACCTCAGGTAATCCGCTCACCTCAGCCTCCCAAAGTGCTGGGATTACAGGTGTGAGCCACTGCGCCCAGCCCAGTTCTTTTAAGAATGTTGAATATTGGCCCCCATTCTCGTCTGGCTTATAGGGTTTCTGCAGAGAGATCACCTGTTAGTCTAATGGGTTTACCTTTGTAGGTGACCTGATCTTTCTCTCTGGCTGCCCTTAGCATTTTTTCCTTCATTTCAATATTGGAGAGTCTGATGATTATGTATCTTGGGTTTGATCTTCTTGTGGAGTATCTTAGTGGTGTTCTGTGTATTTCCTGAATTTGAATGTTGGCATATCTTGCTAGGTTGGGGAAGCTCTCCTGGATAATATCCTGAAGTGTGTTTTCCAACTTGGTTCCATTTTCCCCATTGCTTTCAGATACACCAATCAATCGTAGGTTTGGTCTTTTCACATAGACCCATATTTCTTGGAGGCTTTGTTTGTTCCTTTTAATTCTTTTCTCTGTAATCTTGTTTTCATGCCTTATTTCAGCAAGGTGATCTTCAATCTCTACTATCCTTCTTCCACTTGATCAGTTCGGCTATTGATACTTGTATATGCTTCAGGAAGTTCTTGTGCTGTGCTTTTCAGCTCCATCAGGTCATTTATGTTCCTCTCTAAACTGGTTATTCTAGTTAGCAGTTCCTGTAACCTTTTACCAAGTTTCTTAGCTTCCTTGCATTGGGTTACAACATGGTTTTTTTTTTAGCTCAGAGGAGTTTGTTATTACCCACCTTCTGAAGCCTACTTCTGTCAATTCATCAGTCTCATTCTCCATCCAGTTTGGTGCCCTTGCTGGAGAAGAGTTGTGATCATTTGGAAGAGAAGAGACATTCCGGTTTTTGGAATTTTCAGTGTTTTTGCACTGTTTTTTCCTCATCTTCGTGGATTTATTTACCTTTGATCTTTGAGGCTGATGACCTTTGGATGGAGTTTGTGTGTGTGTGTGGGGTCTTTTATGTTGATGTTGTTATTGTTGCTTTGTGTTTGTTAGTTTTTCTTCTAACAGTCAGACGCCTCTTCTGCCAGTCTGCTGCCGTTTGATGGAGGTCCACTCCAGACCCTGTTGACTTGGTTATCACCAGTGGAGGCTGCAGAACAGCAAAGATTGCCACCTGCTCCTTCCTCTAGAAGCTTTATCCCAGAGTGGCACTGACCTGATGCCATCTGGAGCTCTCCTGTGTGAGGTGTCTCTTGAGCCGTTAAGAGGTGTCTCCCAGTCAGGAGGCATGGGGTTCAGGGACCCACCTGGGGAGGCAGTCTGTCCCTCAGCAGAACTGGTGTGCTGTGCTAGGAGAATCCCCTTTGTCAGGATCAGCTCCTCTCTTCACAGCCAGGCAGGAAAGATTAAGTCTGCTGAAGCTGCGCCCACAGCTGCCCCTCCCTCCAGGGGCTCTGTCCCAGGGAGGTGAGAGTTTTATCTGTAAGCTCCTGACTGGGGCTGCTGCATTTCCTTTAGAGATGCCCTGCCCAGTGAGGAGAAATCGAGAGAAGCAGTTTGGCCATAGCTGCTTTGCCGCACTGTGGTGTTCCGCCCAGTCCAAACCTCCTGGTCTCCTTAGCACCGTCAGGGGAAAACCGCCTACTAAAGCCTCAGTAATGTCAGAAGATGCTCCTTCCCCCTCCAAGCTCGAACATCCCAGGTTGACTCCAGACTACTGTGCTGGCAGTGAGAATTTCAAGCCAGTGGTTCTTAGCTTGCTGGGATCCATGGGAGTGGGACTCGCTGATTGAGACCACTTGGCTCCCTGGCTTCAGCCCCCTTTCCAGGGGAGTGAATAGTTCTGTCTCACTGGGATTCCAGGTGCCACCAGGGTATGAAAAAAACTCCTGCACCTAGCTCGATGCCTGCCTAAACAGCCGCCCAGTTTTGTGCTTGAAACCCAGGACCCTGGTGGTGTAGGCTCATGAGGGAATCTCCTGATCTGCAGATTGTAAAAACCATGGGAAAAGTGTAGTACCTAGGCTGGGTAGCACAGTCCCTCATGGCTTCCCTTAGCTGGGGCAGGGAGGTCCCCCGGCTCCTTGCACTTCCTGGGTGAAGCGATGTTCCTCCCTGCTTCTGCTCCCTCTCCATGGGTTGCACCCACTACCTAACCAGTCCCAATGAGATGAACTGGGTACCTCAGTTGGAAATGCAGAAATCACCCATCTTCTGTGTTGGTCTCAATGGGAGCTGCAGACTGGAGCTGTTTGTATTTGGCCATCTTGGCTCCTTCCTCAATGCCTACTTTTTTTTTTTTTTAAAGGGAGCAAATCAACAACCTAATCTTCTACCTTAAAACACTGGAGAAAACAAACAAACAAACAAAAAAACTAAACCCAAATCAAGCAGAAGGTAGAAAATAAGGAATATAACAGAAACTAATGAACTAGAGAATAGAAAAAAGGCTTAATACCAATTCTTCACAAACTCTTCCAAAAAAACAAAAGAGAACACTTCCCAATTCATTCAATGAAAACATATATAAAAATTATACACCATTACTGAGTGGGATTTATCCCAGAAATGCAAGGTTTGTTTAGCATCCTAAAATCAATTAATACATCATATCCAAAGAATAAAGGAAAAAATCAAGAAAGGAAAATAAAGACATTTTCAGACAAACAAAAACTCACAGAATAATGCTAACTTAAGTACAAGAAATACTAAAGGGAATTTTTCAAACTGAAAATAATGATCTTAGACAAAAGTACAGAACTGCAGAAAGGAATGAAAAACACTAGAAAGGGTAACTCTAAATGTAATGTATATATACCGTCAAAAATAGCAACAGAATAAACTCTCTGGTGAGGTTTCAAAGTAGGTAGTACAAAATAAGTGACTATAATAATGAAAGGCAGGAGAGGGACAAAAGCAAACGTAAGGATCTTGCATTTTTCAAGAAGTGGTAAAAATATTAAGGTAGACCATAGTAAGTTGAAGAGACATATTTAATCATTAGAGTCATCACTTAAAAAAGAATGTACAACTAAAAAGCTAATGGAGAAGAAAAATAAAATTACATAAAGTTTGATTTATTCAAAAGAATATAAAAGGCCTGGTGCGGTGCTTCATGCCTGCAATCCCAGCACTTCAGGAGGTCGAGGCGGGCGGATCACGAGGTCAGGAGATAGAGACCATCCTGGCTAACACGGTGAAACCCCGTCTCTATTAAAAATACAAAAAAGCCAGGCGTGGTCGTGGGTGCCTGTAGTCCCAGCTACACAGGAGACTGAGGCAGGAGAATGGCCTTAACCCGGGAGGCGGAGCTTGCAGTGAGCCGAGATCGTGCCACCGCACTCCAGCCTGGGTGACAGGGCGAGACGCCGTCTCAAAAAAAAAAAAAAAATATATATATATATATATATATATATATATATATACATATATATATAATTTATAGTGACAGAAAGGAGATCAGTAATTGCTTCAGTATAGAAGTGGGAAGGAGTGAGAAAGGTGGGAAGGAGTGAAAGATGATGAAGGAGGAGAAAACTTTTGGGGGTGATGGATATGTCTGCCCTAGATTGTAGCAATGGTTTCACATGTGTATACATATGTCAAAAGATATAAAATCATATACTTTAAATACTTATTAACATATTATATGTTAATTACACCTCAATAAGGCTGGTTCTTTAAAGAAAATAAATAAGAGTATGGGGCTGAGACCAATCTGCCAGGGACCCAACGTTGCTCTCTCCCTGGCTGGCTGTGTGATCTGGGGCCAATAATTTAACCTCTCTGTGCCTCAGTTTCCTGGACACTGATTGTGCAGAGATATTGGTGAATTCCATAAATTCATTGTGACAGCACAGTGCCAGGCCTGCATCAAGCGCAAATGACCAATGTTAGCTGTGTGGTAGCACGGAGCCCTAGGACTCTGCTCTGCTTACTGTTTACATGCCCAGGTCCCCCACTACACAGGAAGAAACCCTTTCTAGCTCATCTGTTTCCTTAAGACCGAGAATCAGCCTGGGATGCTCTGAGTGAGTAACAGCAGGAATGAGAGACTTAGAAGAGAACGTCTCTCTAATTGGTATTTCCCAGCAGCCAAAACAGAGCTGGCCAGCAAACCCTGTGGGATAGTGTGAAATACATATTTGGTCTTCATCCCCATAACCTGGCATACAACTCCTAAAATCCTTGTAATCTCCAAAGTGCTGCCTTTTCATAGACTTATGTTGACTGACAGCTTTAGGATGAAGCTGGTCACTGGAAAGGCCAAGGCACGATTACAGGGTTGGGATTCTCAGCTCCAATGCCCCAAACTCAAGAGAGGGGAAAGGAGCTAAAGGTTAAGTTTATCACCAATGGCCAATGGTTTAATCAATCATACCTACATAATAAAGCCTCTATACAAACCTAAGAGGGCAGGGTTCAGAGAGCTGCTGGATAGCTAAGTGGACAGGATCCTAGAGGGTGATGCACCCAGGAAGGGCATGAAAACTCTGCACCCCTTCCCCCATACCTCAGCTTACACATTTCTTCATCTTTATCCTTTATAATAAATTGGTAAATCTTTCTTTTTCTTTTCTGAGACAGGGTCTCACTCTGCCACCCAGGCTGGAGTGCAGTGGCATGATCTCAGCTCACTGCAACCTCTGCCTCCTGGGTTCAAGTGATTCTCATGCCTCATCCTCCCAAGTAACTGAGACTACAGATGCACACCACCATGCCTGGCTAATTTTTGTATCTTTTGTAGAGACGGGGTTTCACTATATTGGCCACGTTGGTCTCGAACTCCTGACCTCAAGTGATCTGCCCACCTCGGCCTCCCAAATTGCTGGGATTACAGGCATGAGCCACTGCGCCCAGCCTAAACTTGTAAATCTAAGTGTTTCCCTGAGTTCTGTGAGATGCTCCAGCAAATTAATAGAACCCAAAGTGAGGGTCATGGGAACCCCAACTTGAATCCTTTTGGTCTCAAGTTTGGAAACCCCGAACTTACAACTAGTGCCTTGAGTGGACAGTCTCAGAGACTGAGCCCTCAGCCTGTGGGATCTGAGGCTATCTCCAAGAGAGCACCAGAATTGAATTGAATTAGAGCTGCTTGGAACATGGGAAAAACCCTCCATACATTTGGTCACGAAGTCTTTGTTGATTGTTGTTGTGGTGTCAGAGCAGAGGAAAAATGTAATTAGCATTTTTCCCAAACAGCCTAAGGAGTGGATGACATAGAAGTGAAGGGACTGGGAGCCAGCTGCCTGGGAAGGACACTTGAACTATTTTTTGTGGCTGAAATAGCATTTTTCTAGGGTAAATAAAACACAAACCTACTTATGGGCAGATAACAGGGGCAAATAACAGCAAGGAAAGAGGACAAGATAGAAAAAGGAGGAGGAAAGCAAAGGCCTGAGGGTAACAAGAGATTTGTCTGGGGCTTGTAGAGAAGGGATTCGTGAGTGAAGCTGCAGCACCTACCACAGAAGCAGAGAGTGGGGGCAGACTCACCTTCTCTCTTGTGCCTCCAGCTCCAGCTCCCCTGAGTTCTCAGGATGTGAGGGGTCTATGGTTCGTCCCCCCGCTCCAGCCTGGAGATGACATCAGGTTTGGAAGCTTGAAGTCCTGCTCCAGAGAAAGGAAGCAAGACCTGAAAAGTCATCCCAGGTAGAGGGCAGGATGGACCTGTGGTCTGAGTCTTTGTGCTGGTTGTGTCCTTCCCTGCCACCTGGTCTCTAACCGTGGAGAAAGACACAGGCCTCTGCCTAAGCTGAGGAAAGGTCAAAACTAGCTTTTCAGGAGGACGGGGAGCATAGATAGGACAGTGTTGGGGCCTGAACACATCATGGTAGAGGACTCATAGTAGTGGGTGTTGATCCCCAGCAGAAGGGCTAAAGGGGGAATGAGTCTCCAGCACCATGTCTGGTTTGTCTGGCCCACCAGCCCGGCATGGCCCTTGTCCATCGGCGTTGCTGCTTTTGTTCCTGCTGGGCCCCAGCTTGGTCCTCGCCATCTCCTTCCATCTGTCCATTAATTCTCACAACTGCTTCCATGAGGAGATCCACAAGGACCTACTAGTGACTGGCACATACGAGATCTCTGACCAGTCTGGGGGCACTGGTGGCCTGTGCAGCCACCTCAAGATCACAGATTCTGCTGGCCATATTTTCTACTCCAAAAAGAATACAACCAAGGGGAAATTTGCCTTTACCACTGAAGATTATGACATGTTTGAAGTGTGTTTTGAGAGCAAGGAAACAGGGCAGATACCTGACCAACTTGTGATCCTAGACATGAAGCATGGAGTGGAGGTGAAAAATTACAGAGAGATTGCAAAAGTTGAGAAGCTCAAACCATTAGAGGTGAAGCTGCGACACCTAGAAGACCTTTCAGAATCTATTGTTAATGATTTTGCCTACATGAAGAAGAGAGAAGAGGAGATGGTGATACCAGTGAGTCAACAAACACTTGGGTCCTACACTTCAGCATCTTTTCAATGTTCTGCCTCACTGGACTAGCCACCTGGCAGGTCTTCTACCTGTGATGCTTCTTCAAGGCTAAGAAGTTGATTGAGTAATGAATAAGGCATATTCTCCTCCCACCTTTTACCACAGCCAGCAGAACATCGCTGGGATGGGCCTGGCCTAAGGCATCCTACCAGCAGCACCATCAAGGCATGTAGGAGCTTTCTTGCCAGAAATGATCTCTTTTGGTGTGCGAGGACATGGGGTACCACCTACACCCAACAAGTCAATGAGGGACTTCTTTTTAATTTGGTAGGATTTTGACTGGTTTTGCAACAACAGGTCTATTATTAGAGTCACCTATGACAAAAAAAAGGGTTACCTAGATAATGCCAAAGTCAGCATTTGTCCTGGGTTCCCTTGTGTGATCTGTTTGAACCAAGTTTTCTTTTCTTCTCCCACTTGCTCAGCAGTTTGGGCTTCCATTCTAGTTCTTTTACCAAGATTTTTGTGTGACCAAGTTGACTTCATTCGGATTGCCTTCTTTCAATTTCCTTGTGAAAACACTCTTAACTTTCTCTTTACCCTTAGCTGAAATGTTTACGTAGCTTCTGGTGATATCTTTTCATGATTTTATGTCTCTTAAAATGGTGATGGATGTGACACTTCATAAAAGTGAGCTTTAAACTGTAGATAACTCTTGAAGAAAATGTCATTTTAGACAATTATATGCAGTATTATCATGTGTAGATTCATGTGACCACCATCACAAGAGACAGAACAGTTCTATCACATGGATCCCTTGTGCTGCGCTTTTACAGCCACAGCCACATCCCTTTCTTATCCCCTCACCCCAACCTGTGGCTACCACTGTTCTGTCTTCCATCTTTGTAATTTTGTCATTTCAAGAATGTCATATGAATGGAATCATATAGAATGTAATCTTATGAGGTTGACTTTTTTTCATTCAGCATAATTCCCTTGAAATCCATCCAAGTTGTTGCATGTATCTTCTTCCTTTTTTTCTTTTAAAAATGTTTTATATATTTAGGGGGTATAAGTGCAGATTTCTTACATGCATATATTGCATCGTGGTGAAGTCTGGGCAGTTCCTTTTGATTGTTGAGTCGTATCCCATGGTATGGATGTACCACAGTTTGCTTAACCATTCACCTACTAAAGGACAAAAGAGTTGTTTTCAGTTTTTTGCCCTTACTAATAAAGCTGCTGTGAACATTCATGTACAGGTTTTTATGTGAACACACATTTTCATTTTCTGGGATAAATGCCCAAAAGGGCAATTGCTGGGTTGTGTGGTAAACACGTATATCTTTGTAAGAAACTACCCTACTCTTTTTTCCAGAGTGGCTGTACCTTTTACATACAGCCACTCATACAATTCATACAGCAATGTATGACTGATCCAGTTTCTTCACATCCTCACCAGCGTTTGGTATTACTACTATTTTTTATCTTAACCATTCATATAGATGTGTGTAATGATACCACATGTGGTTTTAATTTGCATTTTCCAATGGCTAATGATGTTGAGTATCTTTTCGTGTGCTAATTTGCCATCTACACATCCTCTTCAGTGAAATGTCTGCTCATGTCTTTTGTCTATTTTCTATTTAGGTCATTTGTTCTTTTTACTATTGAGTTTTCAGAGTTTTTTTATACATCCTAGATAAAACTCTTCTGTTAGATACGTGGTTGCTTGAATTTTTAACATAACTTCTACCAAGGAAAAATAAGTAAAATTTACAACTCTTCTTGCATGGCCAGTCACTTACTTAATTCCTGTCCTTCAGTGTTCCATCTAGATAATTAAGAAATATGATGTATAAAATAGATATCTAGGAGGGCCATTAAGAGGGTAAATACTTAAAAATACAAAGCCAATGAAAGCAAAGCCAATAATCACTGTAGGAGTATGAGGTGCCTAAGGGCCAAAACTAATGTAAATAAGAGAAAATGTGGATATAAATGACCATGTTTATAAACAGCTATGAAAAATGCTGTCACTTGAAATCTTTCCCACATCTCTCAAGAAAGTAGGTAGAGTTTATCCTTTCTGTAATCTCTTTTTAACCCTGCTATCACAGGGCTTATTTAATCACAGTGGCAAGAATTACATGTATTTTACAGTAAAGAAGCAGAATACTGGAATTGTTAGAGAACCCTGATGTGTTGACCTGGATAAAGTACAAAGGTGGAAGAGGGAATGAGTTATGTTGTTAAAATCTCAGGCTATTCTGTTCATGTTCCTGCTACTATGAACCCAAACCTGTTTTTTTCCCCCTTTTGACTCCTTGTATCTTCCTCTCATGTGGCATAAAAGTAGTTCTGTCGTTAACTTGTACAACATTGCCACCTGCTGTTAAGAATTGGTAGGTACTGCTTCTGAGAACCTGGCTGCAGATCCTTACCATAGGCAGCAGATGTTGAGAAAGTCTACATGTAGTATTACATATACTAAGTTACAGAGGGTACATCCAAGTCTACTTGGATTCCATTCTTAAACTTTTTTTTTTTTTTTTTTTTTTTTTTGGGACAGAGTCTTGCTGCGATGCCCAGGCTGAAGTGCAATGGTGCTATCTCAGCTTGCTGCAACCTTCACCTCCTGGGTTCGGGTAGTTCTTCCGCCTCGGCCTCCAGAGTGGCTGGGAGTGCAGGTGCATGCCACCACACCTGGCTGGTTTTTGTATTTTTGGTAGAGATGGAGTTTCACCGTGTTGGCCGGGATGGTCTTGAACTCCTGACCTCAAGTGATCCACTGACCTCAGCCTCCCAAAGTGCTGGGATTACATGTGTAAGCCACTACGCCCATCCTCCATCATTAAACTTTTTAATGTGAAATTCTATCATGTACCATTAACCTAACAAGATTTTCTTTCCTATTTCTGACTGGTGCCTTTCCCCTTTTCAGGAGCAATGAAAGCTACTCTGTTAGTTATGTTCTTCTGATGTGACAAAATGTCAAGAAGATAGGAGAAGAGAATATTTTGTTTTGTTGATGCTTTTGTTCCCAAGTGTGACCCTAAACTTAAGCTTTGTAGGAGCTGATGTTCTCTCATGTCCCTTCCCTTTACTCATGCCAAAACTATCAACTAGGACATTTTGTGCTTTTGGTTTAAAAGTTAATTGATATTATACCTTGGTTTTATCCAAGAAGTAAAAGTATTTGCCTTTGACAAAAGACTGATACAAGAGCAAATAATCTTTAAAAACAGGGGTGTTATGTGCTTTCCTCCACTTTTGAGCATATTATCCAAAATGGTCTGTATAATATAAATGAGAATGATGCAGTTTAAGTAAGTATTTTTATACCATTGTCATGGACCCCTGTCATAAAGCCATTTTTCAGTTTGGGAAAGAGGCATATGGGATTTATACAGATTCACTTGTAAATGTTGCATTGGGGATTTTTGTGTAAATTTTCTCAAATAAAGGCTAGCAGAAACCAAAAAAAAAAAAAAAAAAGGGCTAAAGCGAAGAGCACATTCCAGTGAAAGGAAAGCAGGGCTCTGAAACCGAACAGATCCATATCCCAGATCTGCCACCAATAGGCTGTGTAAACTTAAGAAAAGTGACAGTATTTGTTAGCCTCAGGTTCGTTTATAAACTGTGTATCCTACCACCGATCATCAAGATGCAGAAAGATTAATTCAGGGGATAGGGAGGTACTAGGTGTGCAATGAATAATATTCTCCTTCTATAAATCAGGGAGGGTTGGAAAGGCATGGGAGGCCAAGGTGGGAGGATTCCTTGAGGCTAGGAGTTTGAGACCAACCTGGGCAACACAGAGGCTCTGTCTCTAAAAAAGTAAAATAAGACAGGCATGGTGGCCCATGCCTGTAGTCTCAGGTACTTGGGAGGCTGAGGTAGGAGGATCTCTTCAACCAAAGACGTCAAGGTTACAGTGAGCTATGGTCTCACCACTGCACTCCAGGATGGGCAACAGAGTGAGACATTGCCTATTAAAAAAAAAAATCAAGGAGGGTCCCAGTACCACCTGTCCCCCTCTCTGTGCAAACCAGACCTGCATGGTACCATGGTCAAAATGTCTGGTCTTTGGGCCCAGGGGGTGAGGAGCCTCTGAGCCCCAAGCTTGATCCTCAAGGTTAAGGAGCAGGAAGCCCAGGAGCTGAGCCCCAGGGAGGGAACTTACCTAATGAGAGTAGGTTCCCATAGGTCCCCATCATCACATCCTTGTAGAGGCCCCTCTGAGCAGGGATCAGACAGTCCCACTCCTCCTGGGAGAGGGGTACAGCCACATCCTCAAAGGAAACCACGATGTGGAATGACAAGATCTTGATGCAGCCCTCAGGTCAGGACCTGGAGGGAGAAGATATTAGGCTCAGGACTGGTAAAATCCCTCTGGGAACATGTACCTGTCTTCCCCACTAATGTGAACTCTTTGAGGCAGACACTATATTGGCTCATCTTGGTGTGCCCCAACTCTGACCTCTACTGTACCTGGTCCAGGGACAGTAAAACAGTGAGAAGTACATTTCAGGGACTTGAACTCAGGAACTGAGGACATCGGTGGAGACAGGGAGCTGTCCACCCTCTGGGACCAGCTCCTTATAGACAGACTCCTGCTGAGAAAAGGCTGAGGTCACATGGAAGAGACTCCATGAGGACCACTCACTTGGAGCCCACCAAGAAGGAGCTGCATGACAGCCATCACTAGGTCTCTGAGCTTGTCCTGAGGTGTGGGCAGAGCTGTAGGGAGAGGAGGGTGATGGAGCCTGACCAACCTTCTGCTCCCCATAGGTGCTCTGAGACTTCTAAGCCTAGACATTTTGTGGTAGCAGAGACCCAATTATGAGCTGCCTGAACACCCCAGGAAAGGTGGATGAACTAAGTAGCCAGTGGTCTCTGAGACCATATCCCCTCCCTAATTTTCTGCCATACCTCTCCATGTCTCAAGAGAGGCCTTCCTGAGGCCCCTGGGATGACAGCATCCTGAGGCCACCATGTGAAAGCCAGGACTGTGGCAGTGCACTTGGCCAGGAGAGACAATGGACTGCGTTTCCCAGGCCCACCTATGAGGTCCTGCGCAGACGGCAAACAGCTGAGAACAGCGGACCAGGCTCTGGTGCTAAGGCAGCGAATGAGCAAATGGAGAAGTTAACACATATGCATGACACACAGACACAACGCCCAGGTGGTGTCAGGTAATGACAAAGGATACAAAAAATTAATGACGCAGCACGAGGGCAGCGACTGGTGGTAAGAGATATTTTACACAGGATGGCCAGGGAAGACACCTCCGATAAAGTGACAACAAATCAGAGATCTGGATGGAGTGAGGGTAGGCACCATGTGGTTATCAGTGAGGTACATCCCAGGCAGGAGGAGGGCACAAGTGCAAAGGCTCTGAGATGCAAGCACACCTGTGTTCAAGAACGGGCAAAGAAGCCAGAGGGGCTCAAACAGACTAGGGGAGGGTAAAAGAGGTGGGTACCCTCTGGGGTGGGTACCTTGTAAGCCTTAGGGCAATGGGTTTTATTCTGAATGGATGGGAAGTGCCTGGAATGTCTGGGAAGAGTCATATGACCTCAGATGTGGTCTCTACAGCTGCTGCTTTGAGGGTGCTTTGAATAGACTATGGGGTGGGGGTAAGGAACAAAAACAGGAAACCAGTCAGAAGGTTCTAGCAACAATCCAGCTAGAGATGAATGTCCTGGACCAGACTGGTGGTGGCAGAAGTGACAAAAAGCAGCCAGATTATGGATACATTTCAAAGGTACCATCAATAGGATTTGCAGATGAATTTCATGTAGGACGAGACACCAAGATTTTTGGCCTGAGCAACTGAAATTATGAAATTTCCATATACTCAAAAGAGTAAGACTGCAAAAAGATTAAATGTAAAAGTTGTCTTGTATACAGTAATGTTTAAGATACCTATTAGATTTATAAATGGAAAATTAGGGCATTTGGATATACAAGTTGAAAATTCAGGAGTGAGGTTGGGCTGGCTGGGTATATACTGAAAACTGTCAGTACACAGATGACATCTAAAACCACAAATCTGGTTTTATTTTAGCAGTGATATGTGTCACTCCCACAAAAGCCTTCCCAATTGGCCTCAGCATACACAACAAGTCACCTCCCCACAGCCCTCTACACATAAACAAATTCCTTAGTTTAGTTCAGGAGGAAATGCGCCCTTTTCCTTCCGCTCTAGGTGACCGCAAGGCCCAGTTCTCGTCACCAAGATGTTAAGGGAAGTTTGCCAAGAGGCATCTGAAAGGAAATAAGGGGAATGGAGTGACCACAAAGGAAAGCCAAGAGAACGTTGGAGACACGTTCTAGAGCCCTGGCATTTCACAACAAACTCTGGAACAAACCCTGTCTCATCATCATTTAAGCCTTCGTTGGACAGACTTTCTGACTGGCAGCTGAACATAAGCTCATTGATGTCTTCACAGTCTCCAGCTGAGGCACACCTTGGCCAGAGGGAATCTTCCAGTCCTCAGACAGGGCTTGCCTTTGACTGGCCCCTGCTGCTTATGCCCTTTGTGAATCACAAGCGGTACCTCTTAGTGTACTCTGCCTTCACTCCTAAACGCATGTGGCAGGCATGTAATGCTGCTATTAGGCGCATGGGCTCTGGACTCGAATAGGACTGAGTTCTAACCTTGGATCCACCACTTACTCATGCAGAGGTCTCAGGTAAGTGACTTGAGTTTTTCCACAGACCATAAAATGAGATTGACACTACTCCTTAAGTGACTATATTGCGTTAAATGAGAATATGTATAAAATGCTCAGCACAGTATTAGCAAACCGCAAACAATACTAAGTCTCAATTGTCCTAATCAGTAAGTCAGCATTTACCGAGTGCCTACTAAATGAATGAGTGTTGAGCTTGTTCCAGCGCATCTGTGAGATATCACCTCCTGCCTATTCCTTTCCTTCCCCAAAACAGAAGCTCCTTCACACCACAGCTCTCACAGCTTTACCCTTTCAATCAATACATTCCTGCTAAATGAAATGCACTTTTCTCTCTTCTGAAAAAAAAAAAGCACAATTCAGCTCATCCCCTGACATTGCCCAAACTCCCTTCCTCTGCGAGATCTTTTTACCCATCTGGCTTCCCTGCCTCAGTGTTGCTCGGGAGCGTGGATGACAGCCCGTAGACCTGCACGCCCCGCTGCCTCCGCTCGTGCCTCACGCCACCCTCGCCCTGCCCGCGCCTCGGCCAACACAAAGCGGGCGCTCAGCACCCCGCAGCCGCCCTCGACGCGTCCTCTACGGGTCACTGAGGCCGCGGGGCCCGACCTGCGGCCTCTCAGAACCACGGCACCGCCCCTGCCCGCCCCAGCGCCACTCCGGCACCTCCGCACCAGGCGCCCTAGCTCGGGACTCACTCGGCTCGACCACGGGAAGGGAAGGAGCGCGAACGCTAAATCCCGTGCCGCGGGGAGCCAAGCCCCCTGGGCCGGAAATGCCTAATCTGAACTTCCGCCCTGCCCTTCAGCTCACCAACCAATTGAATTCCAGGTTTCGTGGGTCCGCTCTAGGCGGCTGATAGTACTCAATGCTCCGGCAGTCCTGCTCCTTCCCGGTTACGTCCCTTCCAGCCCTTGGCGGAGTCTGCGGGCGAGAGGGCGCAGGTGCAGAGGTGCCGCCGGCGGCGTGCGGCTGCGAAGGAAGGGACCCCGACACCGAGCGTTCCTGCGGACGCTCCTCAACCGGGGGTTGTTCTCCGTGCTCTGGACCCGGCCCTTCCTCACCTAGGACGTCTCGCGGTGCACTGTCCCCCTCTCTCGGGCGACTTTTCCCCCACCTCCAAGTAGTGATCAAGCTCAGAATCCAGCTCGCGCCCGCTGTGCACCTAGCACTTCCCACCTGTAGTCTTTTGACCTCATCGCCCCCTCTAGAAGGCTGCTGCCATCGCTTAAATGAGGAAGCCGAGGTGCAGAGAGGTTTCAGACCTATTGCGGTGGAGCTGGAGTTCGAGAACCAACCACTCGGTGCTGAGACGCGCTTGCGGAACGGGCGGCGGGCGGGGGTGAAGCGGAGTGAGGGGAGAGGCCAGGTGCGACCCGGGCAGGTGAGGAGCACGGGCCCGGAGGGAGGACTTACGAGAATGGAAAGGAAAGCAGCCCGTCTTCAGTGGGACAGTGGGAGCATTAAGATGTCAGAGAATGAGCAGTTGTGGGAAGAGCCATAGGGTATTTTATTTTTTAGAGATGGGGTTTTGCTCTGTCGCCCAGGCTGCAACCTCGACCTCCCGGGCTCAAGCGATCCTCCTGCCTCAGCCTCCCGAGTAACTGGGACTACAAGCAACGCGCCACCACACTAAATCTTTAATTTTTTGGGGGGTGGTTGAAGGTGGGGGCGGGACAGGGTCTCTCTCCGTCTCCCAGGCCAGAGTGCAGTGGCGCAATTACGGCCCGACTCCTGGGCTCAAGCGATCCTCCCACCTCAGCCTCCGGAGTAGCTGGGACCACAGGCGCCCACCACCACGCCCAGCTAGTTTTTGTATTTTTTTGTAGAGGTGGTGTTTTGCCATGTTTCCCAGGCTGGTCTTGAACTCCTGAGCGCAAGTGATCCACCCGTCTCAGCCTTCCAAAGTGCTGGGATTACAGGTGTCAGCCACCACGCCCGGCCCTAAATATTTTTTTAAAAGTTGGATTTTTCATGGTGCCCAAGGGAAGAGACACTCCTTTCCTTTTACTAAGACCATTTCTTTTAGAAAACTTTGTAATAGGAAAATCTTTCTTTGCCCTCTTGAAATGTATGTAAATTTTTTAAAAAGCTGCATAAGCCTCTTGCCAGTTTTATAAACCAGGAATTTCTTTCTTAAGGACCTTTCTTAAGGACCTTGGAGTGATTTCTTTGAAATAAAAAGGCCAAGGAAGATAGCTTCCCTCCTTGTCTCTGTGGGAGTTTAGCAGATGGCTGGCTCCAAGTTGCAATTACCTGCTTGTCATAGAGACATGAGGTTTATTTTAACTTTGGATAAAGGCAGTTAGCTAACACAGATGGCCGCCCCAAGTACCACGTACCTGCCTTCTCGTTTAGAAACACTGTGGGCATTAGGGGCAACTCATGCAGAAGACCCAGGAATCTTCCAGGTATACTCCATGGGATGCCTGTTCCACTCTGGCCCATTGGCACAAGCTAGCCTTTTCTTTTAAGGATAGTGGGGTCCGTTCTGAGAGCGGCCTTTGCAACATCTCACTTCCCCTGTTGACTGTTATTTCTTTTCTTCCTGCTTTCCTACTCCCTTGATCCCAAACTCACTAGGGGTATTTAGTGAGCACTTACTGTTGCAGTAAGACTCTAGCCAAGGAAGACGAAGAGACAGTTGGAGACCAAAGAGAACTTCAATTCGGGCACCCGAGCCTAGAGCAGGCTCATGCCCAAAATGGCTACCGACCCAGACAAAGAAAGCAGGCTTGCTTATATGTCGTTTCAGGCGTGAAAAACAAGGCAGGATACAAGTTTCAGACAAAGACAGTAAATTATTCAACCTGTGACAATTCTGAGAAAACTTACATTTAGTTATCTTGACCAGTCAACCTTGAAGCTGGACAGAGCTGGGGTAAGGGAAAACAGGAATTACGGAAGTATGAGGGAGTCGCGAGGCCGGAGATAAGCTTGGAAGGTTGAGATAAGCTCGCAGGTGCAACTTCTTAGCAATGCTGAGAGTGGCTGCTTAAATTTCTTAGCCTATGTATAACTTCTAAATAGCCTACACTAAATGGTAACTATTACCTATGTTGTGTTTGTTATTTTAAACTTTAATGTTATTTATTTTATTTCATTTTCCTTCCACATTACCTCTGCTGTTAGCAGCTTTGAGAAATGCTGCTATAGGATGTGGGAAGTCATTAAAGGATTTAAGCAGGGAGAGGCAAGATCAGATTAACATTTCAGAAAAATATTTACTGTTTTCCAGCTGAAACTAGTAGAGTACAATTTACTTTCTGGTCACAGCACACAGCAGTCACATCCTGGAGGAACTGTACTTCTCTAAGATCTAGTCTGTCCTGTGGTTTAAATGACCTTTAGCAAATTGTCTTTATTACTTTGTACACTGCTTTCACCAGTCTGCTCTTCCATGGCTAACGGGGCAGAACTGTTATTTTTAGGGTTTTCCACATCCAGTATGTTCATAAGATTTCTACCCTGTGTGAACTTCCAGATGTCGAATAAAGGCTGGATGCTGACCAAAGACCTTTCCACATTTTTTACATGTGTGTAGGGTTGCTCACCAGTAGTATTCCCCTGATGCTTCATAATGGTTGATCCCAGAGAGAATGCCCTTTCACACTCATTACATTCATAGGGTTTCTGTCCAGTGTGAGTTCTGTGATGGGAAATTAGGTTAGAACTTTAAACAAAGGCCTTTCCACGTTTGTTACACTGATAAGGCTTATTTCCAATGTGGATTCTTTGGTGTTACACAAGATTAGAGCTGTAGTTGAAGGTTTTCCCACACTCTGCCTTCATAGAACTTGTCTTTATAGTGAAATCTCTGGTGTTTTCTAAATTGTGTTAGTCCTTCTTAAGGCTTACCATGTTCACTACACTACACAATTCCTCTCCATGGTAACTATTTGGGTGCTCATTAAAGGCTGTACTCTGACGTTCTGCATGTTTTTGAGATTTCATTAGGATGTGGGCTTTCTGGTGATTGTTAAAATGTGAGTTATCTGAAGCTGTGTCCAGATGAATTACGTTGATAGGTTTTCTCTTTTGTGGGAACATTCAGATATGCTACAGGGTTTGAGGTCAAGTCTAGGATGCTGTCAACATTGTTATACTCCTGGCTTTTCTCCCATGGAATGTTTTTATGGATCACTGTGATTTATCTTCACATGTACTTGACTAGTACTTTCTTAAACATTTTCTTAGTTTTCCTCTACAAAGATTTCCCTGATATTTCTCTAGTAGACTCACAACTCTGTAGGCTTTAAAAAAGTTGGGTGCTTAGTCAATATCTCCTTTTTAACACATACCACCCACTGTGGTTTCATGCTTTGGGGGTTCCTTTTGGAGAGGCAACTCTTTGTTATCTGCCTCACAACCTGAAGCAATACAGCAAGCAGGAAACATGGCATAATAAAAAGACCACAGCCTTTTAATTCTAAAGACCAAGATTCTACATTTCCTCTTCTCCTTTCCAGACAACTTAGTCCCAAAGGTATAAAGTAAAGCTGAGCAAGGTAGCATCCATACCAGGGCTGGGGGAACCAAAGCAGGAAAGAGCAGCAAGGTGGAGGCCATCCATATAGCAAGACTGGCACAGTGTGTCCAGCCTAAGCAGGCTGAAGATGTCTTCATGGAAGGGCAGAGGCAGAAGGGCAAGAGGCAGGGGTTACAGTGAGCCAAGATTGCACCATTGCACTCCAGCCTGGGCAACAGAGCAAAACTCTGTCTCAAAAAAAAAAAAAAAAAAAAAAAAAAAAGATGAAACCCCTATTTGTAAGACTAAAACTATAAAACTCTTAGAAAAAAAAAAGGCATAAATTTTTGTGACCTAGAGTTCGGCAATAGTTTCTTATAAGTGACACCACAAACACAAGCAACCAAATAAAAGATAGGTTGGACTTCAAAATGAAAAACTTTTGTGCTTCAAGAAATGCCATCAAGAAAGTGAAAATACAACCTATAGAATGGGAGAAAATACTTGCAAATCATATATCTGATAAGGGCACAATATCCAGAATATATAAATAACTTTTACGACTTGTCTAAACAGACTACCATAGGCTAAATGGCTTTGACAACAATTTATTTCTCACAGTTCTGGAGGCTGAAGCCCAAGATCAGGGTGCCAGCTGGCCGTTCTTGGTGAAGGTGGCTCCCTGGTTTGCAGACTGTGGTTTTCACACAGCACCTTTGCCTAGCGGAAATGGGAAGCCTCGGGCCCTTCATCCTAATCCTGTCTTGGGCCTCCACCCTCATTACCGCATCTGAACCATCTCAGTGGGGACTGGGTTTCAACACAGGCATTTTGTGGTGGATACAAACATTCTGCTATAGCGCAACTCGACAATAAAAAACATCCCAACTGTAAAGGAGCTGGAAAGGCAGAAAGCTAAGGTCAGTGGGGGATGCTCTGAGCGTCTGAAGACAGCGCAGCTATCCGTAAGGATCACATGCGGCTTCCCTCGCCTCCAGCTGCGCAAGGGCAGGTGCGGGCAAGGAAGTCCCACTGGGGCTTTTGGGGACCCAGCACAGCTCGGGCGAGTGGGTGAGGGTAGAGAGGATGCCTCAGTGCGTCCGGACACCACCGAGACCATAGTTCTCCAAGGGCACCTAGAGTGGATCCAGCTGAGTTCAAGTCCAGACGCTGCCTCAGGACTTCTCAGGACCACACTTCCCGCCCAGGTTGTTTCCTCCCTCTGGGAGCAGGAAAGGAGATGAGTCTTGGGGTGTGCGTGGGACTACTGGCCTGGAGCTGCTGTCAGCTCTGAACCCTCCCCCTCTCTCCAGGAACGCAGTTAGGCTTTTCGCGCTAGTCCCCCGGTAGGGCTGGCCGTCTGGGGCGCTCGGGCTTCCTTCCCTGACGGGCTGCAGGGTCTTTTGTGGCGTTTCTGTCTCCTTCGCCGCAGTGTGATCTATTGTTAACAGGGGTAAATCCACATGGGTCTGCTGCAGCCTCAATTCTTGCCTCCTCAGAAGAAAGAATTTGACGGAGAGGCATGAAGCATAAGGCAGAGGGAAAGATGGAGGCAAGTTTTAGAGCAGGAGTGAACATTTACTAAAAAGCTTTAGAGCAGGAACAAAAGGAAGCGAAGTACACTTGGAAGAAGGCCAAGTGGGCCACTCAAGAGATTAAGTGCACGGTTTGACCCTTGACTTGGGGTTTTATACACTGGCAAGGTTGTGGCGGTCGGGGGTTGGGGAGCATCCCTTCTCCTCTGATTCCTCCCTTGGGGTGGGCTGTCCACATGTGCAGGGTGGAAGTGGGGACACATGCCCAGTGTGTTTACTGGAGTTGTGTGTATGCTCACTTAAGGTGTTTCTTTCCTTACCAGTTGAGTCTTCTAATAAGGTATCAACCGGTTAAACTCTGCCACTTCACCGCCCTGTGTGCATGCTCAAGCCCACTTGCCCAACTCCTAAGATCTCATTGGGAAGCTGCTGATCACCAGCTTCAGGTTTTTTCTATCTGTTGGGAGACTGCCTTTCCCTTGTGCTGGCAGCAACCAATTCTTATTTGAGAGAGACAACTAACAACTACCTGACTGTCCCCTGATGGTCACCTGGTGTTCCTGGTGGGTGGGAGGGCTCTCCTGACTGCCTGACTACCTACTGTAACACTATCACCCCCACTGAAGCTCCCGAGCTCTTGTGGAAGACGTTATCCACTGAGCCTGTTCCCAAGAAGCAAGATTTTGACTTTACTAAACCCTCCACAATCTGTCAGATACAGCGCTGCATGGATAAATAGCTGTGGATGACTGACCCAGGAAGGTGCTGGGGTAAGCGGGCTCCTGAGAGACAAACATGCTCGAGAGAGAACTTTCTATTCAGTCAGCCTTTGAGCAAACGCTTCTGTTACATACAGCAGGCATGGTGTATTAGTCTTGTCTTAGGCCGGGCGCAGTGGCTCATGCCTGTAATCCCAGCACTTTGGGAGGCTGAGGTGGGCAGATCACAAGGTCAGGAGATCGAGAACATCCTGGCTAACACGGTGAAACCCCATCTCTACTAAAAATACAAAAAGTTAGCCAGGCAAGGTGGTGGGTGCCTGTAGTCCCAGCTACGAGGCAGGAGAATGGTGGGAACCTGGGAGGCAGAGCTTGCAGTGAGCCGAGATCATGCCACTGCACTCCAGCCTGGGTGACAGAGCGAGACTCCATCTCAAAAAAAAAAAAAAAAACAGAAAAAAGAAAGTCTTTTCTTTCATTGCTATATTCTCTCATTGCTGAGATTGGGCAATTTATATTTTTTTAAAAAAGGTTTAAGAACCAGGGGAGCTGACAGCATAAACCTCTGTCCCAGGGCTGGAGAAAATGAAATTAGATGTCTCAGCTCAAGGTGAGACAGGAATAAAGGGGCAAATTCCTCCTTGCTCCACTTTTTCTATTTCACATCCCCAACAGATTGGATGATGTGCACCCATATTGGGAAGGGGAATCTACCTTGCTGATTCAAATGCTAATCTCATCCAGAAGTGCCCTTGCCCAGAAATAATGTTTAATCTGGGCACCCCATGCCTAGTCAAGTTGACAGGTAAAGTTAACCATCCCGGTAATTATTATCGTTTTTTCCTACTTCACAGATGAGGGACCTAAATCATATAGAAGCTGAGTAATTTGGCCAAGGTCACACTTCTAATAATTGACCAAACTAGAACCCAGGTAGATTGGTGCCCATGCACTATCATGTACTGACCAGCTGAAAAGTCTAAGACTTTGACCCAAGCTTAGAGATCTTGGGCAAGTCCCTTAAGCTCTCTGAGAATCCATTTCCTTCATTTATAAAATGGAGATAATAACAAAATGTATGTCATCTACCTCATTAGTTAGTTGTAAGATCAAGTGAACTGTTAATAACTGGACATGAACTAATTGTTGTTAGTGTTCTCAGAGCCATATTTGCCAGCAAATGTGCTTTTGATAGCTTAGGACTATCTTTAACTGTTTATGAAAGAAGCATACGCTAAAACCTTGCAAAATCCAGTCTAAGTAAATATGACTGTTATGGGAAGGCCATCTCTGGAGTTGGGCCCTTTATAAAGAAGATTCCAAGGCTCCGATACCTGTCTTCTCTTCAGGAAATGCACATTCCTGTCCTGCATTTTCACTGATTTTTGTGAGATGCTTATAGTCAGGAAAATTTATAGCAGTACCCTTTCCCAAGCATTCACTTTAACTATGGAAATATATGGTTATTTTTTTCCTTAATTGATATCATATTCTTTTTTTTTCATCTTCCTTCTTGGTATATATTTTCTTATAATTTTTCCTAACTTAAAAATTAGATGATAATTTTTTTGGCTTTAATTTCTTGTATGATGGTGTCTTTAATGACTTTGTGCCTTTCATTTATTTACTGACATCCATTCTCCTATATTTTATTTTATTTTTTGAGACAGGGTCTCTATCTTCTAGGCTGGAGTGCAGGGTGGTGCAGTCATGGCTTACTGCAACCTTGAACTTCTGGGCTCAAGTGATCCTCTTGTCTCTGCCTCCTGATTAGCTGGGACTACAGGTACACACCGCTACACCCAGCTAGTTTTTAAAAAATTACTTTTCGTAGAGACAGTATCTCACTGTGTTGCTGAGGCTGTTCTCAAACTCCTGGCCTCAAGGAACCCTCCCAACTCAGCCTCCCAAAGTGCTGGGATTACAGGCATGAGCCACTGCACCTAGCTTATTGTTCTATATTTAAAAAAATCTCTTATACGTTCATTATTCTTAAGATTTCAAATATTCTTTGAGGAAGCAATACTTTAATCAGTAATCTTCACCTTTAGCTCATTTTTTAAAGCAATTTTGTTTGTTTTTTTAGAGGCAGAGTCTCCCTGTGTTGCCCAGGCTGCAGCCTCAAACTCCTGGCTCAAGTGATCCTCTTGCATCAGCCTCCCGAGTAGCTGGGGTTACAAGCACACACCATTGTATCCAGCTTTCTCTTCTACTTAAAAGAGAAAACTCAGAGGATGCAATCACTTCCTCCTCTGAAAGCCATCCTCTCTAGCTGTTCTTGATTTAGCCCCTTCCTCTACATTCCCAGCACAATTGTAATCTTCCACCACCAAGTATCCTCTTTTAACTTTACAGTCTCCCTGTCAAGTTCCTCTGCCTACAAATACCTGTAAGGAACTTTCATCCTAGTAAAACTCTTCTTGGTCCTTTGTCTCCTTCTAGCAATTGCACTACCTTTCAAGTTTACTGAAGGTTTTCTGTGAGTACAATCTTTGCTTTCTCACCTGTTTCACATCTTAACCATTGCCTTCTCATTTATGCACCTTTCTCTTTGCCAGAAATGTGGTGACAGAGATCACTGGTGACTCCTTTATTGCCAGATCCAGTGCATGCCTCAGTCCTTAATTCCCTGGAACTCTGTTGAATTTGTCATTGTGGTTACTTAGTCCCTCTTAAAAGTTTGTGTTATCTCCCCCATAAGATGTTGGTCTCTTCGTTTTTTTTTTTTTTTTTTTTGGCTTTTGCTATTGTTACCACTTGTCACTGTCTCCATGTTAAAATGCCAAAAATGATCTAGTTGCTTTTGCTTTTTTCCCTATTTTCCACCCAGTCACTCCTTACCATGACTCCTTCCCTCAGAGGGCACGTAGCAGTATCTGTCCCGCCAGTCCCAAGGCCCTGTGGGAGGAGACTGGCCTGCATCTCTCTAAGACTTAGTCTGATGCCATGCGCATCTCTTGTTCTGTGTTCAATCAGTAGTCCAGGGGAGAAGCTTCTGCCACTTCAGAGCTTTGCTAAACTATCCTAACTTGTCTAAATCTCCCCAGAATCGCCATCTTTGACCCAAGCTTCCATGCGACAGCCTAATCCATTTCCCTGGACAGGTCTCTTTCCTGGAATGCATCCCAGGCACCTATGCTCCTGGCACCCTTGAGGTCTCTCCTTTGAGTCAGGGTCACCAAGAGGGTTGAGGAAGCAGTACCCAAGGTCCCAGCCTTGGCAGGAGCTGCCCTGGGTAGAGCTGGACTTAGATCTTCTGGTAGTCTCATATAAACCCAGCAGTCAGCCTCTTCTAGAACCCTAGCCAGGGACTGGAGCAGGAAAGGACCTTTGAAATGAAGCCTGCCTTGTCCTGCACCTCCTTTTGGCTTAGATTGAAACATGAATTTCCTAATGGGTTAACTCCTTTAAAACAAGGAGTTGGGGGGAAGGGCGTCATGCACTCCTAGAGAAAGGTACACAGTCGCCCGGCTGGGAACATGCTTGGCGTCGACTCCATGGGCATCTGACTGGGTTTTCCATCTCAGGAAAAATAATTTGAAAGAGGCTTAGCATGAAGGGGAATCAAAGAGGAGGTTGTGATTCGGTCGAAGGTGCCTGGTTTAGTGCTGTAATTGTCTTATTATATATATATATATTTCTTGGAGTAAACATTTTAAATAAACAACACCATTGTCAAAAAAAAATAAATAAAAGAAAGGAAGAAAGAAAGTAAGTTCGTGCTCTTCCTCTGTGAATATTTTTTCCTTGTGCCCCTACCTTCCTGGTAGTTCATTCTTGGTATTCTTCAGGGTCCTCTTTCCTGTCAAAGGTCTTAACAGTGTCAATGTCTCTCAGGGTTCTGTCCTTGCCTTCTGCTCTTCTCTGGCTATACAGTCTTATTAAGAAACCTCTTTTCTTTCATGGCTTCAGCTACTACCTGAACTCCACACCTCATATCTACTTGTGTGTAAGAGGAAATTTCCACCTAGAATTCTCAAAGATCTTACAACTAAAAGTGTACAAAGTCAATTCCTCATGTTCTCCCACCAAATCCCCCAGATCCAAGTCCCTCGTTCCTTTTTCTTGGCCTTAGTTATGGGAACTGTAATCTGGACATCATCTTGGGACCCTTCTTCACAGTTATCTCTCCCACACCCAATCAATACCAAGTCCTAGTTATGCCACCTATATATTTCTTGATTCCATTTCCTTCCTTCCATCATTAGCATTACTTCCTTAGCCCACATCTTCCTTCTTTCCTCGATGGGCTACTGCAGTAACCTAACTATTCTCTTGACATATATTCTTGCTTTTGATCTACTGATCAAAGCCAGGACTCAAAAATCCATCACTGCTCCTAAGTTAAACTTCAAATTCCTCAGTCTTGTATATAAGGTCTGCATTATCTGGCCTTAGTTATAGGAACTGTAATCTGGAATCAACATTCAACAGCCTGATTTCAAATCACCTTCCACCTGTCACTTCTGACCATGCTGGCCTTGCTTTGTGTACTGAAATACACACCACTCCTTCCTCAGAATCTTTGCCATAAGTTGTTTCCTCTGCTACAGCACTCCTCCCACTCTGTTTCCCTGATGAATTTCTACTCACTCTTCAAGTTTTATTTATTTTTAAAATATATATTTTTTGATACTGTCATGCTCTGTTGCCCACGCTGGAGTGCTGTGGTGCTATCATAGCTCACTGCAGCCTCAAACTCCTAGGCTCAAGTAATCATTCCACTTCAGCCTCCTGAGTAGCTGGTACCACAGGCGTGACCCACTGCACCCAGCCACTCTTCAAGTTTTAAACTTCATTTACCTACCCTTCCCTGAGCATCCAGGTGAGAGATTAGCAGTTCCTGAGGCATTTTTGTTTCACCCATGGCAACCACACTTATAATCCCTTGTGTGGTGTCTGTACCAATAAGCCGTTTACTTCTTGGACTGCTTTGAGGATTAAATGACTTGCTGTATGCAGAGCCTTTGGAGTTTCTTGCACTAATGTAAACAAGAAGAATTTTTTTATTTACTTTAAATTCTAGGGTACATGTGCAATATGTGCAGGTTTGTTACATATGTATACATGTGCCATGTTGGTGTGCTGCACCTATTAACTCATCATTTACATTAGGTATATCTCCTAATGCTTTCCCTCCCCCCTCCCCCCACCGCACAACAGGTCCTGGTGTGTGATGTTCCCCATCCTGCGTCCAAGTGTTCTCATTGTTTAATTCCCACCTATGAGTGAGAACATGCGGCGTTTGGCTTCCTGTCCTTGCGACAGTTTGCTCAGAATGATGGTTTCCAGCTTCATCCATGTCCCTACAAAGGACATGAACTCATCCTTTTTTATGGCTGCATAGTATTTCATGGTGTATATGTGCCACATTTTTTAAATCCAGTCTATCATTGATGGATATTTGGGTTGGTTTCAAGTCTTTGCTATCATGGATAGTGCTGCAATAAACATACGTGTGCATGTGTCTTTATAGCAGCATGATTTATAATCCTTTGGGTATATACCCAGTAATGGGGTGGCTGGGTCAAATGGTATTTCTAGTTCTAGATCTTTGAGGAATTGCCACACTGTCTTCCATAATGGTTGAACTAGTTTACAGTCCCACCAACAGTGTAAAAGTGTTCCTATTTCTCCACATCCTTTCCAGCACCTATTGCTTCCTGACTTTTTAATGATCAGCATTCTAACTGGTGTGAGATGGTATCTCATTGTGGTTTTGATTTGCATTTCTCTGATGGCCAATGATGATGAGCATTTTTTCATGTGTCTGTTGGCTGCATAAATGTCTTCTTTTGAGAGGAGTCTGTTCATATCCTTCACCTACTTTTTGATGGGGCTGTTTGATTTTTTCTTGTAAATTTGTTTAAGTTCTTTGTAGATTCTGGACATTAGCCCTTTGTCAGATGGATAGATTGCCAAAATTTTCTCCCAGTCTGTAGATTGCCTGTTCACTCTGATGGTAGTTTCTTTTGCAGTGCAGAAACACTTTAGTTTAATTAGATCCCATTTCTCAATTTTGGCTTTTGTTGCCATTGCTTTTGGTGTTTTAGACATGAAGTCCTTGCCCATGCCTATATCCTGAATGGTATTGCCTAGGTTTTCTTCTAGGGTTTTTATGGTTTTAGGTCTTACATTTAAGTCTTTAATCTATCTTGAATTAATTTTTGTGTAAGGTGTAAGGAAGGGAACCAGTTTCAGCATTTTACATATGACTAGCCAGTTTTCCCAGCACCATTTATTAAATAGGGAATCCTTTCCCCTTTGCTTGTTTTTGTCAGGTTTGTCAAAGATCAGATGGTTGTAGATGTGTGGTTTTATTTCTGAGGGCTCTGTTCTGTTCCATTGGTCTATATCTCTGTTTTGGTACCAGTACCATGCTGTTTTTGACTGTAGCCTTGTTGTATAGTTTGAAGTCAGGTAGCGTGATTCCTCCAGCTTTGTTCTTTTGGCTTAGGATTGTCTCAGCAATGAAGGCTCTTTTTTTATTCCATATGAACTTTAAAGTAGTTTTTTTCCAGTTCTGTGAAGAAAGTCATTGGTAGCTTGATGGGGATGACATTGAATCTATAAATTACCTTGTGAAGTATGGCCATTTTCATGATATTGATTCTTCCTATCCATGAGCATGGAATGTTCTTCCATTTGTTTGTGTCCTCTTTTATTTTGTTGAGCAGTGTTTTGTAGTTCTCCTTGAAGAGGTCCTTCACATCCCTTGTAAGTTGGATTCCTAGGTATTTTATTCTCTTTGAAGCAATTGTGAATGGGAGTTCACTCATGATTTGGCTCTCTGTCTGTTATTTGTGTATAGGAATGCTTGTGATTTTTGCACATTGATTTTGTATCCTGAGATTTTGCTGAAGTTGCTTATCAGCTTAAGGAGATTTTGGGCTGAGATGATGGGGTTTTCTAAATATACAATCATGTCATCTGCAAACAGGGACAATTTGACTTCCTCTTTTCCTAATTGAATACCCTTTATTTCTTTCTCGTGCCTGATTGCCCTGGCCAGAACTTCCAACACTATGTTGAATAGGAGTGGTGAGAGAGGTCATCCCTGTCTTGTGACAGTTTTCAAAGGGAATGCTTCCAGTTTTTGCCCATTCAGTATGATATTGGCTGTAGGTTTGTCATAAATAGCTCTTATTATTTTGAGATACATCCCATCAACACCTAATTTATTGAGAGTTTTTAGCATGAAGGGCTGTTGAATGTTGTCGAAGGCCTTTTCTGCATCTATTGAGATGATCATGTGGTTTTTGTCTTTGATTCTGTTTATATGATGGATTATGTTTATTGATTTGCATACGTTGAATCAGCCTTGCATCCCAGGGATGAAGCCCACTTGATCATGGTGGATAAGCTTTTTGATGTGCTGCTGGATTCTTTTTTGTCAGTATTTTATTGAGGATTTTTGCATCGATGTTCATCAGGGATATTGGTCTAAAATTCTCTTTTTTGTGTGTGTCTCTGCCAGGCTTTGGTATCAGGATGATGCTGGCCTCCTAAAAGGAGTTAGGGAGGATTCCCTTTTTTTCTATTGATTGGAATAGTTTCAGAAGGAATGGTACCAGCTCCTCCTTATACCTCTGGTAGATTTTGGCTGTGAATCCATTTGGTCCTGGACTTTTTTTGGTTAGTAGGCTATTTATTATTGCCTCAATTTCAGAGCCTGTTATTGGTCTATTCAGAGATTCAACTTCTTCCTGGTTTAGTCTTGGGAGTGTGTATGTGTCGAGGAATTTATCCATTTCCTCTAGCTTTTTTAGTTTATTTGCATAGAGGTGTTTATAGTATTCTCTGATGGTAGTTTTGTATTTCTGTGGGATTGGTGGTGATAACCCCTTTATCATTTTTTATTGCATCTATTCTTCTCTCTTTTCTTCTTTATTAGTCTTGCTAGTGGTCTATCAATTTTGTTGATCTTTTCAAAAACTAGCTCCTGGATTCATTGATTTTTTGAAGGGTTTTTTTGTGTTTCTATCTCCTTCAGTTCTGCTCTGATCTTAGTTATTTCCTGCCTTCTGCTAGCTTTTGAATGTGTTTGCTCTTGCTTCTCTAGTTCTTTTAATTGTGATGTTAGGGTGTCAATTTTAAATCTTTCCTGCTTTCTCTTATGGGCATTTAGTGCTATAAATTTCCCTCTACACACTGCTTTAATTGTGTCCCAGAGATTCTGGTATGTTGTGTCTTTTTTCTCATTGGTTTCAAAGAACATCTTTATTTCTGCCTTCATTTCGTTATGTACCCAGTAGTCATTCAGGAGCAGGTTGTTCAGTTTCCATGTAGTTGAGCGGTTTTAAGTGAGTTTCTTAATCCTGAGTTCTAGTTTGATTGCACTGTGGTCTGAGAGTTTGTTATAATGTCTGTTCTTTTACATTTTCTGAGGAGTGCTTTACTTCCAACTATGTGGTCAATTTTGGAATAAGTGCGATGTGGTGCTGAGAAGAATGTATATTCTGTTGATTTGGGGTGGAGAGTTCTGTAGATGTCTATTAGGTCTGTTTGTGCAGAGCTGAGTTCAATTCCTGGATATCCTTGTTAACTTTCTGTCCTGTGGATCTGTCTAATGTTGACAGTGGGGTGTTAAAATCTCTCATTATTATTGTGTGGGAGTCTAAGTCTCTTTGTGGGTCTCTAAGGACTTGCCTTATTAATCTGGTTGCTCCTGTATTGGGTGCATATATATTTAGGATAGTTAACTCTTCTTGATGAGTTGATCCCTTTACCATTATGTAATGGCTTTCTTTGTCTCTTTTGATCTTTGTTGTTTAAAGCCTGTTTTATCAGAGACTAGGATTGCAACCCCTGCTTTTTTTTGTTTTCCATTTGCTTGGTAGATCTTCCTCCATCCCTTTATTTTGAGCCTATGTGTGTCTCTGCACATGAGATGGGTCTCCTGAATACAGCACACTGATGGGTCTTGACTCTTTATCCAATTTGCCAGTCTGTGTCTTGTAATTGGAGCATTTAGCCCATTTACATTTAAGGTTAATATTGTTATGTGTGAATTTGATCCTGTCATTTTGAGTTAGCTGGTTATTTTGCTCATTAGTTGATGCAGTTTCTTCCTAGCATCGATGGTCTTTACAATTTGGCATGTTTTTGCAGTGGCTGGTACTGGTTTTTCCTTTCCATGTTTAGTGCTTCCTTCAGGAGCTCTTGTAAGGCAGGCCCAGTGGTGACAAAATCTCTCAGCATTTGCTTGTCTGTAAAGGATTTTATTTCTCCTTCACTTATGAAGCTTAGTTTGGCTGGATATGAAACTCTGGGTTGAAAATTCTTTGCTTTAAGAATGTTGAATATTGGCCTCCACTCTCTTCTGGCTTGTAGAGATTCTGCTGAGAGATCCACTGTTAGTCTGGTGGGCTTCCCTTTGTGGGTAACTCGACCTTTCTCTCTGGCTGCCCTTAACATTTTTTCCTTCATTTCAACTTGGGTGAATCTGACAATTATGTGTCTTGGAGTTGCTCTACTTGAGGAGTATCTTTGTGGCATTCTCTGTATTTCCTGAATTTGAATGTTGGCCTGCCTTGGTAGGTTGAGGAAATTCTCCTGGATAATATCCTGAAAACTGTTTTCCAACTTTGTTCCATTCTCCCCATCACTTTCAGGTACACCAATCAGATGTAGATTTGGTCTTTTCACATAGTCCCATATTTCTTGGAGGCTTTGTTCCATTTCTTTTTACTCTTTTTTCTCTAAACTTCTCTTCTCACATCATTTCATTCATTTGATCTTCAATCACTGATACCCTTTCTTCCAGTTGATTGAATCAGCTACTGAAGCTTGCACATGTAGTTCTCGTGCCATGGCTTTCAGCTCCATCAGGTCATTTAAGGTCTTCTCTACCCTGGTTATTCAGTTAGCCATTCGTCTAATCTTTTTTCAAGGTTTTTAGCTTCTTTGTGATGGGTTCAAACATCCTCCTTTAGCTCAGAGAAGTTTGATCATCTGAAGCTTTCTTCTCTCAACTCATCAAAGTCATTCTCCATCCAGGTTTGATCTATTGCTGGTGAGGAGCTGCATTCCTTTGGAGGAGAAGAGGTGCTCTGATTTTTAGAATTTTCAGCTTTTCTGCTCTGGCTTCTCCCCATCTTTGTGTTTTTATCTACCTTTTGTCTTTGATGATGGTCACGTACAGATGGGGTTTTGGTGTGGATGTACTTTTTGTTTGTTAGTTTTCCTTCTAATAGTCAGAACCCTCAGCTGCAGGTCTGTTGGAGTTTGCTGGAGGTCCACTCTAGATCCTGTTTGCCTGGATATGACCAGTAGAGGCTACAGAATAGCGAATATTGCAGAATAGCAAATGTTGCTGCCTGATCATTCCTCTGGAAGCTTCATCTCAGAGGGGTACCCGGCCGTGTGAGGTATCAGTCAGCCCCTACTGGGAGGTGCCTCCCAGTTAGGGTACTCAGGTGTCAGGGAGCCACTTGAGGAGGCAGTCTGTTTGTTCTCAGATCTCAAACTCCATGCTGGGAGAACCACTACTCTCTTCAAAGCTGTCAGACAGGGACATTTAAGTCTGCAGAAGATTCTGCTGCCTTTTGTTCAGCTATGCCCTGCACCCAGAGGTGGAGTCTGCAGAGGCTGGTAGGCCTCCTTGAGCTGCAGTGGGCTCCATCCAGTTCAAGCTTCCCAGCCGCTTTGTTTACCTACTGAAGTCTCAGCAATGGTGGGCGCCCCTCCCCCAGCCTTGCTGCCACCTTGCAGTTCGATCTCAGACTGCTGTGCTAGCAATGAGCAAGGCTCCATGGGTGTGGGACCCTCCAAGCCAGGTGTAGGAAATAATCTCCTGGTGTGCCATTTGCTAAGACCATTGGAACAGCACAGTATTAGGGTGGGAGTGACCCGATTTTCCAGGTGCCATCTGTCACAGCTTCCCTTGGCTAGGAAAGGGAATTCCCTGACCCCTTGCACTTCCCAGGTGAGGTGGTGCCTTGCCCTGCTTCAGGTCTCACTCGGTGGGCTGCACCCACTGTCCTGCACCCACTGTCTGACAAGCTCCAGTGAGATGAACCTGGTATTTCAGTTGGAAATGCAGAAATCACCTGTCTTCTGCATCGCTCATGCTGGGAGCTCTAGACTGGAACTGTTCCTATTTGGCCATCTTGGAACCTCCCATGTAGGTTACCATTTTTAGGGGTGGTCACTGTTGAGCCTCCAAGTCCTATTCCCTTAAAATGGAAGACCCAAAATCCTGTTTGGGTTGAGCTGTGGCCACTTACTCAGGAAAAATTGGGGGCCTTACAGGAATTAGTCAAAGAGCAATTAAACAAAGGAAGCATTGAGCCCACATTTTCTCCATAGAATTTGCCGGTGTTTGTAATAAAGAAAAAATCCAGCAGATGGCGCATGCTAACCGACTTACGTGTGGTGAACACATTCATTCAGCTGATTGGGGCCCTGCAGCTGGGGCTTCTATCCCCCACCATGATTCCTAGAGACTGGCCATTAGTAATTATAGATTTGAAGGATTGCTTTTTAAATATTCTTCTAGCAGAGTCTGATTTTGTGAAATTTGCTTTTACTATTCCTGCTATGAACAACAAGGAACCAGCAGCCAGATATCATTGGAAAGTCCTGCTGCAGGATATGTTGAATAGTCCTACTATTTGTCAAACTTTTGTGGGGAAGGCTATTCCACCTGTGAGAGATCAGTTTCCTGATTCATATATCATTCATTTTATGGATGACATATTGGGTACGGTCAAAAGTTAAGACTGACTTATCCAGTGTTATTCATATTTACAGGAGGTGGTAGCCAATGCTGGATTGCTCATAGCACCAGATAAAATTCAAACATCCACTCCTTTCCAATATTTGGGAATGCAGGATCAGGAAAGGGCAATTAGACCCCAAGAGGTTCAAATTCAAAAAGACTCTCTGAAAACTTTAAATGATTTTCAAAAATTATTAGGGGATATCAATTGGATTTGACCTCCTTTGGGAATCCCTACCTATGCTATGTCTAATCTGTTCTCTATTTTAAGAGGTGACCCTGCTCTCAATAGTAAATGAGAACTGACTCCTGAGACTGCCAAAGAATTACAAATGATTGAAGAAAAAATACAACAGGCCCAGGTTAATAGAATAGACTCAAATTTACCATTACAGTTCATTGTGTTCCCTACTCTCCATTCTTCTACAGGGGTTACAGTTCAGAGTGAGGACTTAGTTGAATGGTCTTTTCTGCCTCACAATACTGTTAGAACACTCACAGTATACTTGGATCAGATGGCAATCTTGATTGGGCAAGCTCACCTTAGAGTTGTTAAACTTTGTGGCTCAGATCCAGATAAGATTATAGTTCCAATGAATAAAAATCAGATTTGGAAAGCCTTTGTTAATTCAGTCAATTGGCAAATAGATTTAGCTGGCTTCATTGGAGTTCTTGATAATCTGAAGGGGTGGCCTGCCCCTCCACACCTGTGGGTATTTCTAGTCAGGTGGGATGGGAGACTGAGAAAAGAAATAAGACACAGTGACAAAGTATAGAGAAACAACAGTGGGCCCAGGAGAGCGGCACTCGGCACACCAAGGACCTGCACCGGCACCGGTCTCTGAGTTCCCTCAGTTTTTATTGATTATTATTTTCATGATTTCAGCAGAAAGGAATGTAGTAGGAGAGCAGGGTGATAATAAGGAGAAGGTCAGCAAAAAGCATGTGAGCAAAGGAATCTATGTCATAATTAAGTTCAAGGGAAAGTACTATGCCTGGATGTGCACATAGGCCAGATTTATGTTTCTCTCCACCCAAACATCTCAGTGGAGTAAAGAATAACAAGGCAGCATTGCTGCCAACATGTCTCACCTCCCACCATAGGGCGGTTTTTCTCCTATCTCAGAATTGAACAAATGTACAATCGGGTTTTATACCAAGACGTTCAGTTCCCAGGGGCAGGCAGGAGACAGTGGCCTTCCTCTATCTCAACTGCAAGAGGCTTTCCTCTTTTACCAATCCACCTCAGCACAGACCCTTTACGGGTGTCGGGCTGGGGGACAGTCAGGTCTTTCTCATCTCATGAGGCCATATTTCCGACTATCACATGGGGAGAAACCTTGGACGATACCCAGCTTTCAAGGGCAGAGTTCCCTGTGGGTTTCTGCAGTGCATTATGCCTGTGGTTTGTTGACACTAGAGAATGGCAATGACTTTTGCCAAGTATACTGCTTGTAAACATTTTGTTAACAAGGCACATCCTGCACAGCCCTAGATCCCTTAAACCTTGACTTCATACAACACATGTTTTTATGAGCTCCAGGTTGGGTCAAAGTGGCTGGGGCAAAACTACAAATTAACAACATCTGAGCAAAGCAATTGTTCAAAGTACAGGTCTTTTTCAAAATGGAGTCTCTTATGTCTTCCCTTTCTACATAGACACAGTAACAGTCTGATCTCTCTCTCTTTTCCCTACATATCCCCCTTTTCTTTTTGACAAAACCGCCATCATCATCATGGTCCGTTCTCGCTAGCCGCTGTCTCTCCGGAGCTGCTGGATACACCTGTAGACTAACAATAGAGAGGACAGACATACAAGGATTAATACAAAATTTGCAATAGTGGAATTTCCAATGGTTTTAACCCAAGTGACAGGTTTAAGATTCGTGAGGCTATCAACAGCTTTTTCCATTGCCTCAGTTTCTGGCACCAAATTTAACTGGGCTTTGGATGTTTTAAAAATTTGTTCTTTCAATTTTGAAATATCTAAAGTAAGATTATCTTCTCTTCCTTGTAGATGGCATCTAACCATGTCCCAGTGATGTTCAGATTCATTATAGGCTTGAGGTGTAATACAAAAATCTGATGTATTGTAGTCACACAGTAACTGAAAAAGATATTCCAAACTTATGAGCCTATCTCCCATCCAAATGACAGTTTGTCTAAGATCATTAATTTGATTTGCCAATTTTTGATCTATTTGAGTCTGAGAATTCCACAATTTTGAGGAATTCTTTTGCCAATTATTCACATATTCTGCAGTGTGAACAGAGGAGGGTAAAGCAATTACAGCAGCCCTAGCAGCAGCTGTGACTGCAATAAGACCCATAATCACTGCAATTAAAGTAAAAATGAATCTTTTAGATCTAGTTAGAACTCCTTTTAATACTTCTGTTAAGATATGTACGGATGGAGAAGCCTCCCACGGTCGGTCCATGGACACAGGGATCCTCGCACCCTCTCTTGCCCTCACTAACAGAATACGATGCTGCCAATCAAAAGTTGAATCAATGCAAGTAAACAATCTACAATTTTCACAGGTTATAGTTTGGGAATCTGGTTTAATAACTATGTTTCCTACAACTAGCATATGAGGGGGTTTTACATAACTTTGCAAAGGAATTGTCGGATTGGATTTTAGGTTAATAGTAAAATATGGTTTATGATTTCTTGTTCCCATAACTTGATTTCCAGACCAAATTCTAATGTGGTATGAGGCCACAGTGAGCTTCCATAATTCTGGGTGTTCAGGAGCAACAACAGGACTAACTAACTTTGGGCGGGGTGATGAAATCCCCTTTTCACCCCATTTCCATGGATAGGGTGATTCTAGCCTTCTATAAACCTGGTCTAGCCTTTTAGTTAAATCACTATCATAGGCCGGATTAGTGGGCCAGACTGATGGAGCCTGTGAACATGAGTGGGTCTGGCCTGTACTATCATAATATAATTGGCCTCAAGCGGCCCAGTTTATAATAGTTCCAAATTTATTGTTTTGTAATACCACCGCAGTATCAGCCACACATTCTTCCCAAACTAAGACTTCTGAGTCTTTTTATTCTTTTGGAATTTCCTTGGGGCAAGATTTTCCCTTAAGCCTAAATTTTAATGATCTTTTATAGGAAGAATCCTGTAAATTATTTATTTGTGACCCGAGTGACATTTCACTTACCTGTGATAAGTGAATTTACTGGTAGCACTGACAGTAGGTACTTCTACCAACCAATTTTGGTTTGTAGGCATTAAGCATCCCGGTGCTTTTCCCAGGCAAATAGGAGGATAATGATACCCAATGGAAATGTTTATCATCATTCCTTCTTCTTCAGGTTGGGCAGGGCCACGGTCATCTGTGGGGCCTGGTACCCATGCACTATTATTAACATATACTTCAATAGGATTATCTATCCAAGTGACTGCCCGAATTAAGGGTCGGAAAGGCACATAGGCCCAGTAAGTATAGTTAGCTGTAGCGGCTCCTGCAGACATAGGGAGACTTACCACCATTGATACAATCATTAAAGCTGCAAGCAGCATATTCTCTGGAGTTTGTGTTACCCTTGTGTTTTTCAGACTTTTTTCAGCTAACTGTGTCAGCTTCTTTAGCTGGGCCCAGGTTGGCGGCTCCGCTTTCTTGGTGGATGGCAACTTCATCTGTTCTTCTGATATCACCATTTTGTTCACCTGGTGGGTCGATGATGCTCAACTGCAGGTTTTTTGTCTCTGTGGAGGCACTTTTATTTGCATTTCTGATGGGATGGGTTTATTGTAGAACTTCAAATGTCTAGTGGGTATCCAAACAGGAAGCTGATTTTCTCCTGGTGAAACACAAGAAAAACCTCTCCCCCATGTTATCACCTTCCCTGTTTCCCAAGTTTTACTTTTGTTGTCTTTCCACCAAATCAGTTTTCCCTCATGTGGGCTGTTCTTTTTACCAGTAAAATGTTGTTCTGCAGAAGTAGTGGTCTGATTTCTATAAATGTTTAAAAAATTTAAAGTATAGGGTGCTAGATTAAGTTCATCTGGGAAGTGTTATACTCCTTACTGTCTTTTTCCCTTTTTTGTTTAACCAATTGAGCTTTGAGTGTTCTATTAGTTCTTTCAATTATGGCCTGTCCTTGGGAATTATAAGGGATTCCTGTTGTATGTGTAATTTTCCACTGATTTAAGAATTTTTGAAATGCTTTACTACAGTATCCTGGCCCATTATCTGTTTTAATTTTTTCTGGAACTCCCATGACAGCAAAATAAGATAATAAATGTATTTTAACATGGGAAGTACTTTCTCCTGTCTGGCAGGTTGCCCATATGAAATGTGAATAAGTATCAACTGTCACGCGGACAAATGACAATTTTCCAAATGAAGGTACATGTGTGACATCCATTTGCCATAATGCATTAGGACATAAATCTCTGAGATTAACTCCTGCCTCCTGAGTGGGCAGGTGTAAGACTTGACACTGAGCACAATGTTGTACAATATTTTTTGCCTGTTTCCATGTGATATCAAATTTATTTTTTAATCCTGTTGCATTTACATGAGTCAGGACATGAAGTTCTTGTGCTTCCATCAAGGCAGATGATACTAGCAAGTCAGCTTGTTCATTTTCCTTAGTTAATTGCCCTGGTAAATTAGTATGTGCTCGAATATGAGTAATATAAACTGGGAAATTTCTTTTTCTTACAGTTTGTTGTAACAATTTAAACAGATGATTTAACTGATAATCCATACTATATTTGATTAGAGCTTTGTAGCCTTTGTAGCCTGTACTATATATGCAGAATCTGAAACAATGTTAATAGGCTGATTAAAATCTTGTAACACTGAAGTGACAGCAACCAATTCTGCTCTTTGAGCTGAGTGATATTGAGTTTCAATGACTCATTCTTTTGGCCCAGTGTAAGCCACTTTTCCATTGCTGAAACCATCAGTAAACACTGTCAGAGCATTTTCTAAAGGTTTTTGTCTGGTAATTTTAGGTAAAATCCAAGTAGTCAATTTTAAAAACTGGAAGATTTTTGTTTCTGGGTAATGATTATCAATAATTCCCACAAAATCAGCTAGACCAATCTGCCATGCAGCAGAATTGATAAAGGCTTGTCTAACCTGTTCCTTGTTTAAAGGAACAATGATTTTATCTGGGTCACTTCCACACAATTTTACTATTCGTAGTCTTGTCTGACCAATTAATGTAGCCATTTGATCTAAGTACAATGTAAAAGTCTTAACTGTACTGTGAGGAAGGAATGACCACTCCACAAGATCTGTATTTTGAACAATAATGCCTGTTGGAGAATGTGCAGTAGCAAAAATCAAAAATTGGAGTGGGGCTAAGTGATCTATTCTATTTACTTGTGCTGAATTAATTTTTTCTTCAACTAATTCAATTTCTTTAGTTGCCTCTGGAGTTATTGTTCTTTTACCATTCAAGTCTGGATCCCCTCTCAAGATAGAAAACAAATTTGACATGGCATAAGTAGGAATGCCTAGAGTTGGCCCAATCCAATTAATATCTCCTAGCAATTTTTGAAAGTCATTTAATGTTCTTAATGTGTCTTTTCTTATTTCTATTTTTTGTGGTTTAATTTTTCTTTCCTCTACCTGCATTCCCAAATAATTAAAAGGAGTGGAGGTCTGAATCTTATCAGATGCTATTGTCAGGCCTGTGTTTGCAACCTCTGTCTGCAGAAACATGTAAAAGTCAATTAATTTGTCTCTTGTTTCTGCAGCACACAAAATATCATCAACATAATGAATGATATAACAGTCTGAAAACTGTCTCTAACTGGTTCCTGGGTCCTGAATCTTTTCCCAGGCCCTGAGGCAAATAGCCCCTAGTTGTTCAATAGCCTCATTTTGCATTACTGATTGTTGGTTAATAGTGCTCCAATTTGGACGTGTTCCTAGCAATTGGTCTGCATCTATATTAACAACAGGATAAGTAGCCTGATTTTTCCGTACCTGTTCTTGTACTCCATCAATCCACCAGGTTTTAAACTGTAGATACTGAGAGGGTGAAAGGGAAGATTTAGGTAAAATTTCCCAATCATAAGGAATAAGTCTATTTCCATGAGCAATGGAATCTAATAACGTTCTCATATAAGGAGAGTTGGGTCCATATTGTTTAGCTCCTTCCTTTATGTCTTTTAACATTTTCATGGTGAAATATTCTTACCTAGCCTCCGTTCGGACAGACGCTCCTGCTTGACTCCCTTTCCTGGCCCTTTCCCGGCCGGTATCGGTTGTAACATTACCGGATACTGCCATGCCTCAAGATCTCCCTGTTTTCTGGCTGTATCAACGGTCTCATGCAGTGCACTATCTTGTCCACTAGCTGGTACTGTAGGATCAAACACCATCGCCGTGGGTTGTTGATATAGTGCCCTACTATTTGGCACAGGATCCCATCTGGGATCTATACTGCACCTCTGGAGATGGCCGATACTGAAATTCGGCTGGCGGCCAGTGTTGATAAACTACCAGTGGTTGGGTTTTATTTTCAACCAGCTGATATTGTAGATACTGTGTCTGTATTGGCATTTGAGGTTGTAATGTCACAGGCATCTGAACCACAGGAGAAGGAGTTGGTGGCCATCGTGGTCTAAACTCTGATGGCCCGAATAATTCTGGACCTCCTTCCCCCAATTTTGATGATTCAGGATATATTACCTCCTGTAATTGATTATAGTCAACATTTTGCATTGACTGAGCCATTACAGACTCTACTACATTTTTATAATGTGAACTTTCCATTCCTTTCTTGAACTCTGTTCCTGTCTCTTCTTCACAATCTATTACACAGCTTTCAGGGGCATCAGAAACTGAAACGCTATCTTCTCCTGTTTGAAATGGTTCTAAAGTTGCTTTAATAATGGCCCAATCATTCCATACTGTAAGTGGGATGATTTTACCTTCCCTACTTGCTTGTTTTAATTATTTGCCAATTTTTTCCCAATCTTTTAAATCTAAAGTTCCCTGTTCTGGAAACCATGGGCAGAATTGTTCTGTTGTTTGAAACAGTGTAATTAGATTTTCCGTAGAAGCTTTAACTCCCCCTCTTCTTAAGAGAATTTTAATGAAGCTGAGATAAGAGGCATATTTACTTTCAGTTTGCCCCATTGTTACCCTGGATTCCTCTGAGTGCACAAGGTTACCGGAAGGCTGACCGTGGACGTACTCGGGAATCTCTCGTCGGCTGTCCTCGATGCTCACATTCTTAGCATAGCTTCACCCTAGAGAAAGGCACCCACGTTGGGTGGCAGATGAAGGGGTGGCCTGCCCCTCCACACCTGTGAGTATTTCTAGTTGGGTGGGATGAGAGACTGAGAAAAGAAATAAGACAGAGAGACAAAGTATAGAGAAACAACAGTGGGCCCAGGAGAGCGGCACTCAGCACACCAAGGACCTGCACCAGCACCGGTCTCTGAGTTCCCTCAGTTTTTATTGATTATTATTTTCATGATTTCAGCAGAAAGGAATGTAGTAGGAGAGCAGGGTGATAATAAGGAGAAGGTCAGCAAAAAACATGTGAATAAAAGAATCTATGTCATAATTAAGTTCAAGGGAAGGTACTATGCCTGGATGGGCACGTAGGCCAGATTTATGTTTCTCTCCACCCAAACATCTCAGTGGAGTAAAGAATAACAAGGCAGCATTGCTGCCAACATGTCTCGCCTCCCACCATAGGGCAGTTTTTCTCCTATCTCAGAATTGAACAAATGTACAATCGGGTTTTATACCAAGACCTTCAGTTCCCAGGGGCAGGTAGGAGATGGTGGCCTTCCTCTATCTCAACTGCAAGAGGCTTTCCTCTTTTACCAATCCACCTCAGCACAGACCCTTTATGGGTGTCAGGCTGGGGGATGGTCAGGTCTTTCTCATCCCATGAGGTCATATTTCAGACTATCATATGGGGAGAAACCTTGGACAATACCCAGCTTTCAAGAACAGAGGTCCCTGCGGCTTTCCGCAGTGGATTATGCCCCTGGTTTGTTGACTCTAGAGAATGGCGATGACTTTTACCAAGTATACTGCTTGTAAACATTTTGTTAACAAGGCACGTCCTGCACAGCCCTAGGTCCCTTAAACCTTGATTTCATACAACACATGTTTTTGTGAGCTCCAGGTTGGGTCAAAGTGGCTGGGGCAAAACTACAAATTAACAACATCTGAGCAAAGCAATTGTTCAAAGTACAGGTCTTTTTCAAAATGGAGTCTCTTATGTCTTCCCTTTCTACATAGACACAGTAACAGTCTGATCTCTCTTTTCTCTACCACAATCATTATCCAAAAAAGAAGATTTTTCAGTTTTTAAAGCTAACAACATGGGTCCTTCCAAAAATTACCAATAGTGCTCCATTGGAAGGAGGAGTCACTGTGTTTACAGATGGCTCTAGCAATGGAAAAGCAGCTTATATAGGACCTAAAAACAAAATTATTCAAACTGACTTTCAATGGGCACAAAGGGCTAAATTACAGACAGTTATAGCTGTGTTAGAAGACTTTAAGCAACCTGTAAATATTGTCTCTGATTCACCTTATGTTGTTCAAGCCATTCAATACATAGAAACTGCACTCATTAAATATCTTGTGGGTGAACAACTCTATCAGCTGTTTTCTTCTTTACAAAAGACAGTGCATGATCGCTGTTTTCCTTTCTATATTACACACATTCAAGCACACACTAATCTTCCTGGGCCCCTTGTAAGGGCTAATGGTCAAGCTGATTTACTAGTTTCAACTGTGCTTACTAATGCCCAAGATTTTCACTCCTTGTGAAACACATGTTAATACAGCAGGACTTAAACAAAAATATCAGATTACTTGGAGACAGGCAAAGGACATTGTACAACATTACCCTCAGTGCCAGGTACTATAACTGCCACATGAAGGGACTCATGTTAACCCACAGGGATTAACCCGTAATATGTTGGGGCAAGTGAATGTAACCCACGTACCTTCGTTTGGGAAATTTCATACGTCCATGTTACTATAGATGCCTTTTCTCATTTTGTGTGGGCAACTTGCCAAACAGGCGAGGCGGCTGCTCGTATTAAAAGATATTTACTTTCCTGTTTTGCTGCCATGGGCCTCCCACAAAAGATTAAAACAGACAATGGCCCAGGCTACTGTAGTAAATCTTTACAAGCGTTCCTTCAACAATGGTACATTGAGCACAGTACTGGAATACCCTATAATTCTCAAGGCCAAGCCATTGTTGAATGGGCTAATCAAACCTTAAAATCTCAATTACAAAAACAAAAGACAGAGGGGGGAACCAGAGAATACTCTACTCCCCATATGCAGCTACAATTTGCTCTTATCACTTTAAATTTTTTGAATTTGTCTAAAGATAAGGTTACAACAACAGCAGAACAGCATTTGTCAGGGCAAAAATAAATCGTCATGAAGGAAAACATGTGTGGTGGAAGGAAGTCAGAATCAAAACCTGGGAAAAGGGCAAAATCATTACTTGGGGTCAAGCGTTTTCTTGTATCTCACCGGGAGAGAATCAGCTTCCTGTCTGGGTACACATAAGACATCTTAAGCTGTGCCATAAGCCAGAATCCAAGGAAGAGGTAAAGACCTTGGAATATCCCTTCACCCCCAGTTCATCAGATGGCTCAGATGAACATCTCTGTTGAGCAGATGGAAACCAGTAAAACCCACCAAGTAACTCCACCGACCTGGGGGCAGATGAAGAGACTAGCTCATATTACAGAAGAGAACCTGAGGTCTCAGAATAAGCCGCTGACCACCAGTAATCTAATGGTAGCTATGATGACAGTAATCTCCCTGGTGGTGAGTCTCCCCATAGCTGAGGCAGATCAAAATTACAATTATTGGGCCTACATTCCATTCCCACCACTGATTAGGCCTGTTACATGGTTAGACTTCCTGGTGGAGGTTTATGTTAATGATAGTGTCTGGATGCCTGGACCAACAGGCAACCGAGGTCCTACTCATCCAGAGGAGGAAGGAATGTTAATGAATGTTTCCATTGCTTATCACTTTCCTCCCATCTGCCTGGGGCCGACAGGAGGATGTTTAAATTATGATAAATAAAGTTGGATGGTTTATGTCCCTGCACATAGTGGATCAAAAGCCTGTATTCATGTAATCAGTGGAAGAACATTTCAATCTTTGGACACTATTAAATACCTTGTGCACGGCTATGTTATGACACATCACCAGATTAATAAATTTAAACCTAATAAGAAGCCCTGCCCTAGGCAGGCCACTAAATGGTCTGGAAAGCTAGAGGTGCTAACCTGGGAAGATTGTATTGCAAACAGCGATGCTGTACTGCAAAATAATTCCTATGGAATCATCATTGATTTGGCCCCTAGGAGAGGCTTTGCAGTAAATTGTACTGGACAGCGTGAAGATTGTAGAGAGACTCCTTTTGCAAACGACCACCCAGATTATGCACCAAAATTATATAGAAGAATGGAAGCACATTTCCCTATTAAGTGGGAGGGGAATGGTATGGCTCCTTCAAGCCCCAAAATAATTGATCCAATTATAAGTCCAGAACATCCAGAATTGTGGAAATTAATGATGGCTCAAACCCAATTCGGATTTGGAAAGGAGAATATAAAACAGAGACCCATAGTAAAAACTTCAATTTGTTGTAGCCATGACTTCTAATCAGATGGTCCCATTGCAGAGTTGTGTTAAACCTCCTCTTATGTTGGCAGTGGGAAAAATTAATATCCTACCTGACTCTCAAACCATATCATTCCTCAACTGTCATCTTTTTACCTGCATTAATTCTACCTTTAATAAAGATAATAACATTTTACTGGTTAGGGCCTGAGAAGGAGTTTGGATACCTATTTCCCTCAATAGACCTTGGGAGTCCTCTCCCTCCATACATATTATCACTGAATTACTAAAAGGAATACTTAATAGATAAAAGAGATGCATATTTACTTTAATAGCTGTGATCATGGGCCTTATAGCTGTCACAGCTGCTGCTGCTGTTGCTGGTGTTGCTTTGCACACTTCTATTCAAACTGTGGGCTTTGTGGATAGTTGGCAGAAAAATTCTTCTAAGCTTTGGAATCCCCAAAGCCAAATAGATCAAAAATTGGCAAATCAAATTAATGATCTCCATCAAACAGTAATGTGGATGGGAGATTGGATTATGAGCTTGGAGCATAGAATTCAAATGCAACGTGATTGGAATACTTCTGATTTTTGTATTACTCCTAGCTCTTACAATGCCAGTGAACACCATTGGGAGATGATTAGATGTCACCTACAAGGAAAAGAAGATAATTTATCATTAGATATTGCTAAACTGGAAAAACATGTTTTTGAGACATCTAAGGTTCATCTCACCCTGTTGCCTGGAGATGATATTCTTGCTGGAGCTGCTGATGGCCTTTCTAATACCAATCCTTTAAAGTGGATTAAAACCATAGGTGGATCAACAATTGCAAATTTTATTTTGGTTTGTGTCTGTTTATGCTGTTTGTTTTTAGTCTACAGATGTGGATGATGCCTTGGGAGAGAAGCCAGACACCGTGAATGAGCCATGATAGCAATGGCAGTTATTAATCAAAAAAAATTAATAAAGACAAAAAAGGGGGACATGTGGGAAAGAGAGTTTCTAGGGTGCCAGTTGAGTTGGTCTCCCCTGTGTGAGACACCCATGGGAAGCCATGGGCAGCCTCTGGGGGGAAAAGTCTCCTTATTGCCTTCATGTCTTTATGCCCTGAGAGCATAACTGCTCAGCAGCATTCCACAGGTTGCTCAGGGAGATAACACTCCCTTGAAGCAGTGGAGTATAATCAAACATCTTGGCTCCTCCTGAAACCCGCAAGATCTTAAGTAGTTTAGACATACACCTCTGCTCAAGGAAATTCACAGAAACCGCCACTGCTATACATCTTATCGAATGACTCACGAGTTCTCCTTCACTGATTAATCCTTTTTCCCACCCCTTCCTCCCCCTCCCATCTGCCTTAAGAACAAAGAGCTTGTAGACCAATAAATTGGGCAGAGCCTGAGAGCTCTGGGCCATGAGCAAGCCTCCAACACTCTTGTCCCCTGGACCTGCCTTTTAAATGCTTATTCTGTCTCTTTCCAACTCCTTTGTCTCTGCTGGATTTGGGGTACCCACTGGGTGTTGTGGGGCTGGTTTCCCCAACAGTGGAAAAAAGGCTGGCCTCACTGTTTATGGGTAGTTGTGGCAGTGGCAATCTCAGTATCAGAGGCTATGAAAATAATACAAGGAAAGGATCTCACCATCTGGACTACTCATGATGTAAATGGCATAATAGGTGCCAAAGGTAGTTTATGGCTATCAGACAACTGCCTGCTTAGATACCAGCTGCTACACCTTGAGGGACTGGTGCTTCAAATATGCACATGTGCAGCCCTAAACCCTGTCACCTTTCTCCCAGAGGATGGAGGACCAGTTGAGCACTACTGCCAACAAATTATAGTCCAGACTTATGCCACTGAGAGGATCTCTTAGAAGTCCCCTTAGTTAATCCTGACCCTAACCTATATACCAATGGAAGTTCATTTGTGGAGAATTGGATATGAAGGGCAGGTTATGCCATAGTTAGTGATGTAACGGTACTTGAAAGTAAGCCTCTTCCCCCAGGGACCAGTGCCCAGTTAACAGAACTAGTGGCACTTACCCAAGCCTTAGGACTGGGAAAGGGAAAAAGAATAAATGTGTATACAGATAGCAATCATGCTTATGTAATCCTACATGCCCATGCTGCAATATGGAAAAAAAGGGAGTTCCTAACCTCTGGGGGAACCCCCATTAAATACCACAAGGAAATCTTGGAGTTATTGCACGCAGTGCAAAAACCCAAGGAGGTGGCAGTCTTACACTGCAAAGCCATCAAAAAGAGGAAGGAGAGCAGAGAACAGCAGCATAAGTGGCTGGCAGGGCACTTGACAAAGAGAAGGACAAAGAGAAGGAAAGAGAGAGAGAGGGAGAGAGAGGAAAGACAGAAAGTCAAAGAGAGAAGGAAAGAGAGAGGGATAGAGAGAGGGAAAGACAGAAAAAGAGAGAAGGAAAGAGAGAGAGGAAGAGACAAAGAGGAAGTCAGAGAGAAAGAAAGAGAGACAGAAAGTCAAAGAGAAGGAGAGGAAGAGACAGACAAAGAGGGAGTCAGAGAAAGAGAGAAAGAGACAAAGTCAAAGAGAGAAACAGAGAGACAGAAAGTCAAAGAAAGAGAGAGAGAAGTATTAAAGAAAAAACAGTGTACCCTATTCCTTTAAAAGCCAGGGCAAATTTAAAACCTATAATTGATAATTGATTTAAAACCACAATGAGATACCATCTCACACCAGTTAGAATGGCAATCATTACAAAGTCAGGAAACAACAGGTGCTGGAGAGGATGTGGAGAAATAGGAACACTTTAACACTGTTGGTGGGACTGTAAACTAGTTCAACCATTGTGGAAGTCAGTGTGGTGATTCCTCAGGGATCTAGAACTAGAAATACCATTTGACCCTGCCATCCCATTACTGGGTGTATACCCAAAGGACTATAAATCATGCTGCTATAAAGACACATGCACACGTATGTTTATTTCGGCATTATTCACAATAGCAAAGACTTGGAACCAACCCAAATGTCCAACAATGATAGACTGGATTAAGAAAATGTGGCACATATACACCATGGAATACTATGCAGCCATAAAAATGATGAGTTCACGTCCTTTGTAGGGACATGGATGAAATTGGAAATCATCATTCTCAGTAAACTGTCGCAAGGACAAAATACCAAACACCGCATGTTCTCACTCATAGATGGGAATTGAACAATGAGAACACATGGACACAGGAAGGGGAACACCACACTCTGGGGACTGTTGTGGGGTGGGGGGAGGGGGGAGGGATAGCATTAGGAGATATACCTAATGCTAAATGATGAGTTAATGGGTGCAGCACACCAGCATGGCACATGTATACATATGTAACTAACCTGCACATTGTGCAGATGTACCCTAAAACTTAAAGTATAATAAAAAATATATATATACAGAAAAAAAAAGTCTTCTCCAATACCACCTTGTTGTCAGTGTAAACAAGGGTATAGCCCGAAAGCACTGAGGCCACTGACAACCCATAGCATTCCTATCAAAAATCCTTAACCCAGCAGGTTTCCTAACAGGGGATCTAAATTAATTACCATACAAAGGTCTGAACATACCTAAGAGGAACTCCCTTCAGGACAGGATAATAGATGGTTCCTTCCAGGCGATTAAGGGAAAAAGACACAATGGGTATTCAGTAAGTGATAAGGAAACTCTTGTAGAAGCAGAGTTAGGAAAATTGCCTAATAATTGGTCTGCTCAAATGTGTGAGTTGTTTGCACTCAGCTAAACCTTAAAGTACTTACAGAATCAGGAAAGAGGATCTATACCAATTCTAAGTTAACATGGACTGAACGAGGTCTTATTAATAGCAAAGAATAATTGAAATCCCAAACTTCCAAGGTTTTCAACAAAAGTAGTTTGCTAAAAGTTAACAGTGTAATATTTATTATTCTAACTTCTTATCTTGTGGAAATCAGACCACATCAGTGCCCCTCAAAGCTCAAGTCCATCAGTGCAGGGCCATACAACTACTACCCCTACTTATAGGGTTAGAAATGGCCACTGCTACTGGAACCAGAATAGCAGGTTTATCAACTTCATTATCCTACTACCACACACTCTCAAAGGATTTCTCAGTTCGCAATAAATAACAAAATCTATCCTTACTCTATAATCCCAAATAAACTCTTTGGCAGCAGTGACTGTCCAAAACTGCTGAGGCCTAGGCCTCCTCACTGCTGAGAAAGGAGGACTTTGCACCTTCTTAGGGGAAGAGTGTTGCTTTTACACTAACCAGTCAGGGATAGTATGAGATGCCATCTGGTGTTTACAGGAAAAGGCTTCTGAAATCAGATAATGCCTCTCAAACTCTTATACCAACCTCTGGAGTTGGGTGACATGGCTTCTCCCCTTTCTAGGTCCTGTGAAAGCCATCTTGCTATTATTCACTTTTGGGCCCTGTATTTTTAACCTCCTTGCCAAATTTGTTTCCTTCAGGATTGAGGCCATCAAGCTACAGATGGACTTACAAATGGAACCCCAAATGAGTTCAACTCAAAACTTCTACCGAGGACCCCTGGATTGACCCACTGGCTCTTTGGCTGGCCTAGAGAGTTCCCTTCTGAGGACACTACCACTGGAGGGCCCCGTCTTCACCCCTATCCAGCAGGAAGTAGCTAGAGTGGTCATTGGCCAATTCCCAACAGCAGTGGGGTGTCCCGTTTAAAGGGGGGATTGAGAGGTGAAGCCAGCTTGACTTCCTGGTTTGAGTGGGGACTTGGAGAACTTTTCTGTTTTACAAGAGGTTTGTAAAATGCACCAATCAGTGCTTTGTAAAAATGCACCAATCAGCACTCTGTAGCTAGCTAGAGATTTGTAAAATAGACCAATTAGCACTCTGTAAAATGGACCAATCAGCACTCTGTAAAATGGACCAATCAGCAGGACATGGGCAGGCACAAACAAGGGAAAAAAAGCTGGCCACCCCAGCCAGCAGTGGCAACCTATGGGCTAATGGCAGCATACTCCAGGCAGCCTAGTCCTGTCCTCTTTGCTTCTTCTGCTTGGTTCCATATAATTCAGCATTTTTTTTTTGAGATGGAGTCTCACTCTGTTGCCCAGGCTGGAGTGCAGTGGTGTGATCTTGGCTCACTGCAACCTCCACCTCCCAGGCTGAAGCGATTCTCCTGCCTCAGACTCCCAAGTGGCTGGTACTGCAGGCACATGCCACCATGCCTGGCTAATTTTTGTAATTTTAGTAGAGATGGGGTTTCACCATATTGGTCAGGCTGGTCTTGAACTCCTGACCTCAGGTGATCCACCTGCCTCAGCCTCCCAAAGTGTAATTCAGCACTCTTCAATTATACATATTGAAATATGCATTCAGAAAAGTACTTAAATCATAAATATGTACAACTCAATTTTGAGTATGTGAACAAGAAAGTAACCACTATCCACATAAAAATGCAGAGCAGATTAGCACCCAAAGCCTCCTTTGCGCCCACTCCTGGCTATTACCTTCAAAATGCTACCTAATGAGAGGACTCAGAGTGCCATATAAAACTATAAAGGTGACAACTGGAACAGAAATTAAAATCTTGCTAAATATTGGAAACAACAATAAAAAGGATTGAAAGGGAAAGAAAGAGTTAATATTGCTATGGTTTGGATGTGTGTCCCCTCTGAATTTCATGTTGAAATGTGATCCCCAAAGTTGGAGGTGGGACCTAGTGGAAGGTGTTTGGGGATGGATCCCTCATGAATGGCTTGATGCCTTCCTGGAGGTAATGAATGAGTTCTCACTTTGTTACTTCATAGAGAGCTGGTTGTTTAAAAGAGGCTGGCTCCTCTCTCTTGCTCCCTTTCTTGCCATGTGACATGCCTGTTTCCTCTTAGCCTTCTTCCATGAGTAAAAGCTTCCTGAGGCCTCACCAGAAGCTGAGCAAATGCCAGCACTATACTTCCTGTGTAACCTGAAGAACCATGAGCCAAATAAACCTCTTTTCTTTGTAAATTACCCAGCTTCAGGTGTTCCTTCATAACAAAGTGTAACAGATTAACACAAATATATAATCAAAATATAATATGACAATTAAAACAAGAACAACTATCTTAACAAATGGGATTAACTCACCTCTTTTAGAAAGTATATAGATTTGAGCTGGGTGTGGTGGCTCACGTCTGTAATCCCAGCACTTGGGAGGCTGAGACGGGTGGATCACAAGGTCAGGAGTTCAAGACCAGCCTGACCAATATGGTGAAACCCTGTCTCTACTCAAAATATGAAAATTAGCCAGCCATGGTGGCATGTGCCTGTCATCCCAGATACTTGGGAGGCTGAGACAGGAGACTGGCTTGAACCCAGGAGGTGGAGGTTGTGTGAGCCGTGATCAAGCCACTGTACTCCAAGCTGGGTGATAGAGCAAGACTCTGTCTCAAAAATAAATAAATAAATAAATAAAAATAAAAAATATATCTTTTCAAATTGGAATGAATTAATGGCATTCACAGCAACCTGGATGGGACTGGAAACTATTATTCTAAGTGAAGTAACTTAGGAATGGAAAACCAAACAGTGTATGTTCTCACTCATAAGTGGAGCTAAGCTATGAGGATGCAAAGGCATAAGAATGATATGATGGACTTTGCTGACTCACAGTGAAAGGGTGGGAAGAGGGTGAGGGATAAAAGACTACAAATTGGGTTCAGTGTGTACTGCTTGGGTGATGGGTGCACGAAAATCTCACAAATCACCAGTAAAGAACTTATGTAACAAAATACCACCTGTTCCCTAAAAACCTATGGAAATAAAAAATTTAAAAAGTATATATATATATATATACATATAAAGTTTCAAATTGGATCACAAAACAAAGTCCAACTCTTAAAATACAGTGATTCTGAAAGGCTAAAAATAAAAGAATAAGCAAAGTATACCAGGGAAATCTAAACAAGAAGAAAGCATGACATTAAGATGGTAATCTTAATATCAGACAAGGTGGAATTCAGGTTAAAATGCATCAAGTAATACAAAGAAATTTACAATGATAAAGGCTATGATTCCCAATGCAAATTTAGCAGTTATGAATATTTATGCACCAAGGAGCACCGAGCTGCTCTTGTGGATTGTCACAGTAATGGCCACAATGGAGTGTGCCTCCTGGTATACATGCCCTTCTCACACCAACCGTGGACTTTAGTCAGTGTGAAATAAGCAAATGTCACAAGCAGAGAGTTGATAAGAACTGTCTAGCTGAGCCCAGTCTAAATTTTAGAATTGTGAGCAAATAAATGGTTGTTTGTAACGTGAATGCCTATAGAAGAGGAAAAAATTAATAGGATGGATGAAACTTATAAAAAATGTTAGTAAGGTAGTAGCTTTTGAAGTATTGATAAAACTCTAGATATGAGCAAGCAACTAGTGTGTGAGCTATAGGCAGGACTAGTAAGATATGTTACATGTAGATAGGAAGTTAGTATCCTGTAGGACATGCTAAAGATGGAACAAATGGAATGTATAATGCAATCAACAAGAGTATTCCTTTAGATAAAAAGAGATAGGAAGATCAAGTCATAAGGTGTGATCAGGCCACTTCTGGGCTCTGTGTTATGTCATCATTTCATCAGCTACTCATTTGTGACACCCATTATGGTCCCATTCAGGTTCCACATGTGCTCTGCCAAGAAATGCAGATAAAACTTAGGGTTTTGTTTTTGTTTTTGTTTTTTTTTAGCAAGCTAATTGGTAGACTATGCTGTAGCCAGGAGTACCTGGTCTTGCATCCCTCTGCTAGCACAAGCATGTATATTGGCTGCAGGTAACGTCTATCTGTGGGCAACCTAAAGGAATTGATCTTTCAAAAAGTCAATTTCTGGTTTCATGGATTTTCTCTGCTGGTTTCCCATTTTCAATGTCATTGATTTCTGCTCAAATTTTTATTATTGATGTTGGGAAAGGCAGTCTTGTGCATGTAGTTTTTCAGCCTCCACCCAATCATATAAGAATGGGCCTTGGGTCCAGAACACTTCCTTATGAGAGAGATAAAGAGCCCTCACAGCATGTGCTGGGCTTACTACTTTGTACAGGGACATTATTCCCTGTTATAGACTCATATGTAGTCCTCTGTTCTGCTTGAGTGCATGCATTGATGGATCTCAGGCACACCCATAGCTTTCTGTGTTTCAGACCCGATGGGAGAGGAGTTGGGGTTCTTCTACTGCAGCAGGAAGTGGGGTGTGGGGTGTGCAGCTACACTGCCCACATTGGCTGTCGATATAGTTCATATATTTGTCCCTGCCCAAATCTCATGTTGAATTGTAATCCACAGCATTGAAGATGGGGCCTGGTGGAAGGTGATTGGATCATGAGGGTTGATTTCTCATGAATGGTTTAGCATCATTCTCTCCATGCTATCCTCGCCATAGTAAGTGAGTTCTCTTGAGACCTGGCTGTTTAAAAGTCTGTGGCACTTTCCTCTCTTTTACTTGCTCCTGATTTTTCCATGTGATGTGCCTGCTCCCCACTTGCCTTCTGCCATGATTGCAAGCTTCCTGAGGCCTCCCCAGAAGCTGAGCAGATGTAGAACTATGAGCTAATTAAACCTCTGTTTTTATAAATGACCTGGTTGTAGGCATTTCTTTATAGCAATGCAAGAATGGCCTAACGCAGCTGTGATGTGAAACTGCTGTCAATGGGGGAACTGTGCATTGCAAAGGGCTGGATCCTGTGCATTCTTTCTCCTCTTGTTGTAAGAAAATGACATACCACTTGAGCCTGGTGTGTGTGCCACTTGTTTTAATGACCCAAAATCATGCATAGGCCTTCCCTCAGTGGCACTTATCTATCTTATAAACTTGGCTGCACAACCTGGTCACCCAGTGAGTGGTGAAACAATTTATTCTGCTTACTTTGATTTGATTTATTCTTTTTTCCCTAGTTTCATAAGGTGGAAGCTTACATTATTGATTGTATCTTTCTTCTAATATGAGAATTCCATGCTATAAATTTATCTCTAAGTACTGCTTTCACATCTCACAACTTTGTGAGATAAATAAGTTGTATTTTCATTTTCATTTAGTTTGAAATATTTCTAAATTTAACTTGAGAATTCTTCTTTGACCCAGCTGTTATTCAGAAGTGTGTTGTTTAATCTCCAAGTATTTTGGAGTTTTCCAGTGATCTTTCTGCCATTGATTTCCAGGTTAACTTCTTTGCCATCTGAGACCACAGATTGTATGATCATATACTTTATGTATTTTTTTCAGGCAGGGTCTCACTCTGTCCCCCAGGCTGGACTCTAGTGGTGTGACCACAGCTCACTAAAACCTCTGCCTCCTGCGTTCAAGTGATCCTCCCATCTCAGTCTCCTGAGTAACTGGAACTAAAGGCATATGCCACCACACCTGGCTAATTTTTGTATTTTTTGTAGAGATTGGGTTTCACCATGTTGCCCATGCTGGTCTTGAATTCCTGGGCTCAAGCAATCTGCCTGCCTTGGCCTCCTAAACTGCTGAGATTACAGGTGTGAGCCACCATGCCTGGCCCTATTCTTTTAAATTGATAAAGGTGTGTTTTATGGCTCAGAATGTGGTCTCTCTTGGTGATTGTTCTGTGTGTTTGAGAATAATGTATATTGTGCTATTATTGGATAAAGTATTCTATAGCTGCTGGTTAGAGCTAATTGATTGATGGTTCTGTTCAGTTTAACCATGTTCTTACTGTTTTTCTGCCTGCTGAATCTGTCATTTACTGATAGAGGGTGTTGAATTCTCCAGCTATAATAGTGGACTCATTTATTTCTCCTTGAAGTTCTATCAGTTTTTCCTTCACATTTTTTGACCCTCTGTTGTTAGGTGCAAACAGCTTAAGGATTTCTATGTCCTGTTGGAAAACTGATCCCTTTATGATCATGTAACTCCCTTCTTTATCCCTGATAATTTTTTTTCTTTCTATGAAGTCAGTTTCGTCTGAAATTATTATGAGGATTTTTTTTTTAGACAGAGCCTTGCTCTGTCACCCAGGCTGGAGTGCAGTGGCAATCATAGTAAAATTGACCCAACTGTCCATAGAACTGATGTTTACTTTTTTTTGGATAAACAAAGAAATTGACCCTCCCAGGTCGGGTGCAGTGGCTCACATCTGCATCCCAGCACTTTTGGAGGCTGAGGTGGGTGGATCACTCGAGGCCAGGAGTTGGAGACCAGCCTGGCCAAAATGACAAAACCCTGTCTCTACTAAAAATAAAAATTAGCCAGGCATGGTGGCGCATGCCTGTAATCTCAGCTACTCAGGAGACTGAGACACAACAATTGCTTGAACCCAGGAGGCACAAGTTGCAGTGAGCTGAGATCATGCCTCTGCACTCCAGCCTTGGCAAAACAGCAAGATTTTGTCTAAAAAAAAAAAAAAAAAAAAAAAGGAAGAAGAAGAAGAAGAAAAGAAATTGATCCTCCCAGTCTTAAAGTTTGAAACTTGTGTTTGTCTTATCTGAGTTCCTTCCTCAGGAAACTGACCCTTGGGCCTCCCAGATAGTATCAAGGAACTGAATCTTACCAGATCACTGCATCCAGACAATGAGATGCCAGACCCCAACATCCACCAGGATTGCCTAACCAACCATCTCCTTTCTGTTGACCAAATCCTCTTCCTTACTGCTCCCTAATTCCTGTTTTCTCACATGTAGTTACATTTCTTCCCTGCAATATAAACCCCTAAATTTAGCCAATTGAGGAGACAGATTTGAGACTAATCTCCCATTCTCCTCAGCTACAGTACCTGAATAAAGCCTTCTTTTCTGGCGATACTAGTTATCTGAGTGATTGGTTTTCTGTGAGACAAGCAGCAGGACCTAGACAGAACCCCTCGTGTTTTGGTAACAATGGACTATAAGAGTACATTATCCTGCCTGGATAATTATTTTAAAAATTTATAGAGATTATGTTGCCCAGGCTGGTCTTAAACTCCTGGCCTCAAGTGATCCCTCTGCCTCAGCCTCCTAACATTCTAGGATAACAGGCATAAGCCACCACACCTGGCCTGTCCAAAATATAGCTACTCTGCCTTTCTTCTGGTTCATGTTAGCATGGTTTATCTTTCTCTGTCCTTTGAATCTATTTGTACCTTTATATTTAAGATTGGCTTCTTATAGACAACATATGTCTGGGTCTGGTTTTTTCTCCACTCTAACAGTCTTTGTCTTTGAATTTGTGTATTTAGACAATTGATCCTTAAAGTGATTATTGATATAGTTGGATCAATATCTAACATAGTTATTACTGCTTTCTAATAATTTGCCATTGTTCTTTGTGTGTTTTTTGTCTTCAATTCTTTTTCTGCCTTCTTTTTTGTTTGTTTGTTTGTTTTGTTTTTTAAGAGACAGGGTCTTGCTCTTTGACCCAGGCTGGAGTGCAGTGGTAGGATCATAGCTCACTGCAGCCTTGAACTCCTGGGCTCAAGTGATCCTCCCCACTCAGCCTCCCAAGGAGGTGGGACTACAAGTGTTCATCATCATGGCCAGACAATTTATTTATTTTCTTTTTTTATCCTTCACTTTAGAGAATTTTAAAATGTTTTATAGGGATGGGGTCTTGCTATATTTCCCAGGCTGGTCTAGAACCCCTGGGCTCAAAAAACCCTCCCACCTCAGCCTCCCAAAGTGCTCAGATTATTGACATGAGCCACTGTGCCTGGGCCTTCTTTGGTTTTAATTGAGCATTTTGTATGATTCTAGTTTTTTCCTTTCATCACATTAAGTATACATTTTTTTACTTATTTTGTATTATTAGTAGCCCTTGAGTTTGCAGTGTACATTTACAACTAATCTGAGTCTTTTTTCAAATAGTGCTATACTACTTCCCAGATAGTACAATTACCTTATAACAGAGTATTCCCAATTCTTTTCTCTCATCCCTTATAACATTGCTATCAGCTAGGTGCAGTGGCTCACGTCTGTAATCCCAACACTTTGGGAGGTCCAGGCAGTTGCTTGAGCCCAGGAGTTCCAGAGCAGCCTGGGCAACAAAATTAGCCAAGTATATTGGCACATGCCTGTAGTCCCAGCTACTCAGGAGGCTGAGGCAGGAGGATCACTTGAGCCTGGGAGGTGGAGATTGCAGTGAGTCATGATCGTGCCACTGCTCTCCAGCCTGGGCAACAGAGTGGGACTCTGTCTCAAACAACAAACAAAAAACTCCACTTTGCTATCATTCATTTCACTACAATCACCAAATACATTGCTATTATTAATTCAAACAAACTGTTATCCATTAGATAATTGAGAATAAGAAAACTAAAATATTTTATTTACCTTTATTGATTTTGCCTCTAATGCTCTTCCTTTCTTTATGTAGATACTAGTTTCTGATTTATCATTTCCCCCTCTCTGAAGAAGTTATTTTAATAGTTCTTGCAAGGTTAGATCTACGGGCAATAAATTCCCTCAATTTTTGTCTGAGAGAGTTTTTATTTCTCCTTCATTTTTGAAAGATAATGCCACTTTATACAGAATCGGGGCTGGTGTTACTTTTAACATTTTTTGGAAGATAAAACTGATATAATGCTTACCCTTGCTTAGTTTTTTTCTTTCTTGCCTTTTTTTTTGAATGGAGTTTTTCTCTTGTTGGCCAGGCTGGAGTGCAATGGTGCAGTCTCGGGTCACTGCAACCTCTGCCTCCCAGGCTCAAGCAATTCTCCTGCCTCAGGCCTCCCAAGTAGCTGGGAATACAGGCATGCATCACGACACCCGGCTAATTTTTGTATTTTTAGTAGAGACGGGTTTTCACCATGTTGGTCAGGCTGGTCTGGAACTCCTGACCTCAGGTGATCCACCCGCCTTGGCATCCCAAAGCACTGGGATTGCGGGCATGAGCAACCGTGTCTGGCCCTCCGGCTTCTTTGAAGATTTTTTTTGTTCTTCATTTTCTGCAGTTTGAATATGGTATGTTTGTGTATAGAATTTTGGTATTTATCTTGCTGGTGTTGTCTGTACTTTCTGGAACTGTGGTTTGGTGCATGTTATTAATTTTGCAAAATTTTATTACAATTGGCTCAAATATTTCTTCTGTTCCTTTCCTTCATTCTTCTTCTGGTATTCCCAATATGCATATGTTACACCTTTTGCAGTTGTCCCACAGTTCTTGGATGTTCTGTTTCATCCTTTTTATTCTTTTTTTCTCTTAGCATTTCTATTTTGAAAGTTTCTACTGACATGTCTTCAGGATCATTGATTCTTTCTTCAGTTGTGTCCAGTCCTTTTGTTGTTGTTGTTTTGAGATGGAGTCTTGTTCTGTTGCCCAGGCTGGCTCACTGTAACCTCTGCCTCCTGGGTTCAAATGATTCTCCTACCTCAGACTCCCGAGTAGCTGGGACTACAGGTGTGTGCCACCATGCCCGGCTAATTTTTGAATTTTTAGTAGAGATGGTGTTTCACCATTTTGGCCAGACTGGTCTCAAACTCCTGACCTCAAGTGATCCACCCACCTTGGTTTCCCAAAGTGCTGGGATTACAGGTGGCAGTCTTTATTTCTGTCATGATGTTTTTGATTTCTAGCATTTTCTTTTGATTCTTTCTTAGTGTTTCCATTTCTCTGCTTATATTACCTATCTGTTCTTGCATATTGTTCTCACTTTCCATTAAAACCCTTTGCATATTAATCATAGTCTTAAAAATTCAAGGTCTGATATTTCCAACATCTCTGCCATAAGCTCAGTTTGGTTCTTATGCTTGCTTTTTCTTTTCAAATTCTATATTTTTTGTGTGTCTAGAACGTGTGGTAACATTTTATTGAAAGTGAGATACGATGCACTGGTTAAAAGGAACTGATAGTTAGGCCTTTAGTGTGAGGTTTTTATCTGGCCCGCGGTTAGGCTGCGTTTTCTGTTTGCTGCAGCTGTCAGTATCAGAGGCTAAAATGTCTCCAGCGTCCTTGTTTTGGTCTCCCTTGTTGCCTTTGGGTTATCCTAGAGACTTCTTGAAGTTTGAGACACACAGTTCTTTCAGTTATATTCTCCCCTAACTATTCAGGATCTCTAGTGCTGGGGTAAGATATGAAGGGAGGGGAAACATCACATAATCTTATGAGTATGTCTCAGTCTTTCAGTGAAATTGTGACCCTCACAAGTGCTTCTGAGTTTTGTATTGGTTTATCCCCCTTAGATGAGACAGAAAGGCTAGAGCAGGTTGGAGTTGGGTATTTCCCTTTCCCCAGGTCAGTTTGTCTCTGGTAAAACCTCAGCAGGTTAGGCTCTGGTAAAATAGTTTCTCCTGAGGTTGGGCTTTATGAAGAACCATACGCTCTGGGCATATTTCAGAATGGCTAATTTCCCCCTCCCACTGCTGGAAGCATGAAGGGATTTTTTTTCTTAGATCTTCACTGTGAGAACCTGTTATGGCTTCAGGAGGTAAAGCTCATGAAAGTGTGTGGGTTCCGTTAAAACTGGGCCATACTGGCATTTTTACTGTCAGTGTGCGTGAGCACTCAGCAGGCACTAGGCTCAGTGACGGGGTCAGTTCTGTGCCTTAGCTTCCTCCTGTGTGTTCTTTCCCTAAGCAGTCCCATGGGGCTGAGACACAGCATCCATAACCCTGATGAAGTGTCATCATTGACCATCTACAAACACTGGGCCCTGAATGGAGCTTAGTTAAACTGCCTTCATCTACTACCTAGCTGTACCAGGGACCACTATTTAAGAGACATGAAAAGAAATCCAGAATCCCCAAGTGTCTGTATTGCCTGGGGGTGATCATGGACTGTTATTGACCTCTTGGTGTTTGGAAGGCTGCTTTTAGATACTCCTGAATCTGTTTGCCACATAACTACATGTATTACATATTTCATTTGATTACTTTCTTAGTTATGGTTTTCTTTTCTTCTTTTTGGAGATGGAGTTTTGCTCTTGTTGCCCAGGCTGGAGTACAATGGTGCAATCTCAGCTTACTGCAACCTCCACCTCCCGGGCTCAAGTGATTCTCCTGCCTCAGCCTCCCAAGTGGTGGGGATTACAGGCATGTGCCACCACACCTGGCTAATTTTGTATTTTTTGTAGAGACAGAGTTTCACCATGTTGGCCAGGCTGGTCTCGATCTCCTGACCTCAGGTGATCCACCTGCCTCGGCCTCCCAAAGTGCTGAGATTACACGTGTGAGCCACCACGCCTGGCTAGTTATGGTTTTCTATGCTTTTTTCTTGATTGTTTCAGATTCTGAGACCCAGCTAACTACAAACATGGAAGTTTTTAAATAAATAGAGCCACTTGAGGCCCAACACTGTGGCTTACACTTGTAATCCCAGCACTTTGGGAGGCCGAGGCAGGCTGATCATGAGGTCAGGAGATCGAGACCATCCTGGCTAACACGGTGAAACCCTGTCTCTACTAAAAATACAAAAAAAGTAGCCAGGCGTGGCAGTGTGCGCCTGTAGTCCCAGCTGCTGGGGAGGCTGAGGCAGGAGAATGGCATGAACTCAGGAGGCGGAGCTTGCAGTGAGCCAAAATCGCACCACTGCACTCCAGTCTGGGTGACAGAGCAAGACTCCATCTCAAAAAAAAAAAAAAAAAAAAAAAAAAAAAAGAAAGAGAGCCACTTGAGGTGGGAGGTGGATATTGGAAAGATTTATATGTAACATTCTGCAGGAAGCCAAGCTTGAAGAAACTTATAAAAATTAGGGAGACTGGGGGCCAGGTGTGGTGGCTCACGCCTGTAATCCCAGCACTTTGGGAGGCTGAGGCAGGTGGATCATGAGGTCAGGAGTTCGAGACCAGCCTGGACAATATGGTGAAACCCTGTCTCTACTAAAAATGCAAAAAGTAGCTGGGCACAGTGGCAGGCGCCTGTAATTCCAGCTACTCAGGAGGCTGAGGCAGGAGAATTGCTTGGACCCAGGAGGTGGAGGGTGCAGTGAGCCAAGATTGCCCCACAGCACTCTAGCCTGGGCAACAGAGCAAGACTCTATCTCAAAAAAAAAAAAAAAAGAAATTAGAGAGACTGAGAAAATCATTACAAACATCTTGCAGATGACAGATCAAATATTTTCCTTTCTTTACAAGAGAGAGATTTCCAGGCAGTGATACTGATCCATCCAAACACTCATGCAATGGAGAGAGGTCTTAAATGTAACAAATACAGGAGCTGCATGAGTCTGTGCTCAAATGCTATTATATATACTAGTGTTCCTACAGAAGAGGTGTCAGAAATGACAGGTGTGTGACCAAAATTTCAAATTAAATTCAGACTTAACGAGACATCAGAAAAGCCTCATGAGAGAGAAACCCTGTGAATGTATGTGGAAAAGCTGTTATGCAGAAATTACTCCTTATTGAACATCAGAGTATTTATCTGATAAGAAACTCTGTCAATGTAATGAACGAGAGAAAGCCTTCAGCTAGAGCTCAGTTGTAATTCACCATTAAAAAGTTCTAGGGTCGGGCGTGGTGGCTCATGCCTGTAATTCCAGCACTTTGGGAGGCCAAGGTGGGTGGAACATCTGAGGGCAGGAGTTTGAGACCAGCCTGGCCAGCATGGTGAAACTCTGTCTCTACTAAAAATACAAAAATCGGCCAGGGTTGGTGGTGGGTGCCTGTAATCCCAGCTACTCAGGAGGCTGAGGCAGCAGAATCACTTGACCTCAGAGGGAGGAGGCTGCAGTGAGCTGAGATTGTGCCACTGCACTCCATCCTGTGCTACAGAGTAATACTGTGTCAAAAAATAAATAAATAAAAGTTCTTACTGGAGAGAAACCTTATGAATATTATGAATGTGGGAAAGCTTTTATCCAGAAATGTATTAAGTACCAAAGATTTAATATCTCATGAATACAGAAAGTATGAGAAAACCTTTGCACAGAGCTCACACCTAATTCAGCATCAAAAAATTCAGTGGAAAGAAGTCATAAGTATGTAATTACTGTGGAAGAGCTTTCCATTCAAAATCACACCTTATTCAGCAGCAGATAATTCACAGTAGAGAAAAGGCCCGTGAATGCAATCAATGTGGAAAGCCTTCAATTGGAGCTCAGCACTTGCTAAAAATCAGATAATTAACACTGGAGTGAAACCTAATGGATGTAATGAATGTGGGAAAACTTTCATCCAGAGTTTAAATCTTATTCTGTCAGAGTTCATGCTGAGAGAAACCATATGAATGTAAATGAATGTGGAAGAGCCTTTAGTTACAGGTCACACCTTATTTCACATCATAGGATCCACACAGGAAATAAGCCATATGAATGCAAGGAATTTGGCAAAAATTCCCATCCAAATTTGTACCTTATTTGACATCAGGATATTCATCACAGAGAGAAATTACAGGAGTGTAATGAATGTGGGAAGGTGTTTGGTCAGAATCCAACCCTTGTTATACATCAGCAGATTCACATTGGAATGAAATCTGATAACTACAGTAAATGTAGGAAAGTTTTTTTGTAGATTCATAGCCCCTGCAGAACCTAAGGCAGTTCCAGGTAAAGAGAAACCCTATGGGTACAGTGAATATGGGAAGACCATACAGAATTCATACCACTTTCTGGATCAAAAAGAATCAAAGAAGAGACAAAGCCTATGAATCTCATGCATGTGCAAAAACCTTATATTATGTGTCAAAACTTATTAAGTATCAGGGTATGTAGTCTTTAATAGTTTAGAGCCTGTTCAGTAGCAGAAAATCCACTCTATCAATAAACTTTATGAACATAAATACTGTGACAAAGTCTTCAGGCTAATTTTAAGTTTAAAAAATCAGGCTTTATCATAGAAAAAAATGAGAAAAAAATAAAAGTAAAATGTGATCCAAACTTGTAATTATGTTAATGGAGACACAGTATATATAAACATATTTAGATATATGTTTTCTTTCTTTCTTTTTTCTTTTTTTTTTTTGAGACTAGGTCTTTCTCTGTCACCCAGGCTGGAGGGTGGTCGTAGAATTTTGGCTCACTGCAACATCCGCCCCTGCACCATCCCCCTTCCCACCGCTGCCCAAAGCAATCCTCCTGCCTCAGCCTCCCAAGTAGCTGGGACCACAACCGGCTAATTTTTTAAATTTTTTGTAGAGACCATGTTGCCCAGGCTGGTCTCAAACTCCTGGGCTCAGGCAATCTGCCTGCCTTGGCCTCTCAAAGTGCTGGGATTATATGCGGAGCCACTGTGCCCAGCCTGGATATCTGTTTTCTTAAACTGTGTCCTTCAAGGTCAGGGTACTTCTCTTGTTCTTTCACCGTACCCATCCCATTGCCTTATTCATTCAGCCCCTTAATAAATATTTTGGTGTGATTTGCTAACTATGGAAAAATCTTTTCTGAAGACTCATGTTTCCTGCCACAAGAGGAACCATAGAAAATATAGCACTGGAAAGGCAACAGTTCAAATCCAAGGTTATTCATGATTACATCAACCTACAATTACTGTGCAGCCCCTATGTGCCTGGTAGTGTGCCTGACAATGGCAAATCAGAGATGCAGAAACACTTGGCCTCTTTTCCTCATATCTCTCAGTCTAGTTGGGATACAAAGGTATGTAGAGACAGATAACCACATCAGTACAGTAATAGAGGTAAGAATACAGGGTTGAGTGGGGTCCCAGAGGTGGGAGAGGTCTACAGAGATGGCTCATTTTCAAAATTCTGAGAGACAATAACTGTTAACCTCAAATTGTGTTTCTATCCAAACTATCCTCCAGGAATTAGAATAAAAATAGGCATTTTCAGATGAGCAAAACCCAAAACACCATAACAGATTTCATTAAAGGAGCTTTAAAAGGATGTACATTTAAAGAAATGATATCAGAACTGAGATATAAGGAATGATGCCAGGCATGGGAGGCTGAGGTGGGAAGATTGCTTGAGCCCAGGAGTTCAAGACCAGCCTGGGCATCCTGGTGAGACCCCATCTCTACAAAAAATTACAAAATTAGCTGGTATGATGGTGCATGCCTGTGGTCCCAGCTACTTGGGAGGCTGAGGCAGGAGGGAGGATCAGTTGAGCCCAGGACAACCTAGGTGACAGAGTGAGACATGGACTCTAAGAAAAACAAAAGTTGTATATTTGAAAACACTGACTGTAAATAGAATTAAGTCTAATATGGCAGATTTAAAAACAAAGATAGAAATGAAGTCAAGACAAAAATAGCATATGAGTCAGGAAGGTAATGGATAAAATCAGAGCATTGAAAGTGAGGCAGGATAGGTAGTCAAGGAAGTAACCATGTCCTCGGGATGCAGCAACTGTTGTGACTGTGCAATCAGCACAATAAGCCTCTGCCTTCACATTGTGGTTAAGCTCTTTCAAGCAAAACTATCTTCAGTAGAGAATTTCCCCTGCAAAGAGCATGTACATTTTGATTTTACCTGTCCTCAGACTGACCTTTCGCTCATTATAATAGTAAAAAACAGAGCCCTGGTTGGAGGTTTAAGATGCTAATAAGACATGTGACATGTACGAACAATCATATACCAGCATGTAGAACAAGCATTGTATGACAAGAAGCATTGTATGAACAAGCATGTAAGAACATACAGCTACCGCACATGTGCACTCAGAGGACCATCCAGAACATACTCACTAGTAGCACCTCTTCCCAATTCCTTATGAATAATCATGTAAGACCCCCATAAAGGGAGTCTCCCTCATGCGTCTTTGCTGCCCCAACCTTATGAGCAGCTGGCCCTCAATCCTCTCTCTCTCTCTCAGGGTGTACTGTCTATTGTTCACTTAACTTTCCAAATATTCTTTCTCCTTTGTAATAAATTACTGTATGCCGCATCTCCTTTACTGCGTGTCCCGTTTAAATTCTGCGTGTTTTTTTTTTTTTTTTTTTTTTAGATGGAGTCTCGCTCTGTCACCCAGGCTGTAGTGCAGCGGTGCGATCTTGGCTCACTGCAAGCTCCACCTCCCGGGTTCATGCCATTCTCCTGCCTCAGCCTCCCGAGTAGCTGGGACTACAAGTGCCCGCCACTATGCCCGGCTAATTTTTTGGTATTTTTTAGTAGAGACGGGGTTTCACTATGTTAGCCAGGATGGTCTCAAACTCCTAACCTCGTGATCCGCCCGCATCGGCCTCCCAAAGTGTTGGGATTACAGGCGTGAGTCACCGCGCCCGGCCAATCCGCCGAATTTTGGGAGTAATGTATCACACTGCAGTAAATAACTATCAGTGATGACCAAACTGTAACCCTTCGAGACCTTGCAGACCAGGCAGCTAACACTTCCCACCCCACCGTCTCAGGAAACACCGCTTTCCACTCCTGTGTCCCCGAAAGGAATCATCAGACATCTCGGACTCTTACCTTCTCAAGCAACACAACCCACCCTCCTGGCATAGCCCGTTGCCCCCCTGAAACCCTACTCAGCCTCACCTCAACCCCTACGCAATTCCTCTCGGTTGTCATGCCTCCATCGGCGGGGGTCGAGTGTTGTGTGTGACCCCAGGTCTCTAGCAAGGTATAGTGGGAGGGAAGCATCCAGGGGAAGAGAGGTGGTGGGATGGGGCTCTCCCTCTCCCCCATACCGCCACCCTCCCTCACGTCCATATCCTGTCCAAGGCTCTTCCCGCGTCTGCTTCTGAAACCCCTCCACGTCCCTCCACCCCATGTGCCCCACTCGTTACACAAGAGCAGAGAGATCTGCAGAACATACGTCTACGATTATGCCACTCTTCAGATTTACATCTTGCAGCGACTTCCCACTGCGTTAGAACGGAAGTAAGCCCATGACGGGGGCCCTCCCAACTCTCAGACCTCACCCGAGCCTCCACGTCCCGAGACGCCGGCCTCTCAAACGACCGCGCCCTGACCCTCGCTCTTCCCCATTTCCCAGGGTCTTTGCCGACCACCCTCTTGCGCCGTAGCTGCTCACGTGCTGTTTACTTGCTTTTCCCTCCCCACCAAAAGGTGAGCCTTGAGAAGACACACCCTCGTGGAGAGCTTTGAACTTTTATCCGGAAAGGTGCCGGGCACGTAGTCAGCGCCCGCGATCACTCGCTCACAAGGGTTCTTCCGAGACCCCTCTTCAGCCTCTTCCCCGAACCCCCAGGCCCCGCCCCAGCCCCATCTCAGCTTCGTCCCAGGCGCGTCCCAGCTTCGCCCCGTCCCAGCTTCATCCCACCCCAGCCGCGCCCCGCCCCGCCCGCTCCCCGCCCCGCCCGCGCCCCGCCCGCGCCCCGCCCCGCCCGCGCCCCGCCCGCGCCCCGCCCGCGCCCCGCCCGCGCCCCGCCCGCGCCCCGCCCGCGCCCCGCCCGCGCCCCGCCCGCGCCCCGCCCGCGCCCCGCCCGCGCCCCGCGGAACCTAGAGTCGCAGGCGCGTTCTTGAAGGACGGAATTCGGCGTCGGACTCTGCGCCCCGCGTAGTTCCGGTGGCGACTGCGGCGCATGGCGGTGAGCGGTGTGGAGAAGACGCGCGGGTGGCTGGGCCTTGCATTGTTGGCGGCTCTCGGTGACCCTCGTGCTACCCCCCTTTCTCCAGGCCCTGGGACATCTTGCTGGGGAGGCAGCGGCGGCCCCAGGCCCGGGTACTCCCTGCGCGTCCCGCGGAGCCCGGCTTCCCGGCCCAGTTTCCAGCGCCCGGAATCCTTCCACTGTCTGTCTCTGCCCAGAGCAACCTACGTGCAGTAACGCTGACTCCAGAGCGCACCCGTTGGGCGATGAAGGCGGCACAGCGTCGAAAAAACAAAAGAATAAGAAGAAAACGCGGAACAGGGCCTCTGTGGCAAATGGAGGCGAGAAGGCCTCAGAGAAACTCGCCCCAGAAGAAGTTCCCCTAAGCGCTGAGGCCCAGGCAAGGGCGGGCTTCGGTCGGGAAGGGTGGAATCCACGGGTGCGAATCCACGGGCACGTGTGATCTGGGGTCCGCGGAGTTAAGGCGGGGAGGGGCATGGGATGGGGCCGGCGGCTATGGTTTTCCAGTGCCCTCTCACAGCCACTTCCCCAAATCCATCACAGGCACAACAGTTGGCCCAGGAATTGGCTTGGTGTGTGGAGCAACTGGAGCTGGGCCTCAAGAGGCAGAAACCCACCCCGAAACAGAGTAAGGGACCCTTCTGTAGAGCTGGGGGATGTGAACAGTGGCACTGCCTGGCCTGCAGGTGCTGGCAGAGTATGGAGTTGTTGGCTTTGCGGCGGGGTGGTAGGAGGTCAGTAATAGAGGTGTTCACTAGTCCTTTATTTTTATTCGCAGAAGAGCAGGCTATTGGAGCAATCCGAACCCTGCGCAGCAAAAGAACGCCCTTGCCCCGGAAGAGGCAGCTGATGCACTCCTTGTTTGGAGACTATAGGGCTCAGATGGAAGCCGAATGGCGTGAGGCCCTGCGGGCTCTCAGAGCTGGTGAGGAGCTAGCCACTGGTTGATTCAGGAAGGCCTAACTTAAGGAGGAAGTGTCTAGGGGGTGAAAGGAAGAAGGCCCAGAGCAACAAGCCTGGTGGGGGAAGGAGATGGGCTCAGGGAAGCCTGAGGGAGCAGGGAAACAGAAAGCGTGGACCTCTCTTTCCTCTTCCTAGGACTGAACCTGGGAAGCAGCGGGGAGGCCCTGGGAGGAGTGGGAAAGAGCATGGTCCTATGTTGGTCCTGCTCCTGGGTTGGGGAAAGCTGCCTCATGTCTTTGTGTCTTGGCTTTCTCTACTAGCAATGAAGCCATATCCCATAACAGTTTGAGTGCAATTCCTGGGGCCAGATCAGCTAGGTTCAAATCCTGGATCTACCACATAGTAGTACTAACACCTTTTGCAAACTACTGAACCTCTCTAAGTGGGGGATGATAGTAATATCAACCTTACAAATTTGAGGAATTAATCAGTTAATTTATGCAAGGTGGTTAGAATTGTATGGGCAAACATAACTGTACAGGTAATGTTAATTGTTATTATTCAGTTCTGACATACGCTGCTTCTCTCCCCGACAGCTGCTTATTCAGCCCAGGTGCAACCTGTAGATGGAGCCACCAGAAAGAAGAGCCAAAGGGTCTGCAGGCCTCGCTCTATATGGAGAGCCAAAGCCACTCTGGACATGCCTGATGAAGAGTTTAGGTTCAATTTCTTTTAGCGTCTCCCCGAACCTGAAACAATCCCCCTCCCTTGGGGTGGTGTAGGGGTTTGTTTTGAGTGCAGAGCCTTTCCAGGACTTCTGTTGTCAGAGAACCCTGGAGTTGGTCTGTCCCTGGCTGGTCCAAGGATTTGTAGCTGTTGTGAAGGTGTGAGACCATCAGATAGGCAAAAGACCCCGTTCGTTTTCTGATGAAATGTTCTCTCTTTCAGAAGAGAGAGAGAGGTGCATTTAGAAAATATGCAATAAATTGAAGTGAGTGTTCAAAGTATTGTAGAAGGAATATTGTACTCAGTCTTTAGGATTAGATTAAGTGGCTGTTGGTAACAAAGATTAGTGGAGAAGCTGTATAATCGTACACTGGTTTTCACTTTTGAAAGGAATCCCTGTCAAATGGTTTAGTGCTTAATGCTGTTATGTCATATTGCCCTAATCTCTATTTTTGATAAAATTGGATAAGGAGTGAAAGAGTATGCTGACCACCTATGTTAGAGGAAGTACAGAAGATGCAGGGGTGTGGTATCCCTGGGTCCAGTCCCTCACCTGGTACCTTTGTGCATGTTGCCTTCATTCCTGAGCAGGTATCATCCTCAGGGAACCAGCATGGCACCTACCAGGCCAGGCTCTGTTCTTAGGAGCAAGGAGCTTCTTGCGCTAACAGTTCTGGCCTGAGACCTGGATTGAGCCTTGGCAGACTTCTTGTCTAAATGTTGGCCATTCAGTCTCAGGCCCTCTGTTCCATGGAATTGGGAATCTCCAGGTGACCTAATCCTCATTGGTGGCTTGATGTTTGCTGGTATCTTCCAAACTCAGTTCCCAGACTAGATTGATACCTGGAGCCCAGCTGCCTACTCAGCATTTCCACTTGGGTGCTTCATAGGCATTTCAAACCTGATGTGTTTAAAACACTTGATTAGGCTCCGGTTTTCCTTTGGCTTCTGCTTTTCAGTGAATGGCATGACTGCCTATGTGGGTGGCAAGCCACCCAGGTGCCGAGGAAAGAGACTGAGGGCACGAGCTGTTCCAGTATAATAAAATATATAAAATAAGAAGAGTTATACTAGATCTAGATCATAGACATGATTATATGTGAGTATCATTAATCATTAGTTTATAGCAATTACTCTTTATTCCAATATTATAATAATCCTCACTCTACAATCATAACCTAGGAAAAACCAGGCCATACAGAGATAGGAGCCGAGGGGACATAGTGCGAAGTGGCCAGAAGACAAGAGTGTGAGCCTTCTCTTATGCCCGGACAGGGCCACCAGAGGGCTTGGTCTAGCAGTAACACCAGTGTCTGGGAAGATGCCTGTTGCAAAGTGGACCATGGTCTAGCAGTAGCATCAGTGTCAAGGAAAAACACCCACTACTTAGCAGACTGGGAAAAGGAGCCTCCCTTTCCCCGGGGGAGTTTAGAGAAGACTACTCCTCCACCTCTTGTGGAGGGCCTGACATCAGTCAGGCCCGCCCGCAGTTATCCAGAGGCCTGTCTCCCTGTGATGCTGTGCTTCAGTGGTCACGCTCCTAGTCCGCTTTCATGTTCCATCCTGTATACCTGGCTCTGCCTTTTAGATAGCAGGAGCAAATTAGTGAAAGTACTAAATGTCTGATATGCAGAAATAATGGCATAAGCTGTCTCTCTCTCTTCTCTCTCTCTCTGCCTCTGCTGCCAGGCAGGGAAGGGCCCCCTGTCCAGTGGACACATGACCCATGTGACCTTACCTATTATTGGAGATGGTTCACATTCCTTACCCTGCCCCTTTGTCTTATATCCAATAAATATCAGTGCAGCCTGGCATTTGGGGCCACTACTGGTCTCCGCGTCTTGGTGGTAGTGGTCCCCCAGGCCCAGGTGTCTTTTCTTTTATCTCTTTGTCTTGTGTCTTTATTTCTACAATCTCTCATCTCTGCACATGGGGAGAAAACCCACTGACCCTGTGGGGCTGGACCCTACATCTGGCGCTCTGATGTGGGGCTCTCCCTCGCTGTGTGAGGTTGCACTCTGAGTGCGGGATTCAGCGGAGGATTTTGACAAGAGATTCCTGAGGATTGCTGTTAGTAAGCTTGGTGGTAAGCTTGAGCACTCAGAGTATTCTGGGGACACCATGGTACAAGCCAGTACTAAGTACTCAGCTTATTTAAATTTTATAAAAACTCTTCTTAAAGAAGGAGGGGTTTAAGTTTCTACTGAAAAGTTAATTGAACTATTTGCGGTTGTAAATCTTCTTTGCCCTTGGTTTCCGACTGAGGGAACTTGAGAACTTAAAGATTGGGATGAGATCGGCCAACAATTCAAAATTGCTCATAAAGGGGGACATTTTATTCCACCCACCATTTGGTCAATCTGGGCTTCGGTTCGCTCTGTCCTAGACTCCTTACAGACTCAGGACAGCATGGAGACTGATCCCTCTTTCCTCTCCCTGAGGAGGGCGAGGAATTTCTCACTTCTCTTTCCCCTGAGGATACTGCACAAATTGAGACCATAATTTCACAGGCGGAATTCCACTCTGACATGCCTGTGCCGCCACCACGTATGCAAGAGGCTACCGCACCCCCGTTGTCGCTTTATGATGATCTTTTAACTGACCCGAATGAACTTATTTCCCCCAACCAGCAAAACTCAGCTGAAACATGCCAACAACCATTGTGGACGCACCCCCCTGCTTCTCCTCACCCTGTCAACGCTGCCACCCTGCAGACAGAGGATGAGATCAGGCAGCCTGAAAACGAGGCTATAAATTGTTTCCATGCAGCCCGGTACAGAGGCTCTGATACCTGAACAGCCCGGAGAGGAGGCTTTCAATTCTCGGCCAGGTAATGAGGCCCGCAACGATATCCCTCCACAGCCTGGTTTTCTCATGCCTGGTCTTTTCCCCCCAATCAGACTCCGGTAGAACCACAGGCTCCCTTCAGGCCTGGTTCCTTTACTCCTAATCAGACTCGCTTAGAGTCATAGGCTCCCTTGAGACCTGGTTCTTTTCCTCCTACTCAGACTCGGCAAGAGTCACAGGCTGCCTTGAAGCCTGGTTCCTTTCCTCCTAATCAGACTTGGCTAGAATCACAGGCTCCCTTGAAGCCAGGTTCTCTTTCTCCTAATCAGACGTGGGTAGAGTCACAGGCTCCCTTGAAGCCTGGCTGCTTTCCTCCTATTCAGACTCAGTTAGAGTCACATGCTCCCTTGAGGCGTGGTTCCTTTCCTACTATTCAAATTCGGTTAGAGTCACAGGCTCCCTTGAGGCCTGGTTCCTTTCCTCCTACACAGACTCGGCTAGAGCCACAGGCTCCCTTGAGTCCTGGTTCCTTTCCTCCTAGTCAGACTCAGAGTCACAGGCTCCATTAAAGTCACAGGCTCCCTTGAGGCCTGATTCCTCCTAATCAGACTCAGTTAGAGTCACATGCTCCCTTGAGGTGCTGTTCCTTTCCTCCTACTCAGACTCAGAGACACAGGTTCCCTTGAGTCCTGGTTCCTTTCCTCCTAATCAGTCTCCATTAGAGTCACAGGATCCCTTGAGGCCTGGTTCCTTTTCTCCTAATCAGACTGGGTTAGAGTCACAGGCTCCCTTGAGGCCTGGTTCCTTTCCTTCTACTCAGACTCGGTTAGAATCACAGGCTCTGTTAAAGTCACAGGCTCTCTTGAGGCCTGGTTCCTTTCCTCCTAATGAGACTCGGTTAGAGTCACAGGCTCCCTTGAGGCACTGTTCCTTTCCTACTACTGAGACTCAGTTAGAGTCACAGGCTCCCTTGAAGCCAGGTTCTTTTCCTCATAATCAGACTCAGGTAGAGTCACAGGCTGCTTTGAATCCTGGTTGCTTTCCTCCTAATCAGACTTGTTTAGAGTCACAGGCTCCTTCAAGGCGTGGTTCGTTTCCTGCTACTCAGACTCAACAAGAGTCACAGGCTCCCTTGAGGCCTGGTTCCTTTCCTTCTAATCAGACTAGTCTAGAGTCACAGGCTCCCTTGAAGCCAGTTTCCTTTCCTCCTAATCAGACAGGGCTAGAGTTGCAGGCTCTCTTGAGTCCTGTTTTCTTTCCTCCTAATGAGACTCGGCTGGAGTCACAGGCTCCCTTGAAGCCTGGTTCCTTTCCTCCTACTTGGGCTCAGCTACAGTCACAGACTTCCTTGAAGCCTGGTCCATAGTTGCCATGGTAACCTGGCTTTCAGGCCCATGAAAGACCTGCTTAGCAGGTAATCTCTTCTCATCCTGGCTTTCAGGTTCTCAACTCTCCCTCTATTCAAAATTCCCACTTTTTTTCTGCTCCTTGTCCAGTCGCTATTGCTGTTGCCAACACTACCATTGCCTCGCAAAAACAACAAGTTACATGTATCTTTGAAAATGACACTCCACTTATGAGGGATATAGCTCAGGCAAGGGAATACAGGGATCCTGAAGCCTGGCAATTTCCTGTAGTTTTACAACGTACACTACCTGCCACCCCAGCAGCACAAAATCACCCACAGCCCATTGTTGATCCTGCTCAGCAGGCGGCTGACCCCGCTGCTTATCAAGATCAAGACGCTGATAATCATGCCCTTCAGCCCGACAGGCTGCTCAGAGTAATAATGAGGCTCCGCAATTGCCTGCCGCTGGGGCACAGCCTGTATCTGGCATTCCAGCTCTTCAGGTGGTAGTTCAACCTGACCCCATACATCCAGGTCAAGTTCAGCTATACCCTGCTACTTGCGAAAGTTTTTCTTTTAAATTTCTCAAAGAGTTCAAGGAATCAGTAGAACAATATGGCACCAACTCTCCTTTTGTCATTTCCACATTAAAAGCCCTGGCAGAAGGTGAATGTTTGGTTCCCTATGACTGGGAAATTTTAGCAAAGTCAGTCTTACCTAAGTCCCAGTATTTACAATTCAGGACTTGGTGGGTTGATGCTGTCCAGTAATGCATTTGTCTTAATCAGGGTTCTAATCCTCCTGCTAATGTTACGGCTGACCAGTTACTGGGAGTGGGTCTGTGGGCTGCAATTCGACACCAAACTATACTAAATGATGAGATTATTGAACAATTGCGGAAATGTTGCTTAAATGCTTAGGACAAGATTCAAGATGATGGTAAAGTATGCCCATCTTTCATGGCCATCAGACAGGGACAACATGAACCCTACTCAGACTTTATTGCTCATCTCCAGGACACAGCAGAAAAGGCTATCCCTGATAGCCATGGCCAATGACTTGTAGAACTCATGGCTTATGAACAAGCAAATCCAGATTGTCAGGCGGCTTTTCTTCCCGTCAAAGGCAAAATTCCACCAGGTGGTGAAATACTCACCTCCTACATTAAAGCCTGTGAAGGGGTGGGAGGAACTCTGCATACAGCAATGATCATGGCATGAGCTATGGCCTCTATTAGAATGCCTGGACAATTCTCTGGCCAATGCTTTATATGCGGCCAGAAAGGACATATAAAAAGAAATTCCCCCCGGCGTACAGGTCGCCGTTCTTTACAACACCACCAACAACAAAAAATTTTTCAGCAACCAAAAGTCCCAGCTTCTACTTTATGCCCATCATTCCGAAAGGGAATTCACTGGGCCACTCACTGTCATTCAAGATTTGATATTGATGGTTATCCTTTACAGCCTCTTAACATCCAGGAAAACAGGATGAGGGGCCGGACCCAGGCCCCTCTAAACAATGAGGCACTCCTCAGCTCCCAGCCCCCAGCGTCCAGCCAGACGGGAGCCTTCCCAGTCCAATCCATTCAACCTCCATCCTGATTCCCACTTCAGCAATTTGTGCCACAAGATCTAACGGCTTAGCCCCAGCACGAATCTCAGTACAATGCTTGTCCCCCACCACCACAGGATCAGCGGCAGTGGATCTCTGTTGTACCAGAGATATTTCTTTGTTGCCTGGAGAGCCACGTATTGCTGTTCCCACTGGTGTTTTTGGTCCCTTGCCGACTGGCAGTGTCGGTTTGCTACTGGGTCATTCAAGTCTAAACTTAAAAGGTGTTCAAGTACATACTGGTGTAATTGATTCTGAATATTCAGGTGAAATTCATATTGTCATTAGCTCTACAGTCCCTTGGAATGTGGCAGCTGGGGACTGCATTGCTCAACTTCTGATACTTCCTTACATTCCTTTAGGATCCAGTTCTTGTACGAGAAACGGAGGTTTTGGTAGCACAGATTATCAAGGTAAAGCAGCTTATTGGGCCAGCAAAATTTCTGACACTCATCCTGTGTGCCCCGTGCATATTCAGGAGAGAAAGTTTGAGGGAATCATTGATAGGGGCGCTGATGTTTCTATTATCGCTTTACATCAATGGCCCCGACATTGGCCAGAGAAGCATGCGTCCACAGGATTAGTTGGTGTTGGTCAGGCTTCAGAAGTATATGAAAGTTCCACAATTTTACATTGCACAAGCCCTGAAGGACCCTGCCACCACAGGATCAGCAGCAGTAGATCTCTGTTGTACCAGAGATATTTCTATTGGAAATATTGGAACTATTGGAACTATTTGCCCCCTCATTACACGCATTCCTGTTAACCTATGGGAAAGAGATCTTTTATATCAGTGGGGGGCACAGATTTCTTTTCCGGAAGGCAATGACAGCCAGCAGAGTAAAGATGTTATGACCAAAATGGGATTTGTTCAAGGTATGGGCTTAGGAAAATTAGCACAAGGCATCACCGAGCCTATTATACCTACTGATGAATCAGACTACAGGACTTGGTTATTCTTTTTAGAAGCGGTCACTATCAAGCCTGCAGATCCCATCCCTTTGACCTGGAAAACTCAGAAACCGGTCTGGGTAGATCAGTGGCCGTTCCCAAAAAATAAGCTGGAGGCACTTCATATTTTGGTTCTTGAACAGTTAAAATTGGGACACATCGAATCCTCTTTTTCTCCCTGGTATTCACCTGTCTTTGTTATCCCAAAGAAATCTGGTAAGTGGCGAATGCTTACTGATCTTAAGGTGGTAAATGCTGTCCGTCAGCCTATGGGAACATTACAACCCAGTTTGCCCTCCCCCACTATGATTCCTGAGTATTGGCCACTTATCATCATTGACCTTAAAGATTGCTTCTTTACCATTCCTGTGGCCCCTCAGGACTTTGAAAAATTTGCTTCGTTGTTCCAGCCCTTAACAACATCACTCCTGCAGCACGTTACCATTGGAAAGTCCTACCTCAAGGTATGCTTAATAGCCCTACTATTTGTCAATATTATGTGGGATGCATATTAAAGCCAGTAAGAGATTAATTTCCCCAATGTTATGTTATTCATTACACAGATGATATTCTTTGTGCAGCACCTTCATGCTCTGTATTAATATCTTGGTTTTCTGCATTACAACAAGCAGTTACAGCAGCTGGCTTGGTTATCGCTCCAAAAAAATTCAGACTTCTTACCCTTATCACTAGGAATGCAGCTAGAGGACAAGGTCATTAAGCCTCAAAAAGTTCAACTCAGATGAGACTCCCTAAAAACTCTAAATGATTTCCAAAAATTACTAGGAGACATTAATCGGATTCCTCCCTCCTTAGGCATTCCTACTTATGCTATGTCTAATCTTTTTGCAACGTTGTGGGGCAATCCTGATTTATGCAGCAAAAGGTCCTTGACTCCTGAGGCAGATTCTGAATTACAATTTATAGAAAAATGCATTCAACAGTCTCAGGTTACCAGAGTGAATCCACATTTACCTTTTGAAATGTTGATAGATAGTGTAAACTTCTACTGGGGAGTCCATCCAGGAGACAGACCGAATTAAAGGGGGAAAAGGAACATATGCCCAGTAAGTATAATTTTGAGTTGCCCCAACTGGTGGTATACTTACGGCTGCACTGACTACCATAAAGGCAGCCAGAATTATATTACCCGTCGTTTCTGGAATTTCTTTTTCTTTTAATAAATTTTCCTACTTAACCCAGTAGCAAACGACCCAGTAGCAAACCGACACTGCCAGTCGGCAAGGGACCAAAAACACCTGTGGGAACAGCAATAGGTGGCTCTCCAGGCAGCAGAGAAATATCTCTGGTGCAACAGAGATCTACTGACGCTGATCCTGTGGTGGCAGGGGGCAGTAATGTTCCTACTTAACATTCACCAACAGGACTCATTATTCAGGGACATAATTTAATTGAATGGTGTTTTCTTCCACACAGCTCTTTATGGACACTAACTATTTACCTAGATCAAATTTCTATCTTAATTGGTCAGGCTCATTCTCGTGTCCTTCGTCTTTTGGGTACAGAGCCCCAAAAAATCATTGTTCCCCTTACCCAGTTACAAGTTGAACAGGCTTTTGCTACTTGCATCACTTGGCAAGTACATTTGGCAGGTTTCTCGGGTATAATTGATAATCATTATCCTAATGCGAAATTATTTCAGTTCCTTAAACTCACTTCTTGGATTTTTCCTAACATTACTAGAAACACCCCATTAGCTGAAGCTGTCACTGTTTTTTCTGATGCTTCCTGTAATGGCCGAGCAGCATATACAGGGTCAAGAGAACGTGTTCTTAGCACAGGGGCTATTTCAGCACAACGAGCTGAGCTGCTTGCTTTATGGCTGTCCTTGAAGATATCCCTAAAACAGTTAACATTGTCTCTGACTCAGCTTATGTAGTACATGTTGCTGGCAACATTGAAACTGCCTTGATCAAATTTCTTCCTGATGATAACCTACTCATTCTTTTTCAAAGGTTTCAGTCTGTGATCAGAGCAAGGTCTTCTCCTTTCTACATTACTCACATTCGGGCCCACACATCCCTCCCTGGACCCCTCTCGGCAGCAAATGCCTGAGCTGATACTCCCGTTTTTACAGATGCAGAAAATTTTCATGCCTTAACTCACGTCAATGCTGTGGGACTCCAAAAAAAGTTCCCCCACATGGAAACAAGCTAAAACCATTGTGCGCCACTGTCCTACTTGCCAAGTGTTAATTTTACAGCCACTGTCTTCAGGAGTTAACCCTAGAGGACTTTCACAGAACCCTCTCTGGCAAATGGACGTGACTCATTATCCTGCTTTTGGCAAGCTCTCTTTTATACATGTAACTATCGACACTTTTTCTCATTTTATCTGGGCCACTTGTCACCCAGGGGAAAGTACAGCTCATGGTAAACGACATGTGCTTTCATGTTTCTCGGTTATGGGCTGTCCTGAGAAACTGAAAACTGATAACGGCCCCGGCTACACTGGTGCTGCTTTTAAAAAGTTCACTCAAACATGGGCAATTACTCACACAACTGGCATCCCCTGTAACTCTCAAGGACAGGCCTTGGTGGAATGAGCCAATAAAACACTCAAAAATCAACTTTGAAAACAGGACACTAAAACAAAGAGGGATGCTGCTACTCCTCATGCTCAATTAAATCTGGCTCTTTTTACCCTAAATTTCTTAAACATAGCAAGAAATCAACCTTTTTCCACAGCAGAACAATATTTCACTGGAAATAAATTTGATCCACAAAAAGGAATGCGGGTATGGTGAAAATATTCAAAAACTAACAATGGGACTTAGGCACAGTTGTAACATGGGGTAGGGGTTTTGCTTGTGTTTCCCCAGGAAAAGGACTACAGCCCATGTGGGTCCCCTCCCGACAATTAAAATTGTACCATAACTCCAAAGATGAAACGCTCCCGGAAACAAAAGGCAAAGACTCCTCAAACCAAAGAGCAACTTTTGCTGCCTGACACATAAACTTCATGACCTCGACATTGAGACAAGATCTCGCCATGTGACATATAACACCTCTCATTAAACTCCACCAACATGGGGTCAAATAAAAGTTTTGTCTCATCAAACAGAAAATTTATTAAAAGAAAAAGGAATCCCAGAAACAACAGGTAATATAATTCTGGCTGCCTTTATGGTAGTCAGTGCAGCCATAAGTATACCACCGGTTGGGGCAACTCAAAATTATACTTACTGGGCATATGTTCCTTTTCCCCCTTTAATTTGGTCTGTCTCCTGGATGGACTCCCCAGTAGAAGTTTACACTAATAATAGTGCATTCATCCCAGTCCCTAATGATGATAGGTTTCCAGCTCAACCGGAAGATGAAAGTATGCACTTTAATCTGTCAATTGGCTATAAATATCCACCACTATGCATTGGGATGTCTTCTGGCTGTTTAGCTTATTCTTACCAGAATTGGATGTGGACCGTACCGTCCTTTACAAATGATTCTTATCGAGTATATAATGTGTTCAATACCAATTCTTTTCAAGTTCTCACTGTCAAACTTAATCCACCTGAGGAATGGAGAGTTCCTGTCACTACTAAAATTAATAAAAGGACTGCCAGACTGACCAAAGAAACCTACAAAGCGACCTTTTATAGTGACTTCAATTTTATGGAATAATTGTAATGCTCCCAAGGCTGTTGTGCTCCAAAGTCTAGCCACGGGTATTGTTATTGGTTGGGCTCCAAAAGGGCATTAGTGGCAAGATTGCTTTGGCAAAAAAACCTCATGCTCGGAGTTTAATTATTTGTTAGATTATATAGATGATGGATGGCAGTCATACAGGTTGAGACAATGGGTGTCTCCTTACCCATTTAAATGGATGGCTGCAGGCATTGTTCTTCCTAGACCAAAAATGATTCATCCCTTTGTTACCCCAGAACATCCTGAATTATGGAAATTAGCTGCAGCTATGACAGGAATAAGGATATGGAACACTACCTATCAACTCCTTCACACTAATACCAAAACACCCACATTCAACATCACCTTGATATCTGAACAGATGATACTCATCAGGAGCTGTGTCAAACCCCCTTACGTGCTGTTGGTTGGAAATATAATTATCATTCCCAATACACAAACTACAGAATGTGATAAGTGTAAGCTGTTCACGTGCATTGATGCTACTTTTAATCCCACAACAAGTATTCTCTTGGTAAGGGCTAGGGAGGGGTATGGATACCAGTTTCTTTACATCGTCCTTGGGAGTCTTCCCCCTCTATACACATAGTCAATGAAGTTCTTAAAGGTATCCTCAAAAGAACAAAGGGATTTATTTTTACTCTTGTTACAGTCCTTGCAGGTCTAATTGCAGTTACTGCAACAGTGGCAACCGCTGGAGTTGCCATCCACAATTCTGTTCAAACCACTCAATATGTTGAAGCATGGCAAAAAAATGCCTCCAGACCTTGGAATTCTCAGGCTCAAATTGATCAAAAATTAGCTAATCAAATTAATGATGTTCACCAGAGTGTAATCTGGCTGGGAGACAGAGTTACGAATTTGGAACATTGTATGCAATTACAGTGTGATTGGAATACTTCTGATTATTGCATAATGCCTTATGCTTGTAATAAAGATCAGCATAGCTGGGAAAAGGTCTCAAGACAGTTAAAAGCCTGGGATGATAACTTAACCTTGGATATTTCAAAATTTAAAGAGCAAATTTTCGAGGCTTCACAAGCTCATTTATCCACTGTTTCTGGCTCAGACATTTTTGAAGGAATAACTAAAGAACTATCTGATCTTAATCCCTTTAAATGGATCAAACCCCTCGGAGGATCATTGTTGTCACTGGCATTATTAATATTGGTATGCTTATGTTGTCTCCTTTTAGTCTGCAGATGCCTCCAAGAAGTCCAAAAACAAGTCCGAAGTCCGACGAGCAATGGTGGCGATGGCGATTCTAGTTAATAAAAAGGGGGGAGATGTGGGCGGCAAGCCACCCAGGTGCTGAGGCAAGAGACCGAGGGCACAAGCTGTTCCAGTATAATAAAATATATAAAATAAGAATAGTTATACTAGATATAGATCATAGAGATGATTATATATGAATATCATTAATCATTAGTTTGTAGCAATTACTGTTTATTCCAATATTATAATAATCCTCACTCTACAATCATAACCTAGGGAAAACCAGGCCATACAGAGATAAGAGCTGAGGGGACATAGTGAAAAGTGACCAAAAGACAAGAGTGTGAGCCTTCTCTTATGCCCAGACAGGGCCACCAGAGGGCTCCTTAGTCTAACGGTAACGCCAGCATCTGGGAAGATGCCCGTTGCCAAGCGGACCATGGTCTAGTGGTAGTATCAGTGTCAAGGAAAAACACCCACTACTTAGCCGACCAGGAAAGGGAGTCTCCCTTTCCCTGGGGGAGTTTAGAGAAGACTCTACTCCTCCACCTCTTGTGGAGGGCCTGACATCAGTCAGGCCCACCCGCAGTTATCCGGAGGCCTAGCCATCTCCCTGTGATGCTGTGCTTCAGTGGTCATGCTCCTAGTCTGCCGTCATGTTCCATCCTGTACACCTGGCTCTGCCTTTTCGGTAACAGTAGCAAAATTAGTGAAAGTACTAAAAGTCTCTGATATGCAGAAATAATGGCGTAAGCTGTCTCTCTCCTCTTTCTCTCTGCCTCGGCTGCCAGGCAAGGAAGGGCCCCCTGTCCAGTGGACACATAAGCCACATGACCTTACTTATGACTGGAGATGGCTCACACTCCTTACTCTGCCCCTTTGTCTTGTATCCAATAAATATCAGCGCAGCCTGGCATTCAGGGCCACTACAGGTCTCCGCATCTTGGTGGTAGTGGTCCCCCAGGCCCAGCTGTCTTTTCTTTTATCTCTTTGTGTTGTATCTTTATTTCTCCAATCTCTTGTCTCTGCACACGGGGAGAAAACCCACCGACCCTGTGGGGCTGGACCCTACATGCCTGTCTAGTTGATTTGGCAGCAAGCCTGTGTCATCCTCAATTGCTGTCTCCCCAGCACTGCATACTTTTTTTTCTTTTTTTTTTTTTTTGAGGAGCTTTGCTCTTCTTGCCCAGGCTGGAGTGTGACGGTGTGATCTTGGCTCACTGCAACCTCTGCCTCCTGGGATCAAGCGATTCTCCTGCCTCAGCCTCCCGAGTAGCTGGGATTACAGGTGTGCACCACAATGCCCGGCTAATTTTGTATTTTTAGTAGAGATGGGGTTTCTCCATGTTGGTCAGGCTGGTCTTGAACTCCTGGCCTCAGGTTATCCACCCACCCTGGCCTCCCAAAGTGCTGGTATTACTTATATACTTTTAATACTTCAACTGGCATATCAGATCTGTCTTCAAAATAAATCTCAAGTATTTCACGTTTTCTTTATCCTCACTGCTGCTCATTCTACTTAATGACTGTTCTTACCCTGCCTACTGTGTTAGCCAGACTGCCCCTTCATGTATGTTGGATCACTGTCTTCTGATTCAGTGACTTCACTGTACCTAGGATATGATATGAAGGCTGATGTACAAGGCCCTGCCTAGGCCTGCACATGTTTATGCTCCTGACGGCCTCTCTGATGTTGTCTCCCTCTGCTCCTGGGGTAACTGGACTTAATTCAAGGTCTTCAACCTTGCTCTTCCTTTTGCCTGGATTATTCTTCCTCCAGATCTTAGCATAACTGGCTTCCAGGAAAGTAAACATCAGCTTTGTGTGAGAAAGCTCTGCCCTATCATTCATCAGGCCGAGGTAACAGATTTAGGAAACAGATTTCCTGCATGGTCACTGCAGATTTAAAGTGTCATAATGACCCCATTGAGTGTCTGTTTTCCCACTGAGAATCCTTGTTTATTAAAATCATGGACAACCACTTTGCTGTTAGAAATCATCAGTAGGAAGGAAATGTCTGATCTCAAAAAGATTCCTTGATTTACAACCCAGATGCAGAGCTTCAAGTAAGGGGGTTTAGAACTCTGCATCTCAAGGAAACAGAAGCCTGGTTCACTTCACAATTCAGACCAGGTCTTTTCCCCACTACCCAGCCCTGTCTTGTTATGTGCCCATGAAAACACTGTTGCATTTACATTTCACCTAAACACGCTTTTGCTAAATCTTCTAATACTCCTGTCTCTTGTGAGATGCCTCATGGGTCTGATGTTTGGTCTTCCATATTAGAATGAGCCAATAAACTAACTGTCCACTAGGAACTTGGGATGATTGGACTAGGACTGTCCTTATCTTTTGGATCTTATCACCTTGCTGCCCCTCCGGCATCCCCCATTGGTGGTTGGCTCTTTGCTCCTCAAATCTTTTTCTATGAGTTTGGAGTGCTTGAGTAAAGGAGATGCTAGGGCAGATCTTCCCCTTTTTCCTTTGCTAGGGTATCCATGGTTCTTCCTCCAGGGGTTCCCTATTGGGCCCTGTTAAAACCACCCATTCTTGGTCTGTCCAGCCTAAGTGTCCCAGTTTGACTTGAGGATCAGGTTGGGGTTGGGTTAGGGTGAGGGTGATGGAGAGGGTTAGAGAGTGATGGGGGGTTTAGGGTGAGTCTTAGGGGTTAGAGTAAGGGTTAGAGGGTGAAGGTGAGGTTTTAGAGTGAGAGGATTGGGTTAGAGTTAGTTTTGGGTCAGTGATGTGGTTAGTGTTAGAGATTAGGTGTTAGGGATGATGGTCTAAGGGTTAGAAATTAGGTGAAGTTAGGGTTTGGGGTCATAGATTCAGATTCGGCTTGCAGAGCTGTTTGTCACTAACATCATTGTTTGCCTTCTGCTATAATCCCTCCATCACCTCTAATTTCAAACCCTTCCTTAACCTGGCAGAACTCAACTAAGGGCTTCTCTTATCTTAGCATGGTTATCATCAGGTTCCATTTCCCTTGGAAGCTTGTTCATACTTACCCATATTATTTTGTAATGTGTGCAGAGATATCTGGCTCTCTAAAATGTTATTTAAATCCTATGACCTCAAGTTAACAAGTGGATTTTTGGCAACCTTAGATTTTCTCCTTTAAGCATTCTTAGAGCAGAGCTGCTTCCTCACAGAGGATTTTAAAGTATTCTTCTTGGTTGCTTTACAAGATAATTTTGCAGCTTGCATATTTTTCTTCAACATCTTAAAAGGTTTCATCTACTTTTAGGCAGGGCGCCATGGCTCACACCTGTAATCCCAGCACTTTGGGAGGCCTAGGCAGGTAGATCACTTCCAGAAGTTTGAGACCAGCCTTGCCAACATGGTGAAACCCCGTCTCTACTAAAAATACGATATTTAGCCAGGCGTAGTGGCGCACGCCTGTAATCCCAGCTACTCGGGAGGCTGAGGCAGGAGAATGGCTTGAACCCAGTAGGCAGAGGTTGCAGTGAGCTGAGATCACGCCATTGCACTGCAGCCTGGGTGACAAGAGTGAAACTCCGTCTCAAAAAAGAAAAGAAAATAAAAAAGTTTCATTTACTTTCTTCATTACGTTTGATAAATTTACCAACTCTAAGTCCATCTGTTTTTCATGGGTTTGGCATCATTTACTGTCACCCTGTAGCAGGACGAGTCGCAGACAAAACTCGTCAGACACCGGATTAAAGAAGGAAGAGGGTTTTTATTCGGCCAGGAGCATCAGCAGACTCATGTCTTAAGAGCCGAGCTCTCCAAAAAATAAATTCCTAGCCCTTGTAAGGGTTTACAACTCTAAGGGGTCCACGTGAAAGGGTCATAATAGATCAAGTAAGCGTGAGGAACGTGACTGGGGGCTACATACATCAGCTAACAGAGCAAAAAGTTTCACAGTGCTTTCTCATACAGTGTCTGGAATTTACAGATAACACCAGTAGTTTTGGTCAGGGGTTAACATTATTATTATTTTAACCACCATGGCCAGGTGGTGGCGCCAAGGTCGTCTCGCTATTTATCCTCTGTTTCTTTCCAACTTTTTGCTTTCTCCCTTTTCTCCTGCCTTATAAACTAGGGAAAAGGGGAGATTGGGGAGAAGCTGGGAAGGACAACAGGAGAAGTGGTGGTCTCATTCTGTATTTCCCCCCTTTGAGAATTTTCACTTCTTAGTGGGAGTTCTCACTCTCATCTTCACTTTCTGGGTCTCTTTGTGAGATAGAGCGATAGTGATTTATATAATACACATGTGCTGAAGTTTTTTGATGAACCAAAGTAGCAACAAAACTTTTTATCATTTGAAAAAGCAAGAGTAATACACAGGGGAGCAGTAAGGAAGTTCCTATTACTAGCAATACACCTACAATGAGGGTTTTAAATCCTCCTATAGCTGGAAACCATTTTCCAAATAAAGACTCAGGATCAAACTCGTGCCAAACCTGTACAGGCACATCTGCCAACTTTGTCATGTCCCTGACTATGTTTTCAACCACCTGTCCTTGATCATCTATTTGTAGGCAGCAATTGGTTAAGTTAAATTTTCTATGAACTCCTCCTTCAGCTGCGAGCAAGTAGTCCAAGGCCAGTCTATTCTGATAGATAACATTTCTCATTTGGGTTTCCTGCCAAGCTAAAACAGTCAAAGCTCTGCCAGTTTAATTAGTAATTATTTCTAAGACAGCCTGCAACTATATGATCCGATTGAGCATGTAGATGGGGGTTCGGTATCCCTATGAGCCGTCTTGTGCCCATGTGGCAGGCCCATAATACTGTATGATCCTTTCAGGGGGCCACTCATTATCTTTCCTATAACTATGCCTCTCTTTTCTCGGGAGGCATAGACAGGGAAAATTAGGAGCTCACCCGTTTTTATGGGGATGGCTTAATAGTGCCAATAACACAACTGCCTGCCCACTTATTAGGTAACTGAATGTAGGCTCTGTGCCCACATTTCCAGTATAGGCCAGCGGGAGCTGCCCAGTCCTGATGAGATTCTGGATGAGCCCAGGCAGTTTTTAATTTAGAAAATTTACTAAATGGGTTCTTTTCAGTGTGGTTTAGGCCCCACCAAGTAATTGTCTTTGTTGTGCTGTTGTACAACTTCTGTCCTATACAATTAAGCTTTCCTACAGGGATGATAAATTCTTTTCCTTCTCTAGCTATACAGTATTGTCCAATAATTGAGGTTTTTAGGACCCAGAAGTTGCTAACTTGGGCCTTCTGAACTGGAATTATATTAGGAGCTGGATCAGTAGGCACCAACTCTCAGGCTTCCCAAGGCCATCGGTCTCCGATAGTGGTTTCCCCGCATATATAAGATGTAACATTAAGTGAATGAGCTACATTTCCTGCTAATTGGAGAAACAAATTTTTTGTCTTTTTCGGAAGTTCTGGTGCTGGCAGATTCAGCTCCTCATAAAAGGTTTGAAACACTGGTTTGGGAGAGCGCTTGTGGACTTCCCCTCTAACTAAAATGGCAACTTGGGGGTTTAACCCTGTCCCATCGATCCCCAGGGTTACACATTCTCCCTTTTTCCAAGGAGGATCTAGGGGATTGGTAATTATTAGTTCTAGTGGGTTACAGTGACCGGCAGCACAGGAGGGGTTGGCTTCCCCCTTCTGAAGATGAACAGGGTCCTTTTTGTTCTTTTTCCAAGTAGCCCAAATAACACATGGCCAAAAGGCACAATTTTCACAAACCCCTGACTCATGACAAACATATTTATTTTGTACTCTGTAGCTCCTTTCCCAGTTAAGAGAACCACATCGTGTTCCTAACTTGTTACTATTAATGGCTGCACGAGCATCAAATCTTAAAGTTATTTGTTTGGGGCTTCCTTTTTCTACTGTTCTAGTTATTATTTTACTTGTGTCACCTAGGAAAAGGCCAGTTCTTAATCTTATTTCAAAAACGGTGGTTGCAGGGGGCTCAGATGGGTTATAACACACATCGGGTCGGTCATTTCCTGGGCTACATACCTTGTACTGAGTGGCATTATACAAACAAGTTTCTTTTAATGTTCCCATACATTCATAATAACTATAGAACAGAAAGTTTGTTTTAATTTGCTGTCCTACCTCGGTGACCTGATGAATACTCTGGGAACAGTCCCCAGTTTGAGTAAGGTCAATTGAAGCCCTTACTGTGTAAGTCCAAAATTTAAGAAAAATGAATCCCACGATGAGCTTCCTCATGCTTCGGCCGTGCGTGGACCAGTCAGCTTCCGGGTGTGACTGGAGCAGGGCTTGTCGTCTTCTTCAGGGTCACTCTGCAAGGGTTGTCTGGGCTTGGTCTTGCCTCCCAGGTTTCAGACGGTTTCATGGTGTTCTCTTTGAGCTGGAATTATAGTTGACATTTCATTATAATTTATTAGCTGTTCTAGACTTTATGCATTTATGTGACATTTTCTTTGTTGTACTTTAAGTTCTGGGATACATGGGCAGAGCATGCAGGTTTGTTACATAGGTATACACGTGCCATGGTGTTTGCTGCACCCATCAACCCGTCATCTACATTAGGTATTTCTCCTAATGCTATTCCTCCCCCAGCCTCCCACCCCCCGACAGGCCCCAGTGTGTGATGTTCCCCTCCCTGTGTCCATGTGTTCTCTTTGCTCAACTCCCACTTATAAGTGAGAACATGCAGTGTTTGGTTTTCTTTTCTTCTTTTTCTTTCTTTTTTTTTTTTTGAGACAAAATTTCACTCTTGTTGCCCAGGTTGGAGTGCAATGGCATGATCTTGGGTTACCGCAACCTCTGCCTCCCGGGTTCAAGCGACTCTCCTGCCTCAGCCTCCCAAGTAGCTAGGATTACAGGCATGTGCCAACATGCCTGGCTAATTGTGTGTATTTTTAGTAAAGACGGGGTTTCTCCATGTTGGTCAGGCTGGTCTCAAGCTCCCCACCTCAGATGATCTGCCCACCTCGGCCTCCCAAAGTTCTGAGACTACAGGCATGAGCCACTGCTCCTGGTCTGGTTTTCTTTTCTTGTGTTAGTTTGCTGAGAATGATGGTTTCCAGCTTCATCCATGTCCCTGGAAAGGACATAAATTCGTAGTATTCCATGGTGTATATGCGCCACATTTTCTTTATCCAGTTTATCATTGATGGGAATTTGGGTTGGTTCCAAGTCTTTGCTATTGTGAAGAGTGCTGAAATAAACATACAGTGCATGTGTCTTTATAGTATAATAATTTATAATGCTTTGGGTATATACCCCATAATGGGATTTACACTCCTACCAACTAATTTACACTCCTACCAACAGTGTAAAAGCATTCCTATTTCTCCACAGCCTCGTCAGCATCTGTTGTTTCCTGACTTTTTAATAATGGCCATTCTAACTGGTGTGAGATGGTATCTCATTGTGGTTTTGATTTGCATTTATCTAATGACCAGTGATGATGAGCTTTTTTCAATATGTTTTTTGGCCACATAAATGTCTTCTTTTGAGAAGCATCTGTTCTTTTCCTTTGGCCACTTTTTGATGGGGTTGTTTTTTTCTTGTAAATTTGTTTAAGTTCTTTGTAGATTCTGGATATTAGCCCTTTGTCAGACAGATTGCAAAAATTTTCTCCCAGTCTGTAGGTTGTCTGTTCACTCTGATGAGTTTATTTTGCTGTCCAGAAGCTCTTTAGTTTAATTAGATCCCATTTGTCAATTTTGGCTTCTGTTGCCGTTGCTTTTGGTGTTTTAGTCATAAAGTCTTTGCCCATGCCTATGTCCTGAATGGTATTGCCAAGGTTTCTTCCAGGGTTTTTATGGTTTTAGGTCTTATGTTTAAGTCTTTATTCCATCTTGAGTTATTTTTTTTGTATAAGGTGTAAGGAAGATGTCCAGTTTCAGTTTTCTGCATATGGCTAGCCAGTTTTCCCAACATGATTTATTAAATAAGGAATCCTTTCCCATTGCTTGTGTTTGTCAGGTTTGTCAAAGATCAGATGGTTGTATGTGTATGGTCTTATTTCAGAGTTCTGTATTCTGTTTCATTGGTCTATGTGTCTGTTTTTGTACCAGTACCATGCTGTTTTGGTTACTGTAGCCTTATAGTATAGTTTGAAGTTGGGTAGTGTGATGCCTCCAGCTTTGTTCTTTTTGCTTAGAATTGTCTTGGCTATTTGGGCTCTTTTTTGCTTCATGAGAATTGTAAAATAGTTTCTTCTAATTCTGTGAAGAATGTCATTGGTAGTTTAATGGGAATAGCATTGAATTCTTCTATAAATTACTTTGGGCAGTACGGCCATTTTCATGAATTAATTCTTCCCTATCCATGAGCATGGAATGCTTCTCCATTTATTTGTGTCCTATCTGATTTCTCTGGGCAGTGGTTTGTAGTCCTCCTTGAAGAGGTTCTTCACTTCGCTTGTTAGCTGTATTCCTATGTATTTTATTCTCTTTGTAGCAATTGTGAATGAAGTTCATTCATGATTTGGCTCTCTACTTGCCTGTTGTTGATGTATAGGAATACTAGCGATTTTTGCACATTGATTTTGTATCCTGAGATTCTGTTGATGTGATTCATCAGCTTAAGAAGCTTTTGGGCTGAGATTCCAGTACTATGTTGAATAGGAGTGGTGAGAGAGGCCATCCTTGTCTTGTGCCTGTTTTCAAGGGGAATGCTTCCAGCTTTTGCTCATTCAGTATGATATTGGCTGTGGGTTTGTCATATATGGCTCTTATTATTTTGAGGTGTGATCCTTCAATAGCTAGTTTATTGAGAGTTTTTGACATGAAGCGATGTTGAATTTTATTGAAGGCCTTTTCTGCATCTGTTGAGATAATCGTGTTGTTTTTGTGTTTAGTTCTGTGTATGTGAGGAATTACATTTATAGATTTGCCTGTGTTGAACCAACCTTGTATCCCAGGGATGAAGCCATCTTGATCGTGGTGGGTCAAGGTACCCTTATCAGTGTTAGGTTCAGTCTTTTTACATAATCCCATATGTCTTGAAGGTTTTGTTCATTCTTTTTTGGTCTTTTTTCTCTATTCTTCTCTGTTCTTTTTTCTCTATTCTCTCTTCCTGTCTTAGACAGATGGTTTTGAAGCTCTGAGATTCTTTCCTCCACTTGGCCTATTCTGCTAGTGATACTTGTGGTTGCATTGTGAAGTTCTCGTGTTGTGTTTCTCAGGTCTATCGGGTCAGTTATGTTCCTCTCTAAACTGAATATTCTGGTTATCAGCTTCTCTAATTTCTTTTATGATTTTTAGCTTCCTTGCATTAAGTTAGAATGTGCTTCTTTAGCTCAGTGAGGTTTGTTATTACCCACCTCCTAAAGCCTACTTTTGTCAATTCAGCCATCTCAGCCTTGGGTCGGTTCTGTGCCCTTGCTGGGGAGGTGTTGTCATTTAGATGAGAAGAGGCATTCTGCCTTTTTGAGTTTTCAGCATTTTTGTGTTGATGCTTTCTCATCTTTGTGGGCTTATCTACCTTTGATCTTTGACATTGCTGACCTTTGGCAGAGCAGGAGTGCTGTACTGATCTCCGGGATTCTCCAGAGCCAGCAGGCTGGGAAGGCTGAGTCGGCTGAACTGGGGAGACAGCAGCTACCCCTCTCCTTGGGGACTTCATCCCAGGGAGAAATCAGAGTTCTGTCCATAGAACTCTGGCTGGAGTTGCTAAAATTCCGATGGGGAGGCCCTGTCCAGTGAGGAGGGATGGATTTTGGTCTCACTTAAAGAAGCAGCCTGGCCACGATCAGGCTCAGCAGCTGTGCTGTGTTATGGGGAATTCCTCCTGGTCCCTAGTGCCAGCAGGCTAGAGCAGCCAACTCAAACCACAGATAGAGCGGCTGCCCTCCCCCGGGAACTCGGTCCATCTCCGGCTGTCTCGAGCCTGCTGCCGCTGGCCAGCTGGAATTCCAAGCTAATGGGTCTTGTGAGGTGCTGTGGGAGTGGGGCCTCAGAATGATGTCACTTGGCTCCCTGGATTCAGCCCCCTTCCTAGGGAAATGCACGGATTTATCTCCCGATTTGCTGGAATTCTCGGGGCAGAGGATGCAAAACTCCTGGGTTTCCACGCATGCCCCAGTGAGCCAGCGAGCACTCCGCCGAGACTCTACACAGCTCTTTGCTTCAGACCCAAGGCCATGGCTGAGCTCACCAGGGGACCTCCTGATCTGCAGGTTGCAAAGATCCCTGGGAGAAGCATGGTTTCCCGGGCAGAGTCGCACAATCCCTAACCGCCCCCCTTGGCTGCGAGTGGGGGGCTCCCTTAGCTTCTTGCCACACCTGGGTGGGCCATCACCCCATTTGCTTTTCCTCACTCCCTGTGGGTCGAGCTGACTGCCTAGTCAGTCCCAATGCAAGAACCTGGATACCTCAATTGAAGGTGCAGAATTCACTCGCAGTTTTCACTGCTCTCCGTGAAAGCTGCAGGCCACAGCTGCTTCTAATAGGCCAGCTTGGCCCCATCTTAAGTATGATTTCTTAATACATGAGATATTTTAAATACGTTACAATATTTATCAAGAAGAAACATGATCAATAGGAAACCTGCATGTCCTTGAACATTATAGAAATTTTAATTTCTCTTAAAATTATTCATGATAAAAATCTGTACTTTGCACATTTAAGAGAGATAAAAGCAGAGGGCAGGGACCTCCCTGATCCTGATAAGAGCACCCAAAGCACAAAGGATGTGTCTTTATCTCCTCCCAACTCCACAGTGGAAACAGTTGCTCTGGTTATCTTATCGCAGTGATGCACAGAGACATGATGGTCAAAGAGCTTGCACACTTTAAAAAAGAAATGTTGGCTGGGCACGGTTGCTCACATCTGTAATCCCAGCACTTTGGGAGGCCGAGGCCGGTGGATCACGAGGTCAGGAGTTTAAGACCAGCCTAGTCAAGATGGTGAAACCCCGTCTCTACTAAAAATACAAAAATTAGTCAGGCACGGTGGCAGGAACCTGTAATCCCAGTTACTTGGGAGGCTGAGGCAGAGGAATCGCTTGAACCAGGGTGGTGGAGGTAGCAGTGAGCCGAGATCTAGCCACTGCATTTCAGCCTGGGTGACAGAGTGAGATTCTGTCTCAAAAAAAAAAGAAAAAAAAAGTTATATTTTGTTGAGATTAAAAAAATAAATGACATGATTTGTCTACAGATCTTCATTACTCTACCTCATTTACATTAAAGTTATGAACAACTTAAATAATAAAATAACACACAGGGCCTTTATTGTTATTATTGTGATAATTTCTTTTTTAAAATTATTATTATACTTTAAGTTTTAGGGTACGTGTGCACAATGTGCAGGTTAGTTACATATGCATACATGTGCCATGTTGGTGTGCTGCACCCACTAACTCGTCATCTAGCATTAGGTATATCTCCCAAAGCTATCCCTCCCCCCTCCCCCTACCCCACAACAGTCCCCAGAGTGTGATGTTCCCCTTCCTGTGTCCATGTGTTCTCATTGTTCAATTCCCACCTGTGAGTGAGAATATGCGGTGTTTGGTTTTTTGTTCTTGCGATAGTTTACTGAGAATGATGATTTCCAATTTTTTTGTCTTTGGTTCTGTTTATATGCTGGATTACATTTATTGATTTGCGTATATTGAACCAGCCTTGCATCCCAGGGATGAAGCCCACTTGATCATGGTGGATAAGCTTTATGATGTGCTGCTGGATTCTATTTGCCAGTATTTTATTGAGGATTTTTGCATCAATGTTCATCAAGGATATTGGTCTAAAATTCTCTTTTTTGGTTGTGTCTCTGCCCAGCTTTGGTATCAGGATGATGCTGGCCTCCTAAAATGAGTTAGGGAGGATTCCCTCTTTTTCTATTGATTGGAATAGTTTCAGAAGGAATGGTACCAGTTCCTCCTTGTACCTCTGGTAGAATTCGGCTGTGAATCCATCTGGTCCTGGACTCTTTTTGGTTGGTAAGCTATTGATTATTGCCACAATTTCAGCTCCTGTTATTGGTCTATTCAGAGATTCAACTTCTTCCTGGTTTAGTCTAGGGAGAGTGTATGTGTCGAGGAATTTATCCGTTTCATCTAGATTTTCTAGTTTATTTGCATAGAGGTGTTTGTAGTATTCTCTGATGGTAGTTTGTATTTCTTTGCGATCCGTGGTGATATCCCCTTTATTGCGTCTATTTGATTCTTCTGTCTTTTTTTATTTATTAGTCTTGCTAGCCGTCTATAAATTTTGTTGATCTTTTCAAAAAACCAGCTCTGGGATTCATTAATTTTTTGAAGGGTTTTTTGTGTCTCTATTTCCTTCAGTTCAGCTCTGATCTTAGTTATTTCTTGCCTTCTGCTAGCTTTTGAATGTGTTTGCTCTTGCTTCTCTAGTTCTTTTAATTGTGATGTTAGGGTGTCAATTTAAAATGTTTCCTGCTTTCTCTTGTGGGCATTTAGTGCTAAAAATTTCCCTCTACACACTGCTTTGAATGTGTCCCAGAGATTCTTGTATGTTGTGTTTTTGTGCTCGTTGGTTTCAAAGAACATCTTTATTCTGCCTTCATTTCGTTATATACCCAGTAGTCATTCAGTAGTAAGTTGTTCAGTTTCCATGTTGTTGAGCGGTTTTGAGTGAGTTTCTTAATCCTGAGTTCTAGTTTGATTGCACTGTGGTCTGAGAGATAGTTTGTTATAATTTCTGCTCTTTTACATTTGCTGAGGAGAACTTTACTTCCAAGTATGTGGTCAATTTTGGAATAGGTGTGGTGCTGAAAAAATGTGTATTCTGTTGATTTGGGGTGGAGAGTTCTGTAGATGTCTATTAGGTCCACTTGGTGTAGAGCTGAGTTAAATTCCTGAGTATCCTTGTTGACTTTCTGTCTCACTGATCTGTCTAATGTTGACAGTGGGGTGTTAAAGTCTCCCGTTATTATTGTGTGGGAGTCTAAGTCTCTTTGTAGGTCACTCAGGACTTGCTTTATGAATCTGGGTGCTCCTGTATTGGGTGCATATATA